>NT_187600.1:675696-1013544 GCF_000001405.40 Homo sapiens
GAAAATGGTACTACAGTGAAGGGTGTGGGGAAGTGGCCATAAACGTCAGTGGGTGTGTGCAGGAGGGGAAGGGAGCCAATGGAGTTAAGAAAGAGGAAAGAGACCAAGGGATATGGGCATTCCTTACAGAAGCAGGTTCAGAAATAAGCTTTCAGATGCCTCTTGCCTGGACTTCCATCAATATGTCAAATATAAATTTGAGGTATGTTTCCCATCTGACAAATACCACAGAGTGAGGAAAGAGCTGGAGGCGTTGCTAGGAGAGAACACCCTGGACGTGACCACAGCCCCTTTTGTCCTCACACTGCCCTGCCTGTCCTCTATCCTCACAGCGTGGAGGTTCTCATCTTTGCCCTGCCTGTCCTCTATCCTCACAGCGTGGAGGTTCTCATCTTTGTCCTGTGGTGGGAAAAACATCTGGTTCTTGGAACACTAAGAAGACCTCCAGAATCATGTAGGTGATTACGTCTACTATAAATCTTGCATTTCCAAACAAGTTCTCTATCTACTTTTCATCAATGTGTTCGTGAAGCTTCAGGGTAAATGAAATAAGGCAGTCACTAAATAGTGAAAAAAGTCACCTATTTACTCATGTTCAGATGACTCCCGGGTTTCAGAATCAAAGAATTGGACAGAGAAGCACAACCGTTGGTGCCCAGGACTTCTGGACACCACACATGGAAACTGAAATTCACAAAACACCCCTTATAGTAAAATGGAGATCCTCGCTTTCATGCAATGTTTGAGGTCCTTTGATCAATTAGGAAATACTAAAGGTTGATTTGTTAAAGAAAAAATGTATATATGAAGACACTTGTTCCAGCACAGTAAGGAAGACTTCATCCAGGGCCCTCATGATAGGTGTAGGGACCAGGGCAGTGGGATTTTGCAGTGGGGGAGAGATTCAGCAGAACTCCAAATACAGAATGAGAACGTGAGGATTTATAGGCATACAGCAGGGTTGGGGCACAGGATGGAAAATCACCAAGAAGAAACATCAGGAGTGAGGTAAATCCTGCTTAGGGCAGCCTGCCAGGATTTTTGTTGAAGTTAGACCAGGGTGATCAGATGTCACCCAAGTTATGGTGAAGGACAAGGAAACTGATCAGATATCCAGGAAAATCAGACACTCAGTATGGGGAAAACTGGCTAAATCAACACAACAGAATTCCAGGTAAAACTGAATTTTAAAGGAAAGTGCAGAGAGACAGGCTTAGGATAAGATTCAGGAGCCTCCTAACTTCTCGTGAAGCAAATTAGCTTCATCAGGTTGGGACACATAAATGGTAGCACTTTCTGCTGACCAAACTCATGACTAAATGAAATGAGAACAGTACATCACAAAAATGTAAACTGAACCATATTCAGAATTTCTGAAGATGATGAGTGGCAGAATGAGCTGAGGTGTGATAGATCAGGGGGTCTCCTAATTCTGAATCCTGCAATTAGTTCTAAGCAGCATTCACTGACAACAGCACAGCTCGAGATTCCCACATGCACAAACACCTGACTCCATGAATCTGCAGCCGGGGGTCTCTGCAGGCTCTGAGGTGCACAGGACATATCCCACCTCAGATTCAGCCTCAGGTAATTATCTGCTGTTCCCGTGGGGAGGAGAGGAACAGTGTGGAAGGAGGGTCAGCTGTACTCCACTCAGGATCTCTGTACATGGAGGAAAACAATGAAAGTGGGGAACACATGTCCTCAACTTATGTTACACTTCCACATGAGAAAGGCAACACCATGCCAGGACATTCTGCAGAATCAAAGAATAAAGCTCTCAAGGTAAATGTAGGAATCACCATTGTTTACAGACTGTATGTTTATTTCTATGTCATCCACAGAAATTAAGTAAAAGTTGTGTTCTGTATGGAACCCACATCATATGGGTTCTGAGTCAGGTCTTCCCTCCCTCCACCTGCAGGGAGCACAGTGCACCTGAGCCATGCGCCTGGGGCTGCACTCTGATGTGCATGCCACGGCTGGTGCTGGGGCCACGTCCTGTGCTCCACTCTCAGGAGAACAATGAGCTCCGCGCTGATCTGAGTAGAGCCACTGCTGGGAGTCACGGGGGTCCCCGATGGGAAACTTTGACATGACTCAGATACAGTGACTTGCTGGACCTTCCTAGAACAGCACAGTTTAAGGAAGTTCCACTGAGTTATCCTCCCTCTCTCCTTCACTCAGGGACCAACTTCCCTCATATGCCTTCAGCTTCCCCAGCCTCCTTCCACCCGCTCTGCGTTTCCTCTCAAAAGCGTGGACCGGTTCCTTAGGAAACTGTACATAAACCTAATCCATTCATAGAATGTGCTTCTCCGAAGACCAACACTAACACATGTGTTGGCAAAGCTGTTCATAATACCAGCCAGATTCTACTGACAAATATATGATATGAACTGACCACGGCAATCACCAGTTTTATGTGTCTCCTTGGCTAGAACATAGTCTCAATTATTAAATGAGACTCGAATCTAGGTGTTGCTCTGATGATTTCATATAGGTGTTATTCAAGCCCACCATTAATTTTCTCAAGCTAGGAAGATAGTAGTAGTTAACCTGGGCGTGCCTGATTTAATTCTAGCAGAACAGAAGACAACAAAATTTCCTGATGGATGGCAGGTGTGCCTCTTTCCAAGAATTCCAGCCTGTCGTTCCTGATGGCCAGCCATAGACATGCCTAGACAGAACACACAATTGCTGTCACCAAGATCTCTCCACCCACTGGAATGTCCACACTAAGCTTCCTCAAAGTCACAGGTGAGGAAGGTGACACAGATAGTTTGAGCAGATACAGATCACAAATCTAGGCAGGGTTCTGGGGAAACTGTTAGATGGAGAAACAGCTAAGTCTCTGAAAGGAAACCAGCCCTTAACCTCCCTGGGCACCTGGTCCCTGAGTTTACTGTGTTCTTAATGTGTCCTGAGCGCCCTCTGCAGCCCAGGCCCCTCCTGTCTTCCTGCAGGGACGTTTGTGTCTGGGCTCTCACTGGCTTCCCCTCACTGTGTCTCTCGCACAGTGATACAAGGCCGTGTCCTCGGCTCTCAGACTGTTCATTTGCAGATACAGGGAGTTCTTGGCGTTGTCTCTGGAGATGGTGAATCGGCCCTTCACAGAGTCTGCATAACCTGTGCTACCACCATTCCAATTAATACCAGAGACCCACTCCAGCCCCTTCCCTGGAGCTTGGCGGACCCAGCTCATGCCATAATCATCAAAGGTGAATCCAGAGGCTGCAAAGGAGAGTCTCAGGGACCCCCCAGGCCGTACCACACCTCCCCCAGACTCCACCAGCTGCACCTCACACTGGACACCTGCAAACACAGAGACACCCTGGTCAGAAACTGCCACACAAATCCACTGTTTCTCTCACTCGTGTTCACTCACACTCAACATCTCTATTGATCCATGAATCACCTTTTAAAATAGCAACAAGGAAAACCCAGCTCAGCCCAAACTCCATGGCGAGTCCTCTGTGTTCAGTGCTGATCACTGAATGGAAACACGTGGGAATCTCAGGGCTGGGGCTCCTCTCCCAGAGCTGCAGGGTCAGGGCTGGGCTGGTTTTCATCGGCAGAGGGAGGACCCCATTTGCATGTCTCCTACTATATAGTGACTTCTGGAAGGGATGCCTCAGAGTAGGCTGTGTCCCAGAGTGGATGCGAGTGATTATACTTCATAAATAATTAATTCTCATTAGCATTTCTACTTATAGATGCACATGAATTATGTTCTGTGGGAGTCAAAGTTTCCTTCATTTACAGATGTGAAGGTAAACCCCCAAGCACGGAAGGGCCATGTGACATGTCTAAGAGCTCACATCTGGTAAAAGCCAGTCTCACTGTCTGGCCCGTGTTTCTCACAGCTGGATCTGACTGCTCCCTAAATTAACTCTAGGACAGAGCTAGAAATTTCGAGTGAGGGTTACAAAACCCTCTTCTTATAAAGATATCATGATATTCTTTGGCTGTATCTTAGTGTTTTTCTAAGTAACATAGAAAAACTGAGGGTTAACTCACGTGTGGAGTCAGGAGTTCATGACTTTTCTTGTATTATTTTTATTTCTCTCTTCATTTTTTTTACCAAATTATACACTTTTATTTGTAATAGTTTTAATGAGATAATATTGACAAATAATCTTCACACAATATGTTCACCGTTTGAAAAATATTGACCTAATCACCATTCATAGAGAAAACAAATCAATCCGTTTCACGATTTTCTTTTTCTCCTGCAATTTCACCTTCCAACGCCTTCCCTCCTCTTACCAGGTAGAAGTCATTTAGGGATCTTTTTTACATAACAGCGTGAACAACAGCTAAACTGGTTAAGTTCCAAATGAATCAATTTTTTTTAACACATCAGGTAATTAAAGTTATAGCAACCAGCGTGTTTGTCAGTGTGTGTGAGAGAGAGAAAGAGGGAGGAAATGAGACTGAAAAAGAAAGTGATTCTACATAATTATTGATTTATAAGGTCCTCAAATGCAGGGACTTATTCCTGATGAACAGGGTCCACATAGGTTGAAGAGGGTAACTTGATGCACCCACATATGGCTATAGATTTATAATATCAATGTTATTTTCTAAACTCATAAGTACTCATACACATTAGAATAGATGTAGTGGAGGGTGTCCAGTGGCGCAATGAGAAGGTGACACTAAACCCAGTCTCCAGGGCCTTTCCCCGCCTGCTGCACCTGCCCTGAGGCTGAGCCTTGAGCCTGCCTGACCACTGAGCCCACAATGGTCCTGAGCCCCCATGAAGTGCCAAGCGCCCCCTGGGTTTCCCTGCTGGTTCCTGAGTGCCCACCTCTGTCCTCAGCACCCCATGCTGTCCTGTGAACCCGCATAGGGAGGTTTGTGTCTGGGCTCACACTGATGTCCCCTCACTGTGTCTTTTGCTTAAAAATACATGGTTGTGGCTGAGCGCGGTGGCTCACGCCTGTAATCCCGGCACTTTGGGAGGCTGAGGCGGGTGGATCACGAAGTCAAGAGTTCAAGAACAGCCTGGCCAACATAGTGAAACCCTGTCTCTACTAAAAATACAAATATTAGCTGGGCGTGGTAGTGAGTGCCTGTAGTCTCAGCTACTAGGGAGGCTGAGGCAGGAGAATCACTTGAACTCAGGAGGCAGAGATTGCAGTGAGCTGAGATCGCACCACTGCACTCCAGCCTGGGTGACACAGCGAGACTCTGTCTAAAAACAAAGCAAAACAAAACTAAACAACAACAACAAAAAACATGGTTATTTGCTTGTTGCTCATGTAGCTCAGCCATAGGAAGAGCTGTTTTTTGGACATAGATCTGGAGGTGGTGACTGGACTCTTGAGGAGTGGGTTGGAATTTTTGCTGCCTTCATGACCTGTGCACCCAACCCACTCCAGTCCCTCCCCTGAATCCAGCTCCATCAGGAAGCACTGGTTGTGATGAGGAATCCAGCATTTACCTGAACTGTTATTGTCATTGATATGCTAAACAAAATGTGGCACTCATTTTTATTGTGTTGAGATACACATAACATAAAACTTACCATTTCAGCCCTTGGTAAGTGTATGGGTCAGTGATACTTTACACATTCACAATGCTGTGCAACCATTTCCACTATTTGGTTTGGGAACATTTTCATCACAGAAAAGGAAACCTCACCTCCATTAAGCGGTCACTCTGTGTTTCCCTTCCCCTGACCTCCTGTGATCTGGGATTTTCCTGCTCTGCGTGCTTCGTGTCAATGGGACAATTAGGGATGTAGACTTCCGTGTCTCCCTCAGTTCAGTCACCCAATGTTTTCAAGGCTCATCCAAGTTGCAGCCTATGTCAGTGCTTCACTCCTCTTTAAAGCTGCATTACAGACACACAGACACACCGCGGCATCTTCATCCCTGTGGGTTAGAGACACACAGACACACCGCGGCGCCTTCATCCCTGTGGGTTAGAGACACACAGACACACCGCGGCGTCTTCATCTCTGTGGGTTACAGACACACAGACACACCGCGGCGTCTTCATCTCTGTGGGTTACAGACACACAGACACACCGTGGCGTCTTCATCCCTGTGGGTTATAGACACATAGACACGCCGCAGCGTCTTCATCCCTGTGGGTTAGAGACACACAGACACACCGCGGCGTCTTCATCCCTGTGGCAGTCGATGGGCACTTGAGTTGTATTCTCCATTCAACTACTGTAAGTGGTGACACCAGGTACACTTGTGTATGAGATTTTCAGTGAAGACCATTTTCCAAAGTTGCTGTCCCATTTCAATACCAACATGCAAGCCATGACCATTCCAAATTCAGTATGTCTATACCTACAAGTGATTATGTTTTTCTATTTAGTTTTGAATACTGGCTTTCTCCGTGTGTGCAAGTCAGTAATCTATATGGAACTTAAATCAGCAGCATAAATCAGATAACCCCATTAAAAATGGGGAAGGGACGTGCACAGAAACTTTTCAAATACAGACATAGAAGTGGCCAACTAACATACAAAAATACTCAGCATCCTCAATCATCAGATAAGTGCAAATCAAAACCCAATCACATACTATCTAACACATGTCAGAATTGCTATCACTAAAAGATCAGAAATTAACAGATGCAGGCAAGGCTATAGAGAAAAGCGCCACTTACATACTTTTGGTGAAAATGTAACTTGGCCAAAGCACTGTGGAAATCGATCTAGAGATTTCTCAAATAACTTAGAACAGACCTACAATTCCCCTCAGCAATCCCATTACTGGGTATATGCCCAAAAGAAAACAAATTATTGTAACAAAAAAACACATCCACTCACGTGTGTATCACTGTGCAATTCACAGTACCATAGACATGGAATCAACCTAAATGTCCATCCGTTATAGACTGGATAAAGAAAACGTGGTTCTTATACACAGTGGAATACTATGCAGCTATAAAAAAGAATGAAATCACGCTTATTTGCAGCTACTTGAATGCAGCTGGGGTCAAAAATTCAAAGCTAACTGACATAGAAACAGATGATAAGAGTCGATGGAAGAGGAAATGAACATTTTGGGTGTTGCTCTGTGTACAAGTAAGAAAAGAAATCCCCTGGTGCATGAACTCTTGAAACACAAAAGCCTGGAGACACTCATGTCCTGACTTCCATTACATTAGGTTGTGTGCTTTGTCTCATTTTCATTCAGTTAAAATAGCTTTCCTTTACTGATGGCCAACATAGCCACACTCTGTAATCATCTAGAGACGTTATGATAAAAATAACAATTCTGAACATTAGAACAAATGCTAACTTTTAGGTCAAAGTTAGTGTGGATTCAGTGTGATAGGAGACATGGCTGAATAGCAGCAGTGTGCTCACAGTAATTTTATCTAAATTATGAAAATTTGTTTACATCTTTTAGATTAGATTCCCATTGAAATCCTTGATCTAATATTATCTCTGATGCATTATACATCAGTAATGAAATGAGGTTATGCACTCAATTGAGTAGAGCAAACTTTCATTCAGAATTTGTTCCTCTATGTGATGTCAAGTCAGCCCGGATGGCAGAAGTTATTGCAGTCAACAGAGCTCATCAATAAGCCAAAGACAAGGATTAAACACGTGTTCTAGAGGAGTGCCTGACTTTGGGATGCTCTTCACACAAAGAAATTTCTCCCACCTTCTGGAACATGTGAAAATGCACAACAAAATAACACATTTTAGATGCAGTCCTGCATTTTAGAGACCTGACTAATGTAACTTGGAAAGTAAAAACCTGAAGGAAAATGACATAGCATACCAACTGAAAGTATACATATTGTAGTGGGTCATCACACCAAGCAAGCAGTCTTATCAGTCAGGGGTTTATAATATTATCTAAATATGGAAGGCATTAGCATTATGTATACAACATAGCATCCATCCCATCCACAATCTTCTGAAAATGTTGAAGAAAATTGTCATCCTTAAACTAAAATTGTCCAAACCTTAAGAAAATCTTGAACTTCCTTGGCCAAAGATTCTCTCCCTAGCAAGAGAGCCTTATAGTTAATCCCCTCAGGGAGACATCAGTTATTAGCCTATTATTTGGTAGCTGGAAGGCCCATACATTTAGAGATTTACCCACAATGCTCACCTCTGTCCTATTACATGCATGCATGACAAAGTGTTGAAAGTGATGACTGCATTTTACCCACACTATTCATCAACAGATTAAACCATCATTTCCCTACATCTTTTCAATAGCCTCTAATAACATTAAAGCAGGGAATTATATCTATTGTAAGAAACATCAGGGTAGAATATTGCTCTTGAACCACTTTGGAAGGAATTTTATCAGGTACTTTTAACCACAACACAGCAGTGAAATTGCAGAAAGTCAATAGTTGGGTTCATATTTATAAACTGTAACCTAAAAATAAATCCCTAAAACCCACGACTGATTAAATAGTCCATCTCTTGGCCTAGGGAACCCCGTAAAAATCCAAAAACTGTTTCCAACCATGTCTAAACAAGAGATCAGACACGCCTCGTTATACCTTCTTCCCTTTGTGGTTTAGACGCAGCAATGGCCAACACTTATGTTAAAATAGAAATCATAAGACTGACAGAACAGTGGCAGTAAGATGTCAAATTATAAACAAGACCTAAGGCCTTGCTAGACGAGGATTTTGCCACTCACTTCTACACTTAAAAGATAAACTATGTTCTAACTGCCAATAGGTTATTCGTTTTCTCTGGTGGCTCAGTAAGCACTGGCACTGAGACAAGCACTATGAAGACAATTGCAGCCCATCCCTGCTGAACTGACCCCCTGTTCCACAAGCCATAACCCCAGCTTTGATTGAACATTTGATATCAGGACCTTTCTCCTGATCAGAGACCGCTGACCATGGCCTGGCTCTGGCTGTTTACAGAGGCTGCACCCTGAGTGCCTTTGTGTCTCTGCTTCTGCTGTTTGCACATAGGGCCTGACTGTAATGAATTTAAATGCTAAGTCACCACTGGCAATTGAACAGGACTCACATGTTAAATGCATGTGTGTTCAGTATGCATGTGTCAGCACCACCTCCATGAACATCAGTAGCCTCTCTGTAACCTGTTGACTAAGTCTGTTTAGCCAAACAGTTCAGCATAAATCTTCTGCCCAACTCCTTCTTCTTGGGAGTGTCTGTCTCTCATCTTTACCAAAACTATGCTTTCCAGCATATGGGATGGCTGTAACCCTTGATAAAAATATAGTCTCGGTTTCCTAATTTGTAGATTGTGGTATTTTTTAATATTTATTATAACTGAATATTAAATTCAGAACTTCATCTAATTATTAGACTACTTTAGTAAAGTATGACAAACTGTGGATATCCTATAAGGATTTTTATATACCCTATAAGGGCCTGTGATAGTTTGAAGCAGGAAGCTGACCTGAGACCTTCAGAATAAACTGATGACAGTGGATAATGAAAAGGCCCCACCCAGGACATTGATTCAGCACCACTGTCTGTCTCATTCCTTCTTCTCTTTCTTTTTATTATGTGCTTACCATAATAAAAATTTTTATTTTCTTTATTTCTGTTTGCTTTTCACACACAGTGGACCCTCATCTCTCTTTTTCACTCATTTTCTTAAGCTGCTAGGGAGAATAAAGTGTCAGGTCCTATTTTGGTGCTTGCTGCTGATGAATTAAGGTTTATTCTTCTTCTCCCTTGTCCCCCACATATGGGAAATCTAGTCAGAAATCGTAGAAGCTCCCTCATCTGATGCCAATGTGAGGTTTAAATCACACAAGCTCCTTCTCCTGAGTATAAATGACCCCCCGACCCCACCACCAAATCATTATAAAGCCCTAAGCCAGCCTCCTTTCCTGTTCCATTGAGGAAATTCCAGTTTGGAATTTCTTGAGAGGCCTGTGCTGCTCTCAGCAGACAATAGTAGAGTTGGTAAATCTTTTCATAATCACCTGAGGTGTGAGTGTGGCACTATCAGACTTGACACATCACACTAATCATGGATGAGGTCTCTCTTCTTTTGAACGTGGTCACCTACAATTGGAACTATGGGCTTGAAGTCCTGACAGTGACCACCACGGGGCCTTTCTTCTCTTGCACTGGATGCTAACTCCCTCTGCCCCAGTGCCCAGCATGCCCTTTATCCTGCCTGCTGCTCACTGACCCTTGGAGTTCTGTTGAGCTGGCGGCAGTGTTGAGTTAAACACCGCACCTTTAATAGGTTTAGCTGATTAAATTCAGAAGCATTGATAATTTATTCACATTGAGAAACCGGAATAAGTGACTGTAGGTGACTCTGCCTTTGGTGCATGTGAGAAAATTTTTCTCTTGTTACGACAAATGTTTCTTCTTCAGGAAGAATAGGAAGAACAGGATAAGGAATCCAGAGAAGTGCCCCAGAGGAAACTGTTTTATGGAGAGGAAGCCACAGGGCTGACGGGAAACCAGACCTTAACCCCCGTCTGCACCTGCCCTGAGGCTGGCTCTTGTGCTCAGTGGGTCCTGAGCGCCCCCGGGTGGTCCTGTTCCCCCTTCAGGGAGGCTTGTTTCTGGGCTCACACTGACATTTTTTCTAACTGTGTTCCCCAAAATGGAGGCAGAGTAAATGGTGAATCCATGCATCTCAGAGAACACAGAACAACAGAATAACACCCCCTGCTTCCCCCACACACATTTAGGTAAATCTTATTAAAACTGCTGAAAAGCAAAGACAAATAGAAATATATGCAGGCAAGTGGAGGTGAGTAGAGGGGGCATTCCTTCCAAAAGAACAGAAAAGATGATGATAGCATTCTTCTGGTTAAAACCTCACAAGCAAGAGGAAAGTTGATGGTATCTGTAAAGTGTTGGAAGAAATGTCAACTAATTATTTTATAACCCATGGATGTTCGCTAAAAAGTGAAAAAAAAAAACAGTTCTATTTCTCTTTAACAGCATGAGGGGCTCAATGAATCCATGCCCTCATGAGACCAGTGAAAATTATTTTGAAAAAATTACAGGGTTTGGAAAGGATCTAACAGCATAAAGCAAGTGAAGAAATATTTATTTAAGAAAATATAGAAAACTCAGTAAGGCCAGTCATCGTATTTGATCTAAGGTGCTCTTCCTTCCTTCCACATCCCAGCTCAGCATGATGTAAACTCCACTGCGGACAGATGCAGCCAAGAAGACAGGGCACCTTCTACCAACTCCCACCAGAGGAAACTCTTCCCCAGGGGCCAGTACGTTGGCCCTCTGACCCTGCCCACAGCACATGATGCTGAGGTTCAGTGCTGGACAAGAGCTACTGAGAGCCAGAGACTCACTCCTTCCATAGAGCCCCACTCATGGATGGAGGCTCTGCCCTGGGTCCAGCGCCACTGGGAACATTGGGTCTCTGGTTCCTAGCTCTGTCCTATGGCAGAGGTTCTGCCCCACCATAACCGAAGTGCTGAGAAGGTGGGAAGCTCCTGCCCGACCCTCCACTGAGCGCTCAGCTCCTAGGCTGAGGAATAAAACAGCTCAACTTTGTCTACACCTGCAGAACCTTGTTTAGGAGCTCTGTCCCAGGAGAGAGGGGGCAATGAAATTCAGTCATAAAATATGATCTTAATAAGTCCTAAACATCCTAACTTCAGTAACAACAGAATGTGGAAAAATTGAAAGCCTGCCAGTGCTCTCAAAAACAGTGGAGGGTGTGGTGGAAGGCCCTTGGAAGGAGCTGGGTGGATGCATGGGAGATGCAGGCTACACTGCAGGGCTGCTGGCTTGCAGGAGAGAACCAAGGACATGGAAGAGCTGGGAAAAGTTCTCTTGTGGTTGAAACAAATGCCAGACACTCTTCAGTGGAGCCCATGTTTGTTTGGTCAGTCTGTGAAGTAATTCAAACCTCAGTGCATGGTTGAAAATAGTAGAATTTTCCATCTGCAAGTGGCAGAGCTCAACATCTGGGTCTGGTCAGGAAAGAGACAAAGAAAGCCCAGCCCAAACCACTGACACCTGAGGATGACCGTGCTGCTTACAGCTGTGTCCCTTTGATATTCGAGACTGGCTTCTCTCACTTAGCGTAATGCCTGGAGTTCACCTGTAATGGTTTGTGAATCGATCATTTGATATTTTTTATTGCTGATGGTATTCAATTTATAGTTGCTTCCTAGTTTTTTCACCTATTCAGATTTTGAGATATTTATGTTATTTTTAGTTTCTAACACACACACACGCAATATCTTGAATATTTGAATAGAGGTTTTGTGTGAATATAAGATTATATTTCTCTGAAGCAAAATTCAAGAGTGGGATATTTAGGTCATGTGTTAAGGGCATGTTTGATTGCAGAAAAAACTAAAAATTATCTTCCAGAGTAGCTGTTTCATTTTGCAGTCCCATTAACAATGTCGTAGACACTAGGAACTTGGTATGCTCATCAGCATTGGTATTACCTGTATTTCTTCTTAATTTCAGCCATTCTAAAAAGTGTATAGTGGTTTCTCATTGTGGGCTTGATTTGAATTCCTTTAATGGAAAATCCTGTTAAGAGCCTGTTTATATGCTTATGTCATCTGCACATCTTATTTGATGAAATGTCTGCACAAACCTTTGCCTATTTTATCCATGGGTTGTTTCTTTCTTTCTTTCTTTTTTTTTTTTTCACAGTTGAGTCCTGAGAGTTCTTATTATAATTAAATTGGTGGTTATCTGATTTGAAAATAGTTTCCCATCTGAAACTTGACATTCATGTTCTTATAGTTACTTGAGTAGAAAATGTCTTTAAATTTAATGAGTTTCAACTGATAGTAATTTCATTTATTGATCATTTTTTACATTTTATTTTATTTTATTTGAGATGGAGTCTTGCTCTGTCGCCCAGGCTAGAGTGCAGTGGCATGATCTCGGCTCATTGCAACCTCCGCCTCCTGGGTTCAAGCAATTCTCCTGCCTCAGCCTCCCGAGTAGCTGGGATTACAGGTGCCTGCCACCGCATCTGGTCAATTTTTGTGTTTTTAGTAGATGGGGTTTCACCATGTTGGCCAGGCTGGTCTGAAACTCCCGACCTCATGATCCACCTGCTTCGACCTCCCAAAGTGCTGGGATTACAAGCGTGAGCCACCACGCCTGGTCTAAATTTTAACTTTAAGATCATTGGTCAACTGTTAATTATTTTATATTTTTAATTTTTTTGTTTGTACATTTATTTATATAAATTTAAAGGCTATGAGTGCAACTTTTGCACATGGATATATTCCACAGTGGTCTTGGCTTTTAGTGTACTCTCACCCAAATAATGTACATTGTACCCACTAGGTAATGTCTCCTCATGCTCCCACCTTCCACCTCCCATCCTTCTAAGTCTCCGGTGTCCATCATTTCTCTCTCCATATCCTTGTGGACACGTTGTTACCTTCCACTTATAAATAATAATGTGTGACATGTGACTCTCTGTTTGTGAGTTAGTTCACTAATTATGTTGTTCCCAGTTCTAGGCATCTTGCTGCAAAAGACAGTTTCATTTATTATTGTGGTTGACTAGTATTGAATTGTGTATACGTGCTATGTTCTTTTATAAAATCATCTGTTGGTGGACACTCAGGTTGACATGTGTGTTATTAAGAATAGTTTTGTGGTAAACATAGAAGCATGGATATCTTTTTGAAGTAATGATTTATTTTCCTTTGAGTAGTTACCCAGTGGTGGGATTGCTGCATCAAATGGCAGTTCTATTTCCAGTTTTTTGGGCAGACTCCATACTATTTTCCATAGAGGTTGTCCTCGTCCACATCCTCATCTACAGTGTAGATGAGTTCCTGTTACCTTCCATCCTCACCAACATCTGATACTTTTGAGTTTTTAATAATAGTCACTGTGGCTTTTGTAAGATAATATCTTATTGTAGTTTTAATTTGCATTTCCCTAATGGTTAGTGATGTTGAGCATTGTTTATGTATTTATTATCCATTTGTATGTGTTCTTTGGAAATGTCTACTCATGTCCTTTGCTCATTTTAATAGGGTTATTTGGTTCTTCTTCCTGTTGTTGTCGTTGTATAGTTTAATTCCTTGTAATTTCTTCATGTTAGTTCCTTGTCAAAGGCAAGGTGTGCGAAAATTTTCTGTCATTTTGCAACTTGCCTGTTCACTCTGTTGCTGCGAAATATCTCTTTAGGTTAATTAAGTCTCATTTGTCTATTTTTCTCTTGGGTGTGCTTTTGGGGTGTTAGTCATAAATTCTTTACCTCAGCCAATGCCCAGAAGAGTTGTCCTGGTATTTTATTTGAGTACATTTATAGTTTGAGGTCTTATATCTAAGTCTTTAATTCATTTTGTGTTGAGTATGTATGTGTTGAGGGTAGGGGTCTAGTTTTGTTCTTCTGCATGTTCATTTCCATTTCCCCAGCACCATTTATTGAATGGGGTGTCCTTTTTCTGGTATATATTTTTGTTAATTTTTGTTAAGTTTGTCAAAGATCATTTGGCTATAGATTGTGTGGCTCAATTCTGGGTTCTGTAAAATGTACCCTAGAGCCTTGATTCTCCTGAGGCCTCAGTACTGACCTGCTGACAGTTAGAACTCTGTTGACTCAGTGGTGTTTCTATGAGTGTAGTGACTCATTGTCATGGAGTGGTTTTCCTAAAATTGTGGACAATTCTGTTTTAATGTTCAAACATG
This sequence comes from Homo sapiens, assembly GCF_000001405.40. Classification (NCBI taxonomy): domain Eukaryota; kingdom Metazoa; phylum Chordata; class Mammalia; order Primates; family Hominidae; genus Homo; species Homo sapiens. The sequence continues at coordinate 690,307 of NT_187600.1, forward strand.
TGCTAAAAATTTCACAATAAATGTGTTTGTGAATTTTCCGTTTCATTTCCACATTACTCCTCGGACTTACTGAGATGGGTTTGTGATGTCAAGATGAGGCATTTTTTCGTTCCAGGTGTTGGATTTTTTACTTATCTGGGTATTTATGGGCTCCCTGTGTGGAAATAAGCCTCATCCATCACACCTACCTTATGGAATTTTTAGAAATTTATTTGTGCACTGCCACTGTGAGACACTCCATGATGATGACACATTTCATCTATTTTATTGTTTCATGAAATTACTAGTGTACCTTCCACTCTAGAAGAGAAGATGCTATCTGGATTTTCATAATTCCTCCTGCTCTCTTATCTCCACATTCTTCTTTGACACCATTTCTGCAGTTTAAGAATGACATATGCTATTGACATTTGTATTTGGTCCCTTAAAGTGATATGAACCTAAGAAACTGGTGGCCGCATATCAGTGATGCATCCGGCACAGGTAATAGGAACCTTTCATGCTGAATCTTGTCAAACTGGATACAGCCGCTGCTGTGTCCTGTTGAATTAGGCATAGAATAGAAAGCTTCATTGCCAAAGAAAAAAATAGGGGGTAAAATGGGTGGTTTGTCTCCAGCAAATACAATGCATAGGAAAACAAATTGCCATATGCTTTAAGCCTCCACTGTAATCTTCTCTGAAACATTCTTTTTCCTTCTCAGCTTATTCGAGCAGCAGAATCAGCTCCAAAGCTGCAGGCAGAGGCACCGCTCCTGAGGCACTGCTAGGCCCAGCTCCCATGTCAAGGGCCTCATGCAGCCCTACACACAGGGCTTGCTGGGTGCTCCCAACCCAAGCCTCTGTTGGGTGGTTTCTTCCTCAAGATTTTAGAAACAGGCTTTCTGGTCTGTTGAAATAGAGGCAGTGGTCTGATGGTTTCTAAATAAATTTAAAGCTTATTTTTCTCTCTTCTGGAAGAATTGTGTACATTTGCAGCCAAGTAGCTCTATTATTCCAGGCCATTAAATCTGAAAAATCTAACAGTATGCATCAAATTTGTCTCAGGTCAATTCTCATTCTTTAAAACCTGAAATATTTCTTTTCATAGAGTATCTTAAGCTTCTTACTGAGTGATATTTGAGCCATATACTCAGTGTTCTTTGTAGAATACAGTTTCTGATTTTTGCAATATGGATAGGTTGTGAATTTTCTAAGCCCTCAGCTTTTGTATTCTTTTTCTTTTATTTTTTTCTGATTTTAATTTATCTACCTCACTTATTTTAAGCACTCAGGAGGAATCAAGCAAAATATCTTCAACACTTAGAACTATTCTCAGCTACTCACAATTTCTCACTACTCACAACTTCTCTTTCACTAAATATTATATCACTGCCCAGCCAAGTTTTTTTTAAAAAACTTTATGATAAGGATGACTATTGCTCCATTTTCCAAAACCACTCATTTCTGTCTATCAGCATGACCCTCAATATGCAAATTTCTTCATATATGTCAAAGGTATCCATCCTGTTACACATAACCCAATTCCAAGCTACTTTCACAATGTTCAAATAATTGTAACATCAGATTTCCTCTTCTTAACCCCAAATTTTCTTTCGTCAGTTTAAGCTGCCATTACAAACTGTCATACTTGGTGACTCGTGCAACATTAATTTTATTCCATTTATCAGTGCTGTGAACTCCAAGATCAAGATGCTGACAAGATAGGTTTAGTTTGAGGCTTCTACTTTTGGCTCAGAGCAGCCATCATATTGTTACTTGATCATATGATCTTTTCATTTAGGGCATGTGTGTGTGTGTGTGTGTGTGTGTGTGTGAGAGAGAGAGAGAGAGAGAGAAATAGAGAGAGAGAAGTAGAGAGAGAGAGACTGTCTGGTGTCTTTACTCATGAGGTCAGTAATTTCATTCTGATGTTTCACCCTCATCGTCTCCTTTAAATTCAGTACTTTCTTTCTTATAGAAATTCCTTAACTGCTATAAAAGTATTCCTGGGGATGAGAAATTTATAAAAAATAAATTCTAATTTGGCTGACTGTTTTGAAGGCTGTACAGGAAGTGTGGTTCTGCTATCTGCTTCTGGTGAGGGCTTCAAAAACCTTATATTTCTGGTAAAAGGCACAGGGGAAGCAGGAGTGTCACATGGTGAGCAGGGGAAAGAAGGAAAGGGGGAGATCCACGTCTCCCTTAAACAATCAGATCCTGAGTGATCTAACTATGTGAGAACTCACTCGTCACCAAGTGGATGGCGCTAAGCCACTCAGGAGGAATCCGCCCCCGTAACGCAAAACCCCAACCAACATTGGGGATAACAGTCAAACATGAGATTTTTGAATGGACATATATGGAAGCCACATAACTCTTATCACCCAAAATCTTATATCTTTCTCAACTGCAAAATGGGATCATTTTCTTCCCAATACCCACCCCTCGAAATCTGCCCCTTAAATCTGAACTTGTTTCACCATTAAAGTCCAAAGTCTTGTCTGAGATTCATGCCCACATTTCTTCCATCTGTGAGCCTGTAAAATTAGAAAGAACTTATTTACTTCAAAGGTACAATGTTGGTGCGGACATTGGGTAAACATCTCCATTTTAAAAGAGAGGAACTTGCCAAATGAATGAGTAACAGGCTCTATGCAAGCCTAAAACCTAGCAGGACAGGCGCTCGATCTTAAGCCTCCAAAGTGACCAGTGACTCCACATCTTGCAGCCGGTGCAATTATGGGCTCGCAAGTCTGAGAGCAAAACCGCTTATGTGACTTTTCTCAGTGCAGCCAACACGGCTGCTGTCACAGTTTAGAGCTGAGTGCCTTCAGCGTTTCTAGGCTTGGGGCACATGCTGCTATTGGATCTCCCATTCTGGGTTCTAGAGGGCCAGTGACCTTCTCTCCACAGCTCCACTACACAGTGTTCTCCTGGGGATCTCTTTTGGGGGATTTAACTCTTCATTTCACCTCAGCATTGCCCTGGAAAAATTACTCTGTGTGTACTCTGACCCTGAGGTAGGCTCATTTCTGGCACCTAGCCTTTCTCACACATCCTCTGAAATCTAGAGGCCAGTCACCAAGCCATGTTGACTCTTGCATACTGTGCAGACCCAGGCTTTATGCCACATGGAAGCCACCAAGGATCACAGCTTGCGCCATCAGACGTGGTGAACCGAGCTGTACCTTTGAGCCCTAGCTGGTCTCACCCCCAAAAACATTCTCTGCTCCTATACCTAAGCCTGTAATGAGAGAATTGGCCTCAAAGATTTCTGAATTGACTTCAAGACTATTTTCCTATTGTTTTGTATTACCACAGTCAGCTCCTTTTTAGTCAAGCTAATCTTTCTAGCAAGCGGTTGCTTCACAGTGTAACTGGATTATTTCTTTACCAGAGAACCAGGCTGTACATTTTCTAAACTTCCATGTTCCACTTCTCTTTTAAATAGAAGTTCCAACTTTAAGTCATTTATTCACTTCTGCACCTGATTTTAGACTGTTAGAAGCAGGCAGACTCCATCTTGAATGCTTTGCTACTGACAATTTTTTTTCTGTCAGATACCCTAAGTCGTCACTCGTAAGTTCAAACTTGCACAGATCCCCAGGACATGAACATAATGCAGTCAAGTGATTTGCTTGACAGGCGATCTTTACTTCACTTCCCTATAACTTTCTCATTTACATTTGAGACATTCTCTGCCTTGACTTCACTGTCCATATTTATTTCATCATTTTGGTCAAACCATTTAACCAGTCTCTAAAACTTTCCCAACTGTTCTTTATCTTCCTGACTTTTTCTGAGCCCTCCAAACCCTCCAAATCCCTGACGGTTATCCTGTTCCAAAGCTGCGTCCATATTTTCACATATTTTTAATAGCAATGCTCCACTTCTTGATACCAATTTTCTGTGTTGCTGTGTCCTTGCATTGCTAGGAAAGAGTACCTGAGGCTGGAAAATTTATAAATAAAACAGGTTTCATTTTGGCTTTCCATTTGCTAGGCTTTACAATAAGCGTGGTGCCAGCATCTGCTTTGTGAGGGCCTCAGAAAGTTTATAACCATTGTGGAAGGCAAAGAGGCAGCAGGCACACAGGTGCATTACATGACAAGAGAAGGGGCAAGAGAAGAGATGGGGCCAAGAAAGGGCAAGAGAAGAGATGGAGGAGGCTCCAGACTTTTCTAAACAACCAGATTTCATGCGAACTAACAGAAAATTCACTCATCACCACATGGATTGCATAGGCCATTCTTGAGGGATCTGCCTCTATTATCCAATACCTCCCACCAGGCCCCCCCTCCAGCATTGGTGATTACATTTCAACATGACCTTGGGAGAGGACAAATATTCAAACTCTATCACTTTCAAAAGTCTCATTTCCAAATACTGTAACATTGCAGGTTGGGAATTATACTTATGACTTTGGGGAGGGCACCATTAGGTCCATAGCCGGGCTCCTTGAGAGAAGAACACTAGGGCTGTGATTTTCTTGTAAGACTGGTCTACTTTGTATGCAGGTGGCCTTTGAGGATAAAATGGGATACAAAGGGAAAATATGTCATCCTGCTGCCTTTTAGCATTAGCTGTTATTGATGAGAAATCAGCTGTTGATAGAATTATCTTGTATATGAGAAGTTGTTTTTCTCTCACTGCCTTCAAGATTTTCTCAGTAGTTTTTCTGTAAAATATTTTATTATAATGTGTTTTGTTGAGGATCTCTTATAACTTATTTTACCTTGAGTTTGTTGAGCTATTCATACTTCAATGTGTATATTAGTATTTATCATAAAAATCATGGAATTATCTGTCATTATATTATGACATATTTTTGTGACATATTTCTTTCTCTCTTCTCATGCTAATGTTCACACTAAACATATGTTGATTTGTCTAGCAGGGTCCACCTTTTATGTTAAGCTTATTTCATTTTATTGCAATTTTCACTATTCTTTGAATATAGCATATCTACTAATATATATCTAAGTGTGCTTTTTTTTCTTTTTAGGTTCAAGTATACTGCTTATCACCTCTGACATATAGTTTTGAATTACTGTGTTTTTAATTTTAGCGTGTCTATAACTTTCTTTCAAAAACCCTCTCTCATTATTGATATTAACTTTTTGGTGAGATACTGTCATCATACCTTCCTTAACTTTTCTAGGATAGTATTCCTTTGTGATTTGTGCATTTTTATAATAATTGTTTTGAAGTCTCCATTTGTTAAGTCCAAAATCTGTACCAACTCAAAGACAGTTTGTGTTTTCTGGAAATTTTCCTGTACATTCGTGACGTTATTTTTTTCTTTGTGTATCTCATAATTATTTTCTGAATGACAGTTAGGTAACACAATTCAGAAACTCTGAATAGTGATCACCCAAAACGCTCTGGTGTATTGGTAAAACCAATCGCTCTATTTATTTCTTGAGTCCCTTAGTTTGTCTATTTCAGTGACGTCTCTTTCCCCGACACTATTAAAGGGTTGATGTCGTCATTCCCAGGTGCAGTTCCAGATGTACACACGGTTTCCATAAAAAGCCTGACGCTCGGCAGTGCAGCCTTTGACAGCTTCACTGTCTGATGTCTCTGTTTGGGTGTCTGTATCTCTTCATATGTCATCCAAGTGTTACACTGCACTCACAGCAGGCATGGTGACACTGTTGTGTCATCCATTAATCCACAGTGTTACACAATTAAATTTGGGCTTCATTTCAGGGGCAGTTTTTGAACTTTGTCCTGACCCCAAAATGTTATTTATTTTACTAAATGGGGTCTAGCTACGTTTTCAGGTTGGCCTTGAAATCCTGGGCTCAAGTGTTATTCTCACATCAGACTCCCAAGTGTATGGAACCACAGGCAGTGCCACAGTGCCCAGCTCATTATTCCTAAATTATGGTTTTTCTCCTTCTGTCTGCTGAAATGAGTGGATTCCTGTTTAATGTGTTGCTCTCATGAAGCCACCAGCTTTCTATTAATAACTTACCATAAATATTTATAATATTTTAGAAAAAACCTAGGGTTGAAATTATTCTCCTTTTACTGCAAATAAAGTCACATCCATTAGAGAGAGCTCTGCATTTCTGTTTTTATGCCCTCTGTCTGCCACTGTAAAAATATAACCGCCTCTGCCTTGGTGCGGAAGAAAGGGTTCATCTGTGTCAGAGGGACACCTCTGCTTTAAGTACAGGAAACTGCATGGGAGGGGTGGACTCATACAGTCTCTTTGTGCCTCACCCAGAAAGCTCTCCAGATCCTCTGCCCTACAGGTGAGCTGGGTGGGAATAATTGGGGTTCCTCTATTCTTGGCCTATAACTCATAGCATGGAATCTCTGTCTCATAAGTGGAACTAGATGAAGAAAGGCATCCATGAAATCACAGACTGGAATTCACTCTCAACCACAGAGATCTGACACCACGGCCTCAACTGCGATCTGGGGGAGAGGAAGGACTCTCTGCTTGTCAGTTCAGCCCGAGATCAAGCTTCTGTCATCCTGAACTGGAAAGGAGAGGGTGATGCTCGTCTCTCAAGTATTGTGGGCCCTCACTGCCCTAGCTGAGACTTGATGTTTTAGCTGCTGTAAGAGAATAGTCTGGGTGGTTCAGATCAAGCATAAATGTATTTGTCACAATTCTGAAGGTCAGCAAGTGCAAGGCCAACATGCTTTGAAACTGGTATCTGGTGAGAACCTGCTTCCTCCTTCATAGTTGACCATCTTTCTACTTTTCCTTCACCTGGTGGAAGAGGAGAGGGAGCTTTCTGGAGTCTCTAACAAGGGCACTGATTCCATTCATGAGGGTGGATGGGGCCTAGTCATCTTCCAAAGGTGACCCATTCACTTACCAACGGCCCAACCTCGTAACACCATCACATTGGGGTTAGAATTCCAACAAATGTCTGAGGGCGGAAATAAACATTCAGTCTATAGCAGCACACTTTATCAATCAATGATTTTTATTTACTGTGCATCCTTAGAATAATTTGAATTGATTTTATATGTTTGGGTTATTACAATTTTTATCAGACGTTGTTGTTTCATCGGAAAGCTGAGGACTCTGGTAATAACACTTAGCTTAGGGCTCTAGTAATATCAGTTTCATAATAATAATAAGCTTTCATAATAATATTATAATAATTATATAATATTATAATTAATAATAATTAGTGTTAATAATAATAAGCTTATAATAATAATTAGCTTTCATAATAAGAATCAGTTTTCATCAGAAAGCTGAGGGCTCTGGTACTACCACTCTGGTAATAATTCTATTCGTATACTTGTTTGAAGCTTCCTCATTATGGCCATAAGCATTTCGAATGTTGCTCTCTGAAATCATTTGCCATGGTAGAATAAAATTGTTCCCCTCATAAGTATTATTATTTGCTCAGAAATACTCTTTTTATATTTTAATGTAGCCAACCCACCTTTCCTTTATTTGACTTTATTATGGTGCCTTTCCGTATGTTTTAAAGTTTGTAAGTGTATATTCATATATTTACCATGGCTCTGGATTTTAGGGAGAGCTTCCTGCAGCAGGGTGTGTTCTCACGTACAACTTTCCCTGCTTTCTACACACTGATCTGCACTCTGTCAAGTCTGGGTGTTCCTCCTGCCATCTATGGGGTTCACTCTCTGACAGTTTTCTGCAATCCACTTGCTATCCTGTGGTATCCACACTTCTTGGCCTACGTGGGTTTCCAGCTCCATTTTATTAATGCTAAATCCACATGGTTTCCACTCCAGCACTGTAGCCTGGCAACACCTTTGAGGAAGTATCTGAGCCTGCATTCACCGGAGGGCTCCTTATGCTTATTTCCTCTCTCTCTTAGTAATCACTGTCTTTGTTGAGTGGTGTCAAGCATCTTAAAATCCTGATTAAGAAATTTCACTGTGCTTTCCAGTAATTTCTGGTAGAAAGATACATCTGGTTTCTGTAGCTAAACCTTATTTGAAAGTGATCATCTTGCACATAAAAATTAGAATATATTTTATGAAGTCCACCAACATTTATCCTGGAATACATGTAGATATTAAAAAATTCAACACTAAATCCCAGGAGACATTATAAAATATATATATATATATGTCCTGATATTTCATATATATATCATACCTAATATTATATATATATGCACATACATATGTGAAGTATTTGGTAGAATTAATGTCATATATATATACCATATATCACTTACTATATATTATATACATAGTAATATATATAATATAGTTATATATATTGTATTTGGTAGATCTATCTATCTATCTATCTATCTATCTATCTATCCATCTCACACTTTTCCTACACCTCTCATAAAATGGATATTGACATGGTTTATAAATTAACTGGATAACAACAACACTGGTGCTATTTATTTTTCTGATACTTCACTAATAACTTATGAATTGACCAATTCTCACCTAGAAATTCTGACATGGTTTGGCTCTGTGTTTTCACCCAAAGCTAATACTGAATTGTAAACCCCAAGTGTCAGGCGAGGGGTCTGGTGAGAGGTGATTAGATTGTGGGAGTGGTTTCCTCCACGCTGTTCTCCTGATAGAGTTCTCAGGAGATTGGTTTGTCTGATAAGTTTCCGGCTCTTTATCCTGCTTCTCCTTCTCTCTCTCTCTCTCTCTCTCTCTCTCTCTCTCTCTCTCTCTCTCTCTCTCTCTCTCCATCCTGCTGCCTTGTGAAGAAGGGACTTGCTTCCCCTTCACCTTCCACCATAATTGTAAGTTTCCTGAGGCTCCCCAGCCATGCAGAACTGTGAGTCCATTAAACCTCTTTCCTTTACGAATTACCCGGTCTCAGGTGATGTCTTTACAGCAGTGTGAGAAAGAAATAATACAGACCCTTTCGTATGAAATGTAATTTTTTAATTAAATAAACATTTCTACCATGAGATAAAACAGTCTTCATGGTGACTAACTATGCGTGTTGATTTTGACATGAGAACCATCATGCTGTAGATGACGGCATTCTCAGAAAAAATGACCCAGGTTCAAGGAGTTAATGGCAGAGTCATATTTACCTCGTTTTGCTCTGTATATATATAATATGTATAAAATGTATATATATAAATGTATATAAATATATATAAATGTATATATATAAATGTATATATATAATCTGTAACTCATAACTTTCTTATATATACAGATTATATATATATAATCTGTATATATAATGTATATAGATAGATATAATCTGTATATATATACAGATTATATCTATCTCTCTCTATATATAGTGGATAGTCTACTTATATATATACATATAGTGGTTGATATACTTAGGCTTGGATGCTCTTAAGCAAAAGAAAACAACCCAAGCTTCTAGTCAGAGGTTCTCTGGCTGTTTCCTCGCTGCACCTGCTCCTAAATGGTGCTCTGCCTTGAGTGAGTTCTGAGCATCTCCTGCTGGTCCTCATGATGCCCATGCAGTCCAAATAAAGGGATGGGGTTGGGGAATCTGCTTTTGAGACACCCAGTCCTATGTCTGGCTCCTGGCCAGGAATTCTGCCAAGCCTGGGGGCTGCTCCTTGGATGTCTCCTGTGCAACCTCGCCTGTGCACTGAGCATCCTCACAACAAGGTGACAGGTTCATCATCACAGACATTACTGCAGGCAATTTTCAGCAAATCTAATTGTAGTTTGATGATATAATTCAGAAATCATGTTCATTGGGGTGTGACTGACATATCCCCACACAACAAACACACACACTGCATGGACATTCATTTACATTTCCCCAAAACTAGACACATTTTGTATTATTCCTGATGAGTTCATAAACTTCTGAGATTTGAATCAGAGTCTAAAACATAACATTTTCTATAACCCAATTTACAAATGAATAAGATGAGAAAATGGGGTCAGAAAAATCAAGATTGAGTTATTACCGCAGTCTAATGGTGGTAAGTTACATAATGAAGCTGCGATGAGATAGGCTTCTGAGTGCTCTAATTGTTAAACTCTCAATTACAGCTGACCAGTAATCTCTGGCCATGGGTAAGCTAGAGGTTCCCCACATGGGAAAGCTCTCTGACTCCATAAAACTTCACTGGGCTTCTCTGCAGGCTGTGAGCTGAGCAGACTCCTACCCCAGATTCTGCAGTCAGGCAAATCTCTGCTTTTTCCCGGGGACACAAGAGATAGTGTGGATAAGGGCCAGACAGGCTCTACTCAAGGTCTCTGCACACGGAGAAAAACCAGTGAAAGTGGAAAATGCATGTTCTTGATTCATTGAACAATATCTATGAAAAATGCAACTCTGTGTCAGCATATCATGCAGAATTACAAATGAATGCAATTAAAATAACTGAAAATTACAATTGTTTGCAGGCTCACATTTGTTCATGTATTTTCCAATAAAACACAGTAAAAGCAGGTGTTCTTTATAGAAATCCAAAACAGTGTGTTGTCCCTGAGGATGCACCTCCCTGCCTTTTCCTACAGGCAGCAAAATGCAGGTGGGTCAGGTTCCCAGCAGCTGCTTTCTGACATCTGTGGCATGGCGTGTGCTGAAGCCCATGTCCTGTGGTCTACTCTAATGAAATGACTGACTCCTCAGGGATTCCTAAGCAGAGCCATTTCTGGGAGTCATGGGGATCACCTGAGAGGCAGCACTGACTTGCACAAAACTCAATTATATTTTGCACTTCCTTGCACAGCACACAAATATAGGGACCTTCCACCCAATCCAGCTTCCCCCTCTCCTTCACTCAGGGACAGGCTTCCACCATGTGCCATCAGCTTCCCAGCCTCATTCCACCCCCTGTGCATTTTCTCTCAAAGGGATGAATGTATTTCTCACAACGGATGGATTATTCATGAGTCCCCTGGGCAATTCCTGAAGCTGAGGTTTCCTCCCCTCCTTTGTAGACCATGCAGGGAAACTTCCTGATGTTACCATGACATGTGTAAACGGTCATGCACTAGGGGGAGTGTCTTTTAGCATGTTAAGGCAATACAATAAGCATATAATGAGTAGTGAGGATGAATAGAGATCACTTTCGTGACTGTCTTGGTTTTGGTGGGCTGTGGCCAGCTTCTTTACTGTAACCTTCATCAGCAAGGTCTTTATGACCTGGATCCTGTGCAGACCTCCTATCTCATCCTGTGACTAAGAACGCCTTAGCTTACTGGGAACGTAGCCCAGCAGGTCTCAGTCTTATTTTTCCTAGCCCCTATTCAAGATGAAGCTGTTCTTATTCAAAAGCTTCTGACATAACAACAACGTAGCAAAAGTATTTATAATATGAGCACGACTATATTGCCAAATATATAATAAAATATTATAATGGCAACAATTAATTTTATGTGTCACCTTGACTAGACCACAGTCTCATCTACTCAATCACACACTAGCTTAGGTGTTGCTCCCATGGCATAACACAGGTGTTAGTAGAGCCTCCCATTATTTTTTCGTAAGTCACGAAGAGTGTTCTAGATAACCTAGGTGGGGCTGATTCAATCAGGGCATAATAGAAGACGATGGGACTCCATGGTGGACGGCAGATGCAGGTCTTCCCAGGAATTCCAGCCTGTCTTTCCTGAAGGCCAGCAGTATTGACCTTAGGCTGCCTAGCCAGGCCCTACTATTGTTACCCAGAGCTCACAGCACAATGGAGTGTCCATCCTCAGCTCTCCTCAAAGTCACGGGTGAGAGTCCAAACTCTGTGACAGTGTGAGAAGCACAAGATCAGCTCTACATCAGTATCCCATTGGAGAAAACTAGTATTATTCCCTTCATGACTAATGTCCACTTCATCTTCCAAACATCTCTGTTCACAGACGACAACAGGAGAGTCCAGACAATGGTGAGTGAGAAAGTCCCCGTAGCCTACCCAGGTCCTGCAGACCTGAGCCCTGGAATTTAGACTACAGAAAACACATCCTCAGTTTTCGGGGAAGAGAAGAAAGGGAATTGTGAGAATCAAGTATGCAGAGAAGGAAAATGGATTAGCAGAAAGGGGGTCAAGTGAATCAGTCTGAGTCATATGTACACAGTTTTACAAGACCAGGGGGGATAGCTGTGAAAACCATCAGGCTTTAAGGACCCTGACCCTGTGTGAGCGTCTCTCTTGGCTCCTATCAGAACTCAAAGCCTGTTCTAATCAGAGATTCCCGTGGAGGTCGCTGCCCTGAGTCTAACTGGCAAACACTCTTCGGGTTCCCCTGAGATTCCTCGGAACTTTCATCCTGCTGACCACAGAAGGATCATCTGCCCCCAAAGTGACACTGTGGTTTCTGTGGAGGTGAGGGTGTGTCCTCCTGTTACAAAAACAAAGAAACAAAAAGGACAAAAAAGTTTTACATTTAGAGACATGAAATGTCAGTACAGAATTGTAAATCTGGAGAAGTTCCCTGGGGAAATTTGACAATGAGGCCGCCGCAGGCCATGACAGGAAGCCAGCCCTCAGCAGCACCTGCACCTGCCCTGGAGACAGCCCCGTGCACAGTGTCCCGGGCGCCCCCTGGTGGTCCTGGGGACCCCTGCAGGGAGGTTTGTGTCTGGGCTCACACTGACTTCCCCTCACTGTGTCTCTCGCACAGTAATACACAGCCGTGTCCTCGGCTCTCAGGCTGTTCATTTGCAGATACAGTGAGTTCTTGGCGTTGTCTCTGGAGATGGTGAATCGGCCCTTCACTGAGTCTGCGTAGTATATGTAACTACTACTACTACTAATGGATGAGACCCACTCCAGCCCCTTCCCTGGAGCCTGGCGGACCCAGTTCATGCTATAGCTACTGAAGGTGAATCCAGAGGCTGCACAGGAGAGTCTCAGGGACCCCCCAGGCTTGACCAGGCCTCCCCCAGACTCCACCAGCTGCACCTCACACTGGACACCTGCAAACAGAGAGACATTGGTCAGAAACTGTCACACACATCCACCGTTTCTCTCACTCATATCCACACACACTAAATCTCTCTACTTTTCCATGATTCACCTTCTAAAATAGCAACAAGGAAAACCCAGCGGAGCCCCAGTTCCATGGTGAATCCTCGGTGCTCAGTGCTGATCACCAAGTGGATAGGCCTTGGAATCCAGGGCTAAGGCTCCTCTCTCAGAGCTGCAGGGTCAGGGTTCGGTTGGTTTTCATCAGTAGAGGGAGGTCCCTATTTGCATATCTCCTACTATATAACAAGCTCTAGGGTGGGACGCTGGAGGAATAGGCTGTACCCAGATAATAAGACGGTGCCCTGCAGATGTTTGCTGACGATGGTATTTGGAAAATATGCTGTCTTATGAAATTGTGCTGTGATAAACACTTTGCCCTGATCACCCTATTTCATCTGTAAATATTTGTGTAAATTATGTTCTGTAGGAGTCAATATTTTCTCCTTTTACAGAAGTGGAAGTAAACCCACAAGTGGAGGGGGCTCTGTATGCATCCAGGAGTTCATGTCTGGGATAAGTGAACGCTGGTATCTGGCCCTGTGCTCCTCGTCACTGGCTGTGACATCCCCCTAAACCAACTCCAGGACAAAGCTGGACGTGCCTGGTGTGGTTTTCAGAACCCACTTTCTGTAGTAAGAGCATGTGTGATGTTGCCACCAGCACTCACCTGAAAATATGGAGAGAACTAGGGTCCAGACACACTAATTTTCAGATACTTCTGACATTTAACATATGTTTGTATCTTTCTATTACTCCGTGCTTGTCTAAATTTCCATTTGCTTGTAATACATTTTATGTGGCTTAATTGAAAGATAATAAACTTCACATATTTAAAATGTACAATTAATAAACGTGATGTAACTGTCGTCATTATCAAGAAAGTGGACAAGTGAATTCTTCTCAACACTTCCTCTTATTCTGCTGTATTCCTCCTCCTCTCCCCTTCCCTTCTACCATTTCCCCCAGCAACTACTGATCCTCATTATTTTACTTCAGATGCATTTTTTATTCATCAGCATTTATAAAAATGAAATGACATAGTATATATTCTTATTTGTTTGGCATATTTTACTCGGTATAAATACTTAGATATTTTATGTTGTTCTGTGTGTCAGGCATTTATTTATTATAAATGACGGGTAGTATTCCAGTGAACACATTTACCAGCATTTGTTTTTCTGTTAAGCAGCTTAACAGTATTTGCAGTCTTTTATGACTCTGGGTCTTACCAAAAAAAGCTGCAACTCAGTTTTGAAACGTACATAGATGAGGAATATATTCTACTTACTTTTTACAATAACAACATCAACAATATCAGGTAAACAGAGAAAATGGGATTTTGCAAAGTTTTAAAAATACTTTAAATACTTGAAGTTTTAAGAAAAACATCAAATCTGAAATGCAGGGAGAGGCAAGTTCTTGTAGGCAGTAACAAGGCCAGGATATGAGCTGAACTGGGCAGAGTCTGGCATGTAAAATGTAGGCTACTACAAGAGAAAAACACACATATATATATTGGGTTGCTTGAAGTCAAGTGTGGTAAAAGGTGTTGTATGAATTTCTCAGGGACCACATACTGAAGAGCTTTCCTATCCTCTTGAATCAGTTTTCCCAATAATGTGGAGAGTTACAAAAATCTTTCCGTGCCAATGTGTCTGTCTGTGAGAGAAAAAGAACCCACACTTTGAAATGCATTCAGACTCACCTCCTTTATCCCCATTGCAGAACTAAGAAATTACTCTGCAGGGGCAAGCCACCAAAACCAGGATCTTAGGGGCACTGGGACAATCCCTTAGAAAATGAGATGGAAAAAGAGGTCTTTACTTAAGTTCCATTGAGAAGTACCTCCCCCTTTCATACTGAATCAGAGCCTTAATCTATGGGTCAGGTCAGCAAATCTGGAAGATGATAACACCAAAAGAGAACATTGGAGCTGTGGGAGGGAACAACTGGGGAAAACAAGAGGACTCTCACCCAGGGAAAACAGCAAGAACACACAGACCAACATCTCATCTGGAGGGAGTTCAGAAACAATGGAAAGGTCACACCCAGACTCAGGATCACAATATGGACCCATGAAAGGTCAGAAAATATCCCTTTATTCTAAATATCCCTTTATTCTATGACAATTTTACAATTGTCAGTTGAATATAACATCTTAACCCCCCTGAAGGAACTGAAGGAGATTCTCTGGAGGAGGGAACAGGTGAAGAGACAAAGCCAAGCAGGAAAGAAAAACAAGGTATCACTGGAGGATCTGAAGTCTCTGTCGGGCACAGAAGAACAGACTTCAACTCTGACGTCCACTGCAAAAGTAAATGTCAAATGTAGCTCTGAGAAGATTCAGACATTTCCACATTAAAGGCCTGGCAAAGATAAAGTGTGGTCAAATACAGGCAGAAAATGGATAAAATGAAATAATAAGATAATATCAACTGTCTGACCCAACATGTCTGGTTATCAACAACAATTATTACCTATATTAATGAGAAATACTAAAGTCACAATAAACAAATGTTCAGAATGAGATTTGTAAATGATACAGATATTAGAAATATCTGATTAAACAAGATATGTAAAGTAACTGTAATTCATATGTGAGAATCTCTTCAAGAAACTGTGGACATAATGCAGGACTAGATAGGGAACTGAGAGATATAAATATTAAGAAAGAATCAAATGGAAGTGCATAAGAAACCAAAAGCAATGCAGTATAAACATTGAGCAAACTTTGGGCATACCCCTCAGTAGAGCTGGCTCAGCTTTTAAATGAAACCATGCACTTAAATTGTCTCTAGAAAATTCACAATGTAAATTGCAAAGGAACAGAGACTGAAGAAACTAAACATTAATATCAAAAAGTGTAGTATATGTATATTTTAATTCTGAAAAGGAGAAATTGCAGATAAAGAGAAAGTATTTGAAAAAGTAATGGCTAAGAATGTTCCCAATTTTTTGAAACACACTGAACTACAGATCCTAGAATCACAGAGAACCCCTAGCAGAGGAAACACAAACAGACACAGACACACACACCACACATCCACCATGGACAGTGTGGTTACAAGAAAAAGCTCACACATCACACACCACACACACATTTCCTCAACTTTATTCCTTTTACTTAGCTGTTCTAAAATTATTTTTATTTATAGTATTAAGTAGAAGTCTAAGTTTAAAATATATTATTCTTTGCATAAGTCTGTCTATACTTACCATGATCAAATACACAGTTTGGTGCAAAAGAATGTAACTATTTTGTTAGGAATTTAACTATTTCAAATAAAAATGTTATATTTTCCTGGCTCTGTGTTGAATCATTTGTAATGTATGCAAATAAAATCTTTTTTAATTAAAGGATTTTTTAAGTTGGCAGATAATGATTGTTTATATTTATGGGGTACAGTGTGATATTTCAATACATCTGTGCAATGTGGTTTGACCAAATCAGAACAACGAGCTAATTCATCAGCTCAGACATTAACATTTCTTTGCTTGGTAGCATACAAAATTCTCTCTTCTGGCTACTTGTAAACATAAAGTGTACAATATATTGTTAACTGTAGTCACCCTTCTGCACTGTAGGGCACTAGAGCGTATCCCACCTGTCTACCTGTAATTGTGCATTTGTTAACAAACCACTTCTTATCTCTCGGTCTCCACCCATTTCTGATATTTCATAACCACTACTCTACTATTTCCTTCTAGAAGATGAACTTTCTTAAACTTCTACATAACATTGAGAAAATGAGGTATTTTTTTTTCTGTGTCTGGCTTGTTTCACTCAACACAACGGTTCCCAGTTACATCCATGTTGTTTCAAACAGCGGAATTTCATTTTTAAGGCTGAATAATATTCCATTGTGTAAATATACCCCGTTTTATTTACCCATTCACGTTTTGATGGACACATACATTAATTTCATATCGTAATTGTGTTTAGGGCTGCAATAAATATGGGTCGACAGGTATCTCTTCAATATTAGTTTTTTCTTTTAATTTTATATATATATATATATATATATATATATATATATATATATATATACACACACACACTCAGCAGTTGCATTGCTGATTTATATGGTAGTTGTCTTTTTTTTCCCATGATGGCTGTACTAATTTACATTTCCACAAGTGGTCTATAAAAGTGTTCATTTCCATGAAGCCTGGCCAGCTTTTGTTTTCCTTATGTTGTCTTTCTGCTAACAGACTTTCCAGCAAAGATTAAGGAAAGATAGCTCATTGTGAATTTGCATTTTCCTGATATTAGTTATTTCTAGCAATATATGTATGTATATATCCCTATCGATCTATCTATCTATCCTTTGCATGTCTTCCTCTGAGAGACGTTTATCCATGTTATTCGCCCATTATTAATCATATTGTTATTTGCAGTTCAGTTGAGTTTATGTGCTTGATAGTAATCCCTTGTCATATGAATAGTTTTGAATATTGTCTATCATCTGCAGGTTCTCTCCTCCTTCAATTGTTTTCTTTACTGTGCTGGAGGTAAACTTCCTTGATAGAACCAGGACAGGTGGTCTGAGGTGCTGCAGGACATTGCAGGGGAAGAGATGGACCCCATATCCAGAACCGTGTGAGCTTTTACTCACCATGTGGTTTGTTTTCTGAGTTTATGGTATGAACAGATGCAGAAGAGTTTGTCACGGGCTTCTGGGGGTTGAAGAATTTTAAGGGAGAATGATACATCTTATTAGTCAAATAAATAAAAATCTCATAATTGTGTATATGTACTTGTGAGTGGGGGTCACTCAGCAGTGTGTGTTCATCCCCTGAAAAGAGAAAAATATGTCTCCTGTGGAAAGAAGACATAGGTTTTGACATACGTGGTTATTATTGATGACAACTGAGCCTGGATACTAGATCATGTTATAATGCTAGTGGGAAGATTCAATAGAAGAAAGAATGTCATAGCAACAAAAAATGAAGCATCAAAGATTTAAATGAAATGACTTTGAATATTACTGGTAATGAACACACCAAGAAAAATCCATTACTATAACCAGAAGAATAATTCATGATCCCCCATGGGATTCAGCTGAAATGATATAAAATTTCCATTAAATGGCTCATCACCACCCTCATAAAATGGTTCAGAGAACAAACTAAGAACAGAGTGCGACCTTACAGCAAGTGGAGGCCAAACATTTGGGAGAGAGAGAGTCTATGTTGGAATCGTGAGAAGTAGAAACCTGAACTCTGCAGAGAAGCAGCAGTGATCAAAGGCAGTGCTGAGTCCACTTGAATTTAGTGTTGAATACATGATGATGGGTTTCTCTACCCTCATTCAGTTTTTGCTCCCAATACGCTCTTGGAAGCTTAGTTGTGAACATTTGGAATCTACCTAAATCTCAATCACGGCAAGCAATTTTTCACTGAAGAAAGAGGTAACAATTTGGGGGAAATTAAATTTAGGTTATAAATATTAGTTTTTGAAACCTCAATGTCACTCTCTAGTAACTTATATCATAAAATACTCAGCCTCATCAATGGAATCCTCTTATCCTATCAGGGGTGAGTGTCCATGTGGGCAGGAGGTGCAGTCATGGAGGCCGGGGAGATGGTCTGTCCAGGCTTTCCTGGTCCTTCAGAGGAGAAGTGCAGACTCATCTCCTCCCCTAGTCCTACCAATTTTCATATATGTGTGTGGACCTTGAGAATGTCATTGCCATATCTCTACATAATAGGAGTAAAATGGGGCATGAAGCTGATATGCTGGGTGTATCAGTGTTGAATTGGGAAAAGAAATTACCTGCATACATGAAGTGTTCCATTATCCAGGCCTGGAGCCTCTCACATCTAGGCTTTGCATTTTATTAGTGATTTTCTGTGTTGTTTAGTCCGTTCAAATGTTCTTTTTAAGTTTCTACTGAAATTGACTCACATAATAATCTAGAGGCACAAAGATTAAAGAATGACTTATTTGGAAATTAACCTAGGTTCCAGGTGGGGTCATAGTTAGTTTGTGGTGATAGTGAGACAGGGAGAAGCATAGCTGGAAACTGACTGTGCTCAAAAATGCTTCATGTTAATAGAGGAGACCCTGTACACACAAGACATTTAGACACTCCCACTGAGAACCTCGACCTAATATTATTTCTTATGACTTGCACCTCAATAGTACAACTCTAGGTTAATGACTAAAATTGCTCTTACTAATGTAAGATTTCCTTTAGAACACAGTCCTCTATCTGATATAAAATCAGCCCAGATGGCAGAAGTGATTGTATTTATTAGAACTTTCTAATTTGTCAAACTAGGAAATAAACACCTTTTGGCACAGTACATGGCTTTGGGGTGCTTTGTAAACAAAAGAGCATCTCATAGGTTCCAGAACACTCACCAAAATGGGCAAGTTAGGGGACTCTTAGAGGCACTCCTATATCCCAGATTCCGGGCAAATATAAAGGTGGAAGTCAAGGCAAAAAGAGGTAACACTGAAGCTAAGAGAACTGCCACGCCAGATCATATCCTCAGAAGACAAAACTGCTGAGAGAGACATGGGTGTTATCAAAAATATCAACGCTTAGCTGATGATCTTAAATACAAATGAATGAAAAAACATCATTATCGACTTTGCTTAGATAATTTGTGCCAGATTATTTCAAATGAAATTTGTTGCATTTCAACTCTATAATTTATAGACAAACTGGTTATCAGATTAAATAAACACTTTGAGGAAACAGCAGAGGTTAATTCTTGATGAGGAGTGACGAGCTAGCCACAAAATCCTGGAAGAACCCTAACACTGGGACTTAGACAGAAACCAAGTCACAGGGCCCTTTGGACACCTTTGGGTAAATTTTCCTCAATTTCTACCCTTAAGGGGATGTGAATGTATTTTATTTATCATCCATCTGTGTTCTCCGTGTCTTGAAATAATTCCTTGAGAAAAGGCTACAGCTCTTTCAGTTGATTAAAAGCTTCTGTATTTTGTGTTTTTAGCCTGTAAACTGCCAGGGTTTGCATGAACTGAGTGAAGAACACCCATGAAAGTATTATAAAGTGATTATGTGAGGCATGGCTGATAGTAAAGGACAACATTGTGAAAACCTCCTACAATCTTCCACATAAGTTTAAAAGAATGGTATTCTTACATTAAAATTATCATAATTTTAATAAACCCTGGAACTCCCTTGGACAAATGTACTGCTACTAACACTGTGGCATTATGGTCCTCTACCTCAAGGACGTATCTGCTATTGTCCTATGACTTGGTAGCTGGAAAAAATTCATTTAGAGGTTTTACCTCCAATACTAGCCTTTGCCACACTGCATTTGGATGAGGCAGAACACTCAAAGAGATCATGTATTATGCTCACTCCTATCATGAACAGATTAAAGCTGCCATTCTAGTATGTCTTTTTAGCAACAGCCTCTTATAATATTCAGCCAGAAAAATTTATACGCTGGAAAAAATTTTGGAGAAAAAGTTTTCTTGAAACACTGGAAGGAATCATATTAATCTTTTTATTATACTTTTAAGTTCTAGGGTACATGTGCACAACGTGCAGGATTTTTACATATGTATACATGTGCCATGTTGGTGTGCTGCACCCATTAACTCCTCATTTACATTAGGCATATATCCTAATGGTATCCCTCCCCACTACCCCCACCCCATGACAGGACCCAGTGTGTGATGTTCCCCATCCTGTGTCCAAGTGTTTTCATTGTTCAATTCCCACTTATGAGTGAGAACATGCAGTGTTTGGTTTTCTGTCCTTGTGATAGTTTGCTCAGAATGATGGTTTCCAGCTTCATCCATGTCCCTACAAAGGACATGAACTCATCATTTTTTATGGCTGCATAGTATTCCATGGTGTATATGTGCCACATTTTCTAAATCCAGTCTATCATTGATGGACATTTGGGTTGGTTCCAAGTCTTTGCTATTGTGAATAGTGCTACAATAAACATATGTGTGCATGTGTCTTTACAGCAGCATGATTTATAATCCTATGGGTATATACCCAATAGTGAGATGGCTGGGTCAAATGTTATTTCTTGTTCTAGATCCTTGAGGAATCGCCATACTGTCTTCCACAATGGTTGAACTAGTTTACAGTCCCACCAACAGTGTAAAAGTGTTCCTATTTCTCCACATCCTCTCCAGCACCTGTTGTTTCCTGACTTTTTAATGATCACCATTCTAACTGGTGTGAGATGGCATCTCATTGTGGTTTTGATTTGCATTTCTCTGATGGTCAGTGATGATGAGCATTTTTACATGTGTCTGTTGGCTGCATAAATGTCTTCTTTTGAGAAGTGTCTGTTCATATCTTTCACCCACTTTTTGATGGGGTTGTTTGATTTTTTCTTGTAAATTTGTTTAAGTTTTTTGTAGATTCTGGATATTAACCCTTTGTCAGATGGGTAGATTGTAAAAATTTTCTCCCATTCTGTAGGCTGCCTGTTCACTCTGATGGTAGTTTCTTTTGCTGTGCAGAAGCTCTTTAGTTTAATTAGATCCCATTTCTCCATTTTGGCTTTTGTTGCCATTGCTTTTGGTGTTTTAGTCATGAAGTCCTTGCCCAAGCCTATGTCCTGAATGGTATTGCCTAGGTTTTCTTCTAGGGTTTTTATGGTTTTAGATCTAACATTTAAGTCTTTAATCCATCTTGAATTAATTTTTGTATAAGGTGTAAGGAAGGGATCCAGTTTAAGCTTTCTACATATGGCTAGCCAGTTTTCCCAGTACCATTTATTAAATAGGGAATCCTTTCCCCATTTCTTGTTTTGTCAGGTTTGTCAAAGATCAGATGGTTGTAGATGTGTGGTATTATTTCTGAGGGCTCTGTTCTGCTCCATTGATCTATATCTCTGTAGTGGTACCAGTACCATGCTGTTTTGATTACTGTAGCCTTGTAGTATAGTTTGAAGTGAGGTAGCGTGATGCCTCCAGCTTTGTTCTTTTGGCTTAGCATTGTCTTGGCAATGTGGTCTCTTTTTTGGTTCCATATGAACTTTAAAGTAGTTTTTTACAATTCTGTGAAGAAAAGTCATTGGTAGCTTGATGGGGATGGCATTGAATCTATAAATTACCTTGGGCAGTATGGCCATTTTCATGATATTGATTTTTCCTATCCATGAGCATGGAATGTTCTTCCATTTGTTTGTATCCTCTTTTATTTCATTGAGCAGTGGTTTGTAGTTCTCCTTGAAGAGGTCCTTCACGTCCCTTGTAAGTTGGATTCCTAGGTATTTTATCCCCTTTGAAGCAATTGTGAATGGGAGTTCACTCATGATTTGACTCTCTGTCTGTTATTGGTGTATAGGAATGTCTGTGATTTTTGCATACTGATTTTGTATCCTGAGACTTCGCTAAACTTGCTTATCAGCTTAAGGAGATTTTGGGCTGACACTATGGGGTTTTCTAAATATACAACCTTGTCATCTGCAAACACGGACAGTTTGACTTCCTCTTTTCCTAATTGAATACCCTTTATTTCTTTCTCCTGCCTGATTTCCCTGGCCATACTTCCAACACTATGTTGAATAGGAGTGGTGAGAGAGGGCATCCCTGTCTTGTGACAGTTTTCAAAGGGAATGCTTCCGGTTTTTGCCCATTCAGTATGATATTGGCTGTGGGTTTGTCATAAAAAGCTCTAATTATTTTGAGATAAGTCCCATCAATACCCAGTTTATTGAGAGTGTTTAGCATGAAGGGCTGTTGAATTTTGTCGAAGGCCTTTTCTGCATCTATTGAGATAATCATGTGATTGTGATCTTTGGTTCTGTTTATATGATGGATTACGATTATTGATTTGCATATGTTGAATCAGCCTTGCATCCTAGGGATGAAACAAACTTGATTGTGGTGGATAAGCTTTTTGATGTGCTGCTGGATTTGGTTTGCCAGTATTTTATTGAGGATTGTTGCATCGATGTTCATCAGGGATATTGGTCTAAAATTCTCTTTTTTTGTTGTTGTGTCTCTGCCAGGCTTTGGTATCAGGATGAGGCTGGCCTCATGAAATGAGTTAGGGAGGATTCCCTCTTTTTCTGTTGATTGGAATGCTTTCAAAAGGAATGGTACCAGCTCCTCTTTGTACCTTTGGTAGAGTTTGGCTGTGAATCCGTCTGGTCCTGGACTTTTTTTGTTTGGTAGGCTATTAATTATTGTCTCAATTTCAGAGCCTGTTATTGGTCTATTCAGGGATTCAACTTCTTCCTGATTTGGTCTTAGGAGGGTGTATGTGTCCAGGAATTTATCCATTTCATCTAAATTTTCTAGTTTATTTGCGTAGAGGTGTTTATAGTATTCTGTGATGGTAGTTTGTATTTCTGTGGGATCGGTGGTGATATCCCCTTTATCATTTTTTATTGCATCTATTTGATTCTTCTCTCTTTCTTCTTTATTAGTCTTGCTAGTGGTCTATCAATTTTGTTGATCTTTTCCAAAGACCAGCTCCTGGATTCATTGATTTTTTTGAAGGGTTTTTTGTGTCTCTATCTCCTTCAGTTCTGCTCTGATCTTAGTAATTCCTTGTGTTCTGCTAGCTTTTGAATGTGTTTGCACTTGCTTCTCTAGCTCTTTTAATTGTGATGTTAGTTTCAATTTTAGATATTTCCTGCTTTCTCTTGTGGGCATTTAGTGCTATACATTTCCCTTTAAACATTGCTTTAAATATGTCCCAGACATTCTGGTATGTTGTGTCTTTGTTCTCATTGGTTTCAAAGAACATCTTTATTTCTGCCTTCATTTCATTATGTACCCAGTAGTCATTCAGGAGCAGATTGTTCAGTTTCCATGTAGTTGAGCAGTTTTGAGTGAGTTTCTTAATCCTGAGTTCTAGTTTGATTGCACTGTGGTCTGAGAGACAGTTTGTTATAATTTGTGTTCTTTTACATTTGCTGAGGAGTGTTTTACTTCCAACTATGTGGTCAATTTTGGAATAAGTGCAATGCGGTGTTTGGAAGAATGTATATTCTGTTGATTTGGGGTGGAGAGTTCTGTAGATGTCTATTAGGTCCTCTTGGTGCAGAGCTGCGTTCAATTCCTGGATATCCTTTTTAACTTTCTGTCTCGTTGATCTGTCTAATGTTGACAGTGCGGTGTTAAAGTCTCCCATTATTATTGTGTGGGAGTCTAAGTCTCTTTGTAGGTCTCTAAGGACTTGCTTTATGAATCTGGGTGCTCCTGTATTGGGTGCATATGTATTTAAAATAGCTCTTCTTGTTGAATTGATCCCTTTACCATTATGTAATGGCCTTCTTTGTCTCTTCTGATATTTGTTGGTTTAAAGTCTGTTTTATCAGAGACTGGAATTGCAACCCCTGCTTTTTTTGTTTGTTTGCTTTCCATTTGCTTGGTAGATCTTCCTCCATCCCTTTATTTTGAGCCTATGTGTGTCTCTGCATGTCAGATGGGTCTCCTGAATACAGCACACTGATGGGTCTTGACTCTTTATCCAATTTGCCAGTCTGTGTCTTTTAATTGGAGCATTTAGCCCATTTACATTTAAGGTTAATATTGTTATCTGTGAATTTGATCCTGTCATTATGATGTTAGTTGGTTATTTTGCTCGTTAGTTGATGCAGTTTCTTCCTAGCATCGATGGTCTTTACAATTTGGCATGTTTTTGCAGTGGCTGGTACTGGCTGTTCCTTTCCATGTTTAGTGCTTCCTTCAGGAGCTCTTGTAAGGCAGGCCTGGTGGTGACAAAATCTATCAGCATTTGTTTGTCTGTAAAGGATTTTATTTCTCCTTCACTTATGAAGCTTAGTTTGGCTGGATATGAAATTCTGGTTTGAAAACTCTTTTCTTTAAGAATGTTGAATATTGACCCCCACTCTCTTCTGGTTTGTAGAGTTTCTGCTGAGAGATCCACTTTTAGTCTGATGGGCTTCCCTTTGTGGGTAACCCGACATTTCTCTCTGCCTGCACTTAACATTTTTTCCTTCATTTCAACTTTGGTGAATCTGACAATTATGTGTCTTGTAGTTGCTCTTCTCGAGGAGTATCTTTGTGGTGTTCTCTGTATTTCTTGAATTTGAATGTTGGCCTCCCTTGCTAGGTTGGGGAAGTTATCCTGGATAATATCCTGAAGAGTGTTTTCCAACTTGGTTCTATTCTCCCCGTCACTTTCAAGTACACAAATCAGACATAGATTTGGTCTTTTCACATACTCCCATATTTCTTGGAGGCTTTGTTCATTTGTTTTTACTCTTTTTTCTCTAAACTTCTCTTCTCACTTCATTTCATTCATTTGATCTTCAATCACTGGTAACCTTTCTTCCAGTTGATCTAATCATCTACTGAAGCTTGTTCATGTATCATGTATTTCTCGTGCCATGGTTTTAAGCTCCATCAGGTTATTTAAGGTCTTCTCTATGCTGTTTCTTTTAGTTAGCTATTTGTCTAATCTTTTTTCAAGGTTGTTAGCTTCTTTGCAATGGGTTTGAACATCCTCCTTTAGCTCAGAGTAGTTTGTTATTGCCAATTGTCTGAAGCCTTCTTCTCTCAATTTGTCAAAGTCATTCTCTGTCCAGCTTTGTTCTGTTGCTGGCGAGGAGCTGTGTTCCTTTGGAGGAGAAGAGGTGCTCTGATTTTTAGAATTTTCAGCTTTTCTGCTCTGGTTTCTCCCCATCTTTGTGGTTTTATCTACCTTTGGTCTTTGATGATAATTTTTATCAATACAGCAGTAAAACTCCATGGAGTCAGTCCCTGAGATATTTTTTAAAAACTCAATAAGGAATTGAAATTTCCACACAATTAGAAGCTACTCCCATAGAGAGAATTTTTACTTACTGAATTAATAGACCAACCTTCACTAAGAGGCACTCTCCCATGGGATCCCAAACTTAAACAGATCTCTGTAACCTGCTGACATCTCAATGCACTTTTTCTCTAGATAGCTATAAATGCAAAGGCAAATTTTGTGTATTTGTGCATGAGTGATCTGAACACACCCTTGGCATTTTAACTAAATTTCATGGAAACATGATTACTTACTGTGAACTCACATTTCATGGCATTCAAAAATTCATCACCCTTATGATGGGGTGACAATATGTGCCTCAGAGAATATGCTGATGCTTCACTTGAACAAATTCTAGACTCCTCCCTTGACTTCATAGTTTCTTACTCAGTACAGATGTGTCTATGACCAAAACCCAACACTGATATCCAGCACTTTCTCCTCTTGTGAAATTTATTTTTTCTCATTGTTGGCCTGACTCTCTCTCTCTCTCCCTCTCTCTCTCTCTATCATTCTTTTTCTTGCCTTCTCATAATGATTTTCTGTATCATTCTGAAACCCGCCAACAGTATGCATCTGGAATCACGCCAATTACCAGCCTTAAAAAGAAAAATGTGCAAAGTCATAATTTTCTTAACAAGGTTAGAAAACTTCCTGCATTTCCACCAGGCTCATTAGAGACTCCCAGTGAGAATCATGGTCAAACATTATTTGTTTTTGGATCATACCTCAAAACTGAAACTGCTTTTTATAATGGTTATTCCTATTGCATTTCCACTATTGTACAAAGTAATATGAAGACTCCAAAATAAATTAAAAATAGAAATACCTGATGACGTGGCAAATCCTCTTCTGGGTATGTTCTGAAGAAGATAAAATCACCGCCTCATAAAGGCATGTGCACTCCATGTTCTTTGCAGCTCTACTCACAATAGCCCAGATATGAAAGCACCTCAGTGTCTGCAGGTGGGCAAATGGATAGAGAAAATGTAATCTATGTACGCAATAGAATATTATTCAGCCATAAAATACGATATCTTGTCATTTGCAACAATATGAATGGAACTGGAAGCCGTTATGTTAAGTTAAATAAGCCAAGCAAAGAAAGACAAATATGGCATCTTCTTACTTTTATGTCAAAACTAAAAAATTGGATTTCCTGAAGACGAAGAGTAGATTGTTGGTTACCAGAAGCCTGGGTGGATACAAGAGAGAAGGGGATAAAGAGAGGTTGATTACTGAATTCAGATACATAGTTATATAGGAGAAATAAAACCTAAATGTCTGATAGATCAGTAAGGTGACTATAGTTAAAAATAATCTAATGTACACGTTAAAATAACTAGAAGAGAGTCATTCCAATGTGCCTAGCATAAAGAAAATATACCTGTTTAACGTGATAGATATACCAATCCTGATCTGATCTTCACATATTTGTAAATGTATAAATATATTGCATGCTCCCATAAATTAGGTATATCTATTATTTGTCAATAAAGTAAATAATCTCCATGGCATGTTTTTACAAAAATATTTTTAAAATGCTCCAATTTATATACAAATACAAAAGCCTTCCAATAGCCAAAGTAATTTTGGGGAAAGTATAACAAAGCTGAATATATCATATTCTATAATTTCAAAATCAAATCTATCTAAATCAAAACAGTATAATGCTGACATTTAAACAGACATATACTCTAATGGAACATTATAGACACCTGATAATCAACCCACTTCTTCTCAATAAACTGATCTTTGACAAGTTGCCAAGAACACACAATAGACAAAGGACAGTCTCTTCAGCAAGTGGTGTGAAAACTGGGTATCCATATGTAGAAGAAATTAAATGGACTGGTTGGGCGTGATGGCTCACACCTGTAATCCCAACACTTTGGGAGCCTGAGGCAGGTGGATCACGAGGTCAAGAGTTTGAGACCAGCTGGCTAATATGGTGAAACCCTGTCTCTACTAAAAATACAAAAATTAGCCAGGCGTGCTGATGCACACCTGTAATCCCAGCTACTCGGGAGCCTGAGGCAGAAGAATCGCTTAAACCCGGGAGGCAGAGGTTGCAGTGCCCCGAGATCATGCCATTGCACTCCAGCCTGGGTGACAGAGCGAGATTCTAACTCTAAGGAAAAAAAAAAAAGGACCTTCCCTCACAAAATACACAGAAATCAACAAGAAATGGATTTAACACTTAAACGTAGACCTGAAAATTTGGTACAAAGGTATCCATGTATGGTTTGGAACAAAATGTAAATTAGTACAGCCATTATAAAAACAACATTAAGATTACTGAATGAATTGAACATAGGGTATACCCACTTCTAAGTGTACATCTAGAGAAAATGAAGTGAGTGTATCAAATATGCTCATTGTGAGGTTATTCATAATAGCCTAGATATGGAAAATAAGTCAATGTCCATTTATGAATGAACAGATAAAATGTGGCATATACATACATAAAATTGAATATTATTCAGCCTTTAAAAGAAGGAAATTCTTACATTTTCAGCATCATAGAGAACATTATGCTAATTAGAATAAGCCAGACACAGAAAGACAAATGCTGCATGATCTCATTTATATGTAGAATGTAAAATATTTCAGCTCTTGGAAGCAGAGTAGAATAGTAGCTCCCAGGCCCTGAGAGGAGGAAAATATTGGGCGATGTAGGTCAAAGGGTAAAAATTTCGGTTATGCAGGTTGATGTGTTTTGGCCCTGCGTTCCCCCTCAAATCTCATGTCAAATTGTAATCCCTACATGTTGAAGAAAGGGCCTAATATAAAGTGATTGAATCATGAGGTGATCTTCCTCTTTGCTGTTCTCATGATAAAATTCTCAAGAGATCTGATGGTTTAAAAGTGTGGCACCTCCCCGCTCACTTGCTGTTTTTCTCCTGCCACCATGTGAAGAATGTTCTTGCTTCCCCTTCACCTTCTGCCATCATTGTGTGTCCTGATGCCTCCCAGTAACACTTCCTGTTTAGCCTGCAGAACTGTAAGCCAACTAACCCTCTTTTCTTCATAAATTACCCAGTCTCAAGTAATTCTTTATAGCAGTGGGAAAATGGATTAATACAGAAAATTTGCACCAGGAGTGCGGTACTGCTATTACGATACCTGAAAATGGGGAAGTGACTTTGTAATGGACAGATGTTGGGAAAGCCTAGAAGGCTCACAAGAAGACAGGAAGTCGTGGAAAAGTGAAATTTCCTAGAGGCTTACTGACTGGTTTTGACCAAAGTGCTGATAGTGATATGGACAATAAAGTCCAGGCTGAGGTGGTCTCAGATGAAGATGAAGAACTTCTTGTGAATTGGAGTGAAGCTCACACTTGCTATGCTTTAGCAAAAAGACTAGCGGCATTTTGCCCCTGCCCTAGAGATCTGTGCTATGTTGAACTAGGGAGAGATGATTTAGGGTATCTGGCAGAATAAATTTCTAACCAGCAAAGCATTCAAGATTTTCCCTGGCTGTTTCTGAAAACATAAGTCCTATGCATTCATGAAAAGATGGTCTGAAATTGAAACTCATATTTAAAAGGGAAGCAGAGCATAAAAGGTTGGAAAAAAATTGCAGCCTGACCATCTGGTAGACAAGAAGAACCCATGTCCTGGGGAGAAATTCAAGCTGGCTGCAGAAATTTGAATAAGTAATGAGGAGCCCAATGGGGAAAATGTTCCCAGGGCATTTCAGAGATCTTTGTGGCAGCCCCTCCCATCACAGGCCCAGAAGCCCAGGAGAGAAAGATGATTTCATGGTCCAGGCCCAGTACCTCACTGCTCTGTACAGCCTTGAGACATGGCACCTTACACCCCTGTCTGTCTCGTGCCAGCCATAGCTAGAAGGGACCAAGTTCCAGCTCAGACCATTGCTTCAGAGGGTGCAAGCCCTAAGCTTTGGTTGCTTCCACATGGTGTTGAGTCTGTTGGTGCACATAAGGCAAGAACTGAGGTTTGGGAACCTCCTCCTAGATTTCAGATGATATATGAAAATGCCTGGATATTCAGGCAGAAGTCTGATGAAGGGGCTGAGCCCTAATGGAGTACCTCTACTAGGCCAGTGTAGAAGGAAAATGTGATGTTGGATCCCCCACACAGAGTCCCCATTGAGGCACTGTCTAGTGGATCTGTGAGAAGAGGGCCACCATCCTCTAGACCCCAGAATGGTAGAACCACCAACAGCTTGCACGGTGTGCCTAGAAAAGCCACAGGAACTCAATGCCAGCTTATGAAAGCAGCCATGGGCGCTGGACCCTACAGAGCCACAAGGGTGGAGCTTCCCAAGGCCTTGGGAGACCATCTCTTGTATCAGTGTGTCCTGCATGTGAGACATGGGGTAAAAGAAAAATTACTTTGGAGCTTTAACATTTAATGACTGCCCTGCTGGTGTTTGGACTTGCATGGGACCTGTAATCCATTTTCTGTGGCCAATTTCTCCTATTTGGATTGGGAGCATTTACCTAGTACATGCACCCCAGTTGTATCTTGGAAATAACTAACTTGTTTTTAATTTTACAGATTTATAGGGGGAAGAAACTGACCTTGTCAGAGGAGACTTTAGACTATAGATTTTTATGATTATGCTGAAATGAGTTAAGATTGGGAGACCGTTGAGAAGGGATAAATATATTTTGCAATGTGAGAAGGACATGAGATCTGTCATGGACCAGGGGTGGAATGATATGGTTTGTCTCTGCATTTTCACCCAAATCTCATGTTAAATTTTAATCCCCAAGTGTTGTAGGAGGGGTCTGATGGGGAGAGATTGAATAATGGGGGCGACCTTCCCCTTTGTGATTCTTGCAAGATCTCACAAGGTCTCATGGTTTAAAAGTGTGGCTCATCTCGCCTTGCTCTTTCTCTCTCTCTCCCCTGCCAGCATGTGAAGAAGGTCCTTGCTTCCCCTTCACTTTCCATGATGTCTGTAAGTTTCCTGATGCCTCCCAATAATGCTTCCTGTTAAGCCTGCAGAACCGCGAGTCAACTAAACCACTTTTCTTCGTAAATTTCCCAGTCTCAGGTAGTTCCTTACATTAGGGTGAGAATGGACTAAAACACAGGTTGAAATAGTTCTGGAGATGAAACGTAAAGCAATGTGACTATACTAATGAATATTGTATTATAAAGGTATCTTTTGCCAGAAGAGTAGATATTAGGTGTTTTTATCACACACACACAGTAAATTAAAGACATAAAATGATAACTCTCTGAGAGGACAGGCATGCCGATTACCTTGATCATGATGAGCATCTCCCCAGGTACATCAATACATCAAGTGGTGTACCCTAAATATATACAATTTTATTTGTCAGTGATAGCTCCATAAAGCTGAAAAGTTATAATGCATACCTATATATCTACATATTTTATCAATAAAATGTGTGAATATAAACAGAAGAACTTGTACAAAGATACTTATAATAGTTTTGTTTATGATGTTTATTTTGGAAACAAATTTAAATCCCATCAACAGGAAAATAGATATACATATTGTCACTTATTTACTTAATAAACAGATTTATTTATTTAATAATCTGTCATTTATTAATGTAATTGATTTAGATATGAAATATCTATATGTGTATGAGTACATACATATTTATACATATGATGACAAAACCTTGATAAATGCTATTACATGAATGAACCTCACAAATAGTAAAAGTTGCCCCTTACAAAAATGATCTATAATATTTTATTCCATGTATATGAAGTTCTAAACAAGAAAAAGGGACCTCCTATAGTGACAGAAATCAGAACATTTTTCTACTTGCATTTCTCTGATGATTAGTGATGTTAAACATTTTTACAATATATTTGCTGGGCACTTGCATGTATTCTTTTGAGAAGTGTCTGTGTCGTTTGCCTATGTACTAGTCCATTTTGAAACTGCTGATAGAGACATATCCAAAACTGGGAGGAAAAAGAAGTTTGATTGGACTTACATTCCACATGGCTTGGGAGGCCTCAGAAACACGGCGGGAGGAAAAAGGCACTCCTTACCTGGTGGGTGGCAAGAGAAAATGAGGAAGAAGCAAAAGCGGAAATCCCTGATAAGCCCATGAGATCTCATGAGACTTATTCACTATCAAGAGAATAGCACGGGAAATACCAGCCCCCATGATTCAATTACCTCCCCCTGGGTCCCTCTCACAACACATGGGAATTCTGGGAGATACAATTCAAGTTGAAATTTGGGTGGGGACACAGCAAACCATATCAGCCAATTTTTAAAGGGTTTTTTTTTTTTTGGTTCTTTTTGATTTGTTTATCTACAGACTCTGGATACTAGGGCTTTGTGGGATGCAATGCTTGTGAATATCTTCTCACATTCTGTAGATTGTCTGCTTACACTGCTGATAGTTTTGTTTGTTGTTTGTTTGTTTGTTTGTCTTACTGTGCAGAAACTCCTTAACTAATTAGGTCCCACTTGTCTATTTTTCTTTTTGTTGCAACTGGCCTTGGATACTTAGCCAAAAATTTTTTGTCAAAACTAGTGTCGATAAGAGTGTTTTCAAGGGTGTCTTCAAGGAGTTTTATGGTTTGAGGTCCTACATTTAAGGCTTTAATCAATTTTGAGTTAATTTTATATATGTTGAAAGTACAGGGTCAGCTTCAATCTTCATCATATGGCTAGCCCGTTGTCCCAGTATCATTTATTGAACAGGGAGTCCTTTCCTCATTGCTTCTTTTCATCAGCCTTATCAAATATGAGATGATTGTAGGTGAGCAGCAACACACCACTCAGAATGGTATCACAAAAAAGTCGAAAAACAAAGGATGCTTGTGGGACTTTGGAGAAAAGAGAACACTTATACACTGTTGATGAGAATATAAATTAGTCTTGCCACTTTGGAAAGCAGACTGGAGATTTCTCAAAGAACTTAAAACAGAGATATCATTTTACCCAGCAATTCCACTACAGGGTATACACTAAAAAGTAAATAAATAATTCTACCAAAGAGACACCTACACATGCGTATTCATGGCTGTGCTAGTCACAGTGGCAAAGACGTAGTTTAACCCAGATGCACATCACTGGTAGACTGAATATACAAAATATGGTACATCTACACTATATAATACTACACAGCCATGAAAAAGAATGAAATCATGTCCCTTGCCGCAAAATTAATGGAGCTGTTGGTCTTAATCATAAACAAATAAATGCAGGAACAGAAAACCGAATACCACATATTCTCCTATGTGGGAGCTCAGCATTGAGCACACATGGACATAAATAGAAGAACAATAGACACCGTGGACTGCTGGAGAGTGGAGGGAGGGGGTGATGGAATCTGGATTCCAAACCTCAGCATCACTCAATAATCCCGTGTGACAAGTCCACACACGTCCCCTCTGTATCTAAATTAAAAGTTGAAATTAAAAAAAAATCCTTATGTGAGAGCTGACTGGAAACACTGAGAGGACACTTGTGGAGATGGACCTGCTCCTCACCCTAACTTAGGTGCTGGAGACAAACGTGCACATTTGCCAGAAACCCTCAAACTGTACATTGAAGAGCTATGCATTTTTGTATATGTTATCTCATAAAAACAGAAAATAGACAATTGGAGGAAAATATTTTTATTGAAATTAAAATCTTAATAACATGCATATGAAAATTCAAATAGAAAATATAAATGTGATTATTACAATAATTATTTAAAGACATTTAGTTATATCTACTAGAATAAAATCCCAGAAATAAAAAAGATAAAGGTGACATCTTAAAACGAAAAACTAATAAGCACACATTTCACAAATAAGTAAAATATGGCTAAAATATGTTGAACATTTTATATTATTAGTTATACAAAGTTAATAAACTATTGATATAATATTGTAAACTGTTTTATTAGGATAAATTACTAACATTTTGTATCAAACCATAACTGGGGACAGCCGACAGAAAAATAACAATATTTGCAAGCACATGTTATAAATGTTAATATAGTCTCAATGTTGGCCCAACTCTTACACCTGAAATTTTCAACTATATCATGGATTTGTTTGGAGTCCTAGGAAAAATTAATTTTAAGAAATGACTTAAAGGAATTGTCTCCAATATGGAGATATTAGTATCTCATCTATAAATAAATGGAAAATACATAATACATGTCAAGTCCTTGTAAGAAACCCTGTCCCATGGAAAAGGGCTTATCCTATTTGTTAGTGATACATTTACTGTTAACATTATCACCTTCACGATGATTTAGAAAATTAAAGCAAAGCGTGATGAATTGAAGTGTGATGTTGCTTGTTTGGTACAACAGCGGGGTGAGGATAATGAAGAGCCCTGTGATCCCGAGGAGATGGCCTAATCCAAGGAGAGGGAGGCTCCAGGTCGTGTGGACTCACATGGGCTCCTGCTTCTGCCTGTCCCACAGCCACTCCCAGAAGCCTTCAGGAGACAGGGGTGCAGATGGGCCCTTGAGACCATCAAATGAGAGCTGGAACTGAAGAAAAAGATAATGATCTGGGATAAATTTTAAAAAATTAAAATAAAAAATTTTATTTTAAATTCACGAATTATGGTTGTTTATATTTACAAGGTAAGAAGCAATGTTATGATTTGTGAATACCATATGGGATAACTAAGATAATTAAGAAATGATTAAGATAATTATCATTTATCAATTCAAATTCTTATTATTTATTGTGACAACCACATTTGAAATAACCATTATTTAACAGTAGTTAAATGAACAAATATAAATCAATTGATGTAAACAATTAAAAATAACCAAAATCAATTGTGAAATACTCAAATAATTTACATTTAGCTCATCATTAAGTTTGATTCTTTAGGACATATTTTTAGAATTACTTTATTGTAATGTTTATTATGAATTCCTACACATATATGCATATGTCTTTGTATTTATATATTTTTTCTTTCTTTGTTTTGTTTTTGTTTTTTGTTGTTTTTTTGAGATCGAATCTTGCTCTGTCACCCAGGCTGGAGTGCAGTGGCGCCATTTAGCTCACTGCAATCTCTGCCTTCCGTGTTCAAGTGATTCTCCTGCTTCAGCCTACCGAGTAGCTGGGATTAAAGGCACATGCCAATACGCACAGCTGATTTTTGCATTTTTAGTAGAGATGGAGTTTCACTATTTTGCCCAGGCTGGTCTCGAACTCCTGGCCTCAAGTGATCAGCCCACCTATGGCTTCCAACGTGCTGGGATTACATGCGTGAGCCACCGCGCCTGGCCTATACATCTTTCTATGGTTATAAATTTATGTCCCTATAGCTTCGTAGCTGCTGACGTCAACAAATGTTAATAAAACTCTGGAAGAATCGGTGCAAATAGGAATGCTTATTTCATTAAAGTGTAAACATATATATATAATTTTTAAATTACTAAAATTTAAATACTAACGATAATAAATTCATAATAAACACAAGTAATAAAACGTCACAGCCTAGAAAGCTCCAGAGTCCGGCAAACACAAACCTGACTTTTCCAGCTGAGGAGAAAGGAAACCTCTCCCGGCACCTGCTCCTGTCCCGCCCTCAGTGGGTCCCTAGCGCCCCCTGGTGGCCCCGCGCGGCCCTGCAGGGAGGTTTGTGTCCGGGCTCACACTGACCTCCCCTCACTGTGTCTCTGGAACAGTAATACACGGCCGTGTCCTCGGTTTTCAGGCTCTTCATTTGCAGATAGGTGATGCTTTTGGAATCATCTCTTGAGATTGTGAATCTGCCTTTCACAGACGTGGTCTATTCTGTTGTCCCACCATTAGCTTTGTTTCTAATGAAACCTACCCATTCCAGCCCCTTCCCGGGAGCCTGGCGGACCCCGCTCATGTAGTAGTAACTGAAGGTGAATCCAGAGGCTGCACAGGAGAGTCTCAGGGACCCCCCAGGCTGTACCAAGCCTCCCCCAGACTCCACCAGCTGCACCTCACACTGGACACCTGCAAACAAAAAGAAACCCTGGTCAGAAACTGCCACACGTATCCACTGTTTCTCTCACTCTTATCCGCTCACACTCAATTTCAATAGTTCTCAATGAATTACCTTTTAAAATAGCGGCAAGAAAAACCCAGCTCAGCCATGACTCCATGGTGAGTCCTCTGTGTTCAGTCCTGATCACCAAATGAAAACATCTGAAAATCCCAGGGCTGGGGCTCCTCTCCCAGAGCTGCAGGGTCAGGGCTGGGCTGGTTTTCATCAGCAGAGGGAGGGCTCTATTTGCATGTCTCCTACTATATAGTAAGCTCTGGGGTGAGAGGCCTGAGGAGAGAGTGGGGCTCACAGCATGTGAGAGCGTCCTGGGGGAGATTTGTGATATTGATAGCATTTGGGAATTGTGGTTACTTATTGTAAGTTTGTTCTGTGGTAAACCCTTAAAACCTATAAATCTTATAATTTTGTAATTTTTATTTTAAAAGTTTTATTGAGGTACAATAGATCTACATAAACTGCATATTTTTGAAGTTCACACCAATAATCTTTTATTTTTACACATGCAGAGAAACCATGGTATGTAGTATCAATGTTATTTCCATGTTACAAATGAGAAATTACCAGCAGAAGCACAGATGGGTTGTACAGTGTCCCCAGAGCTCACATTTGGTCAGAGTGACCTGGGCATCTGGGCCTGTGCTTCTCACCACTGGACCTGACTTCTCCCTGAACCAAGCCCAGCACACAGGGGTTGCACCTAGTGAGGTTTACAGAACCATTTCTCTGTAATGGGAACATGGTGTGATGTGTATGCTCTTTTGTGATTACCTAACAATTGTAAAGAACAGCATGTTTCCCACAGTTTTATTTTCTTAAGTGTCATACATCTCTCATGTTCGTGTCTATCTTTCCATCAGTCTTTATCTAACAAATTATATATTCACTTATTTGCAATACCCTTATTGAGGCATTATTGCTATATAATAAATATTGCATAATTAAAGTGTGCAGTTGAATACACACTGAAGCCGAGCATGGTGGTGCACAACTGTAGTCCCAGCTACATAGGGCAGAGGGAGGAGGATTGGAGACCCAGGGTCTGAGGCTGCAGAGAGCTGTGATCTCACCACTGAGCTCCAGCCTGGATGACAAAGCAAGACCATGTCTCCAAAGAAAAAAAATGTAATTTCACATGTGCTCACCTGTGTATCCAAAATAACAATCAAGATAATGATGATTACAGTTAAAAGCTTCCCTGCTTCCCTGTGTTCCTCTCATTCCTGCCTCCCGTCATTTCTCTCTCACTATACTCAGTCAACCTCTCATCTTTGTTAATTCAGATCTATTTTTCAATATTTTGTTAAAGTGAAATCTTTTAGTTTCCATTTCATTTGTGTGGCTTCTTGCTCAGAATAATTACTTGTGAGTCAGTAATTTGATTGTGTATAAAGGTGTTGATTCTAACGAGGAACAGTATTCCAGTTAATGAGTACACCCCTATCATTTATTTATAAATCTCCTTAACATTTGTGTTATTTCCAGTTTCTGAGTATTACAAATGTATCTTCTACTCCGCCTGGAGATGTAGTCATCCAATAAAAAAGTATTATTTTTACAACAACTAGCCTTACTGAGCTACAAATTAGCACATTTTATTTAATACATGAGTTTATTGATGTATAGGGCAAATGAGAGAACTTACCTCTTGTGAAAATCAAATCAGTGACTTGTAAGGATAAACAGGAAAAGAATATAATTTTATCTGAGGCAGAGGCCAGCAAATGTCATATAAGTTAATGCAAGATTAAATTAGATATATTTACCCGATTGCTTAAAATTAAGTATAATGAAGAAGTTATTATTTAAATTTCCACAGGACTTAAAACTGAGAGACTCCTATTGCTATTGAAACCTTTCCTCCCAAGATTGAGGACACATCACAAAAATCTCCACCCTCTTCCTCCCGAGATGGTTCTGTGTGGGAAACGGAACAGCAGCTGTGGCTGAAATGCATCCAGACCCAGCTCCCTCACCACCACTACATGACCAAAGAATTAACATGCAGGGGCAAAGCCACTGACAGCTCTGTGTTACAGGCACTGGAGGAACTCGTAGAAACTGGGGTAGAAGAAAGAAAAGCTCCAAAGCTCTGTCCATTCTTTCAGGAATAACAGCCTCATCTCCCACCTCCTCTCTCTTCCCTCAGGAATAACAGACTCATCTGCTGGGAAGGGCAGAAAAGAGGAAGCTGAAGACATCAGTGGGAAGACATAGTGGCTGCTGGGAGAAGATTGGGGAAAGAACAAGGAGACCCTCTACCCAGGAATGGGAGGAAGATGCATGGATCAGCATCACACCTGCAGGAGGGGCAGGGATACTTGGAAGGACACGTCCTGAGCCAGGACTGCCATGTCTGCCTGGAGTGTGGCTCCCTCAGAAGGACAGAGAGTGCCCGTTCAGTGCAACCCTTCCCACCACATTGACAATCATCAGGTCCATGTGGCTCTGGGATGACCTGGGGGAGATGAAAGACAGAGTCTCTCTGGAACACACAATTTAAGGCCCAATGCCAAGCAGGAAACAAAATTAAGGTGTCACTGGAGGAATCTGGGTGTCTGGTGGCTGCAGAGGAAACCCACTGCAATTCAGGCAGCCACTGTGACAATGAATTTCAAATGTAGCCCTGACTGGTTTCACACAATTTTCTACAATAAAGGCCTAGAAAAGATACGGCATGATCATCTACAAAAAAAGTCATAAAACAAATAATTATCTAATATAAAGGATCTGATAGAAGTATCTGTGGAACATACATTTTGAAATAACTGCATAAATACTTTGAAAATTTACACTTGATCCCATAGTTAGTCTATGCGTAACTTCGTAAGAAACTGCCAACATGTGCTTATTTTTAATAACTAATACTTTATTACTATCATGCTTTTGAATGTAACAGAGACCACAGAGTAGATTCTATCGATAAAAAGCCAACTTTGGAAAATACTTAGAGAGATTTATTCTGAGCCAAATGTGGGGTCCATGCCCTGTGACGCAGCCCCAGAGGATCCTGATAACATGTGCCCAAAGTGGTTTGATTGCAGGTTAAATTTAATAACATCAATTGATACATGTGAGATATCTGTTGATTTGTTTCATAAAGACAAAACAGCTAGAAGTGAGGCAGTGTGGGGAGATAATTACCGCTTACAGGTGAATTAAATGATTTTTCAATTGGCAATTCATTGAAAGACTTAAGTTTTTATCTAAAGACCAGAAATCAGTAGTAAAAAGTGTCTGGGTTAAGATAACAGGTTTTGGAGAACAAAATTCATATTATGCAGATGAAGTCTCTTATGTGGCCACGCTTAGAGGAAATAGATGGCAAATGTTTTTCTACTAAGACCTTTAAGAGATGCTAGACTTCCAGCTAATCTCCTCAGTATAACGAAAGACCTGGAAAGGGAAGGAGATTCTCTACAGAATGTAAATCTCTCTCACAAAGGATAACTGTGCAGGGCGATTTAAAAATATGTCAAAGAAATATATTTTAGGGTAAAAGCCTTCGATTCCTTTCAAGGCCTGCTCTGTGTCACATGACGCTATTCTCGAGTCAGGTTAGAATTTGGTATCTTATTGCTACACGGAATCCGTTTTCTGAGCCTTGAGTCCTCTGTTTTCATGAAAATGCTGGTCAGTTGTGCTTGAATTCCAAAGTGAGGAGGGTATAATGAGGCATTTCTGATCTGTTTCTAATGTGGCCTGAACTAGGTTTTCAAGTCTCTGGAACTCCTTGGTGAAGAGGAAGGTTCCATTCAGTCAGCTTGGGCGCTTAAAATTCTACTTTTAGTTTATTGGACATATATGAGACTTACCCTACTCAGGGGTATCAGAAAATATTTACTGAGGTAATCACATTGAAGTTGAGACTTGAAAGATAGTCTCAGATTCCTCCCTGCAAACCTTTTCTCCTGAGACTAGAAGAAGAAAACTTAACCAGAAACAAATACTAACATTTCTTCAATGTTCAAAATCGCCACCCATTAGGAAAATAATTAAACTTGCAAGGCTTATCTTTAGAAACTAGTATAACGATTCCTAATGTCCTTTAGAAAAACACAGATTCTGATTAGTTTACAGATTATACAGAACGTCCCATCCAATGGCAATCTGCAATTAGCTGGATTCCCTTCCACTGGTGTTTTTTAATGTGTAATTTAAATAGATGCATAATAGTTCAAAACCTTTATGTGGTACATGTGATATTTCGAAAAAAAGAAAATTATGTGCATATCTGGATAACTGGGACAACCTTCAACCTTCATCTCAATCATTGACTACTTCTTTGTGGTAAGAACATTCTAAATGTTATCTTCTAGCTAATTTGAAATACACAATAAATTATTAACTGTAGTTGTCTATGTGCCAATTCAGCATTCTCAGGAGCAATGGGTGAAAATTCCTGTTTTTCAACTTCCTCGTCAACATTTGGTATTGTCTATATTGTGTATTTTACCCATTCTATTAGGTTACTAGGATTTTTTCAATATTAAACATACATTTACCTAATGAAAATCCAGTTGGTCACTTTTTATACTTATTGTTAGATGCACTTTCTATTCAGGTCTTTGCCCATTTTAAAATTAAATTGTGTGGTTTTGTTGTTCAATTGTAAGGTAATTTGTATATTTGTAATAAAAGTCCTTTTCCAAATATTTGATTTGCAAGCAAACTCTCCAAATCTATGGCTTATCTTTTCACTCTCAGATAAGGGTTTATTTTCAAAGGCCTAGGTTAGTTTATCCATCTATGAAAAGAGGATAATTGGCCAGGTGCAGTGGCTCCTGCCTGTAATTCCAGCACTTTGGGAGGCTGAGGCGGTTGGATCACCTGAGGTCAGGAGTTTGAGACCAGCCAGGCCAACATGGTGAAACCCCGTCTCTATTAAAAATACAGAAATTAGCCGGGCATCGTGGCAGGCGCCTGTAATCTCAACTACTTGGGGGGTTGAGGCAGGAGAATTGCTGCAACCTGGGATGCAGAGGTTGCAGTGAGCCGAGATTGCACCATTGAACTCCAGCCCAGGCAACAACAGTGAGACTCAGTATCAAAAAAAAAAAAAAAAAAAAGGAAAAAAAAGAGACAATTATCATTCTAACTTCTAACTTAGAATTCTTAGCATAATAACGTAGGTTGTAAATATTTCAGTATCTGAAATATATACCAGTTTTGGTAAAACACTAGGGAGGAAAATTTGTAGAGTGTTCTGAGCGCACAATGGCTTCCCCTCGCTGTGTCTTTTGTATAAAAATCATGGTTGTGTACTCCTTGTTAAGGTAGCTCAGCTGTAGGAGAAACTGTTTTTTGGATGTGGATCTGGAGATGGTGACTGGACTCTTGAGGAGTGGGTTGGATTGTGCACTCCCTCATGACCTGTGCACCTGATTCGCTCCAGTCCCTTCCCCGGGGGGTGACGGATCCAGCTCCAGCAGGAAGCACTGGTTGTAATGGAGAAGCAGAGATGCCACAGGCCAGGGGGAGGATCTGTGAGGGCTTCACCAGGCCAGGAGTGCACCGAGAATCACAGTTGTCGGCATGCACAGGTTCTGAACAACATGTTGAAATTCACAAATTTGCACATTTTGATGAAAATGAAGAACTCACTGTTTTGCAATTTGTAGGTCCCCGAGAGCAAATAGCAGATTCAGAGGTTAGAATTAGATGAATATATGGTCACATTTTTTCTTCAAACTTTCAACCAAATAAGAAAGACAAACTGCGGACAGAAGAATGGGTACTGGATTATTACCTCTGTCTATAATTACGGTGATTTTCAGAATAAGATTGACCTGTGATAGCCCAAAGGGTGTCATAATCCCGAATCCACAATTAGACCTGAGCAGCAATCACGGGCAGTGGAGGTCGCCTCACATGAGGAAAGATCTGACTCTGCAAAGCTGCACACGGGGGTCTCTGCAGTCCCTGAGTTGTACAGGAACAGCTCCTCCCTCAGACTCAGAGTGAGGACAATGTGCTCTATCTGGGGGAGGTGAGGGTTAGTGTGTGGAAAGAACCAAACTCACTCTAATCAGTATCTCTGTACTTGGACAGAAATCAAAGTTTACAAGAAATCATGAACTTGGGGTAAAGCAGGAAATTACAATTGTTTGCAGGGTGCATGCTTGCTTCTCCATGTCGTCTAAGAGAACCAAGGAAAATCGTGATTTATTATGTACATTTCCATAAAAGGTGTTTCCACCCTGAGAACGCACCTCCTATACCTCCAATGTCAGGGAGCACGTGGACCAGGCACCCGGCACAGCTCTCTGACACCATCACCCAGTTTTTGACAAAGAGACACATCCTGGAGCTCCTCCCAAACAATGACTGTGCACAGTGAAGTTGCTAACGCGTGGCTGCTGCTGGGCACATGGGAGATTCCCGATGGACAGCTATGCTCTGGGAAGAACCAATGGCCTTGATGGAATTAGCTTGGACCACAGGGTTGTTAGTAAGCTTCATCAGACTCCCACCTTCTCCAGCACTCGTGGTGGGATTGGCATAGTGGGCTGACAGTGTCTACAGCCTCACCCGGCCTCCTGCACACTTTTCTGCCTCTTGTCTCTCCCCTACACTCCACCACCTGCACCTCACACTAGACACCTACAAACATAGGGACATTTTGGTCCGAACCTGCCACACATAATCACTGTATTTTCACTCACATCCACTCATGCTTAATATCTCTAGTTCTCCATTATTTGCCTTTTAAAATAGCAACAAGAAAACCCAGCTCAGCCCTAACTCTATGGTGAGCCATGTGTGTTCAGAGCTGATTGTCAAATCAAAACTCCTGGTAATGCTGGACTGGGGCTCTTCTCCCAGAGCTGTAGGCTCAGGGCTGCGATGGTTTCCATCAGGAAAGGGAGGGCCCTATTTTCACGTCCCCTCCTCTGCAGCAAATGCTGAGGTGGGATGCCTGAGGAGAGAGCAGAGCCCAGGGCAGATGTGAGACTCCTGGAGGAGTTTAGTGTTGATGGCAGCATTTGGAAAATATAATTTCTTGTTATGTGATTTTCTCATTAAAATTACTAAGCAAATATTTTTATTTCTCTTTTACATATTTGAAAAACTAGAAATATAACTACATTTATGAAACTTTAAGATGTATAAAAGGAGAAATAGAAAACTATAAAAAAATTAGGAGACTTCAAAACCTCGCCTTCAATAATGTACAGAGCATCCACAGAAAAATTCTTAGGAAGCCCGTGGACTTAAGCACTCTCGAACAAACTGCCCTAACAGACATCTACGGAACATTCCAACCAACAGCAGCGTAATATGCATGCTTCCCAAGCACACTAGAGATATTCCTCATGATGGGTTATATATTAGATAACAAATGACTCTCAGCGTTTAAAAAAGTGATGACAACCGTTCTCTAACTTTTTAAAAAATCCGTGAGGTCCCCACCTTCTAATCTCTTTCTAAGAGGCTCCAATCACTGTATTACCAGTAATAGACAAGGCAAAAGAAGAAAACCAAACTTCTGACAAATGTTCTTAGTATATGTAAACAAGCTACTCCCAATTCATAGTCAACTAAGTTCTATAAGACTTTAAAAGGATTGTACACCATGACAAGCTCCAAATTATTTTTGAGATGCGCTGATGAATCAATATCTTCAAATCAATAAATCTGATGTGGTAAATTAAGAGAATAAAGGAAAAGCATCAGTTAACTTCTCACCAGACATAGAAAATAACATTTAAAAAATTCAAGATCTCATAATAAAACCTCTAAAAGTTAGGAATACAAGAATATAACCTGTATATAATAAAAGTCATTATTTAAAGCCATACTTTTATATGGAAGAGTGAAAGGTTAAAATATTTTGCTATAGCATCTGTAAAAAGGCAAAAATAAACTTACATCTTACTTCCAGATTTCAAAAGTAATAACAAAAGTAGAATAATAAAAACAGGATGGAGTTGGCATAAATATGTAGAAAGAGCTCAGAAATAAACTGATGTATCAATGGC
The DNA here is from genome assembly GCF_000001405.40 of Homo sapiens. NCBI lineage: Eukaryota > Metazoa > Chordata > Mammalia > Primates > Hominidae > Homo > Homo sapiens. The sequence goes on from NT_187600.1 coordinate 733,875, forward strand.
AAACTGATTTTCAGCATAAGAACCCACAATATAAAACAGATAAACCAAGTCTCTCCCTATGAATGTGTTAGAAAAACTGGATGTACACATGCAAAGAGTTAAGAATTTTGGGTTAGAATAAACACAAAAATCACTCTGAATGGGCCAGATATTTAAACATATGGCCTGCAATTGTAAAATTTCCCCGACCCAGAAAATAATATATTAACAATGATTTCCTATATTTCACATTAAAGGCACAGACAACAAAAGCAGAATTAAACAGGTGGAACTACATCACAACAAAAAGATTCTACAAAGTGTGGAAATAATTCCAACCTACAGAATGGGAAAATATAATTGCAAGCCATGCATCTGAAAAAGGGATGACATCCAAAAATACATGCAACATCTACCACTCATTAGCAAAATCATATTTGCCTGATTGGATAGTGATCACTTTTTCACCTTAAAAAATTATGAACATAGATCTCATGTTAAAGATTCTTCCCTCTGGGTAATGGTAAATTTGATGGTACACTTGGTTAGGATAGACTTTGTAGTTATTCACTGCAACACTAATATATGTGGTGCTGTGAATTTACTTAAGACAAGCAAAACAGGTGGGCCTGATTCCATCAGAGCAGAACTGGAGAAAATGAAATTCCATGGTGTTTCAGCAGCTTTGCCTCTCTCTGGGACCTCCAGCCTGCACTTATTGATGGATGATCTTCTGGACACTGGGTATTCCCAGACATCTCCAAAAACTGTCATCCTCCACATCTCACAGAAAAGTGGCATGTCTTTTGTCCTTGCGATAGTTTGCTGAGAATGATAGAAGGATGGTTTCCAGTTTCTTCCGTGTCCCTACAAAGGACATGAACTCATCATTTTTTTCCTCACTCATAGGTGGGAATTGAACAATGAGAACACATGGACACAGGAAGAGGAACATCACACTCCAGGGACTGTTGTGGGGTGGGGGTAGTGGGGAGGGAGAGCATTAGGAGGTATACCTAATGCTAAATGACGAGTTAATGGGTGGAGCACAACAACATGGCACATGTATACATATGTAACAAACCTGCATTGTTCACAGGTACCCTAAAACTTAAAGTACAAGAATAATAAAATTTTTAAAAAAAGTCATAAAAAAAGAAAGTGGCATGTCCATCTGTAGCTTGTCAACCCTGAATAACAGAGAGAGAGAGACTCTAAAATATAATAATATGTATTCTAGGAAGTGTATTGCAATTGAAATGTATGGGTGCATTCAGGTTGGTATAGGAAGATAAAGAATAAAGGAAAAATGAGGAGGGTCACATCAGCTGTTTAAGACAATTGTCCTGGGCTAGAAGGATCAATAACAGGGGCACATCGGTGTAAAGTTGAACAGGGAGTTGCTGGGCAGATACACTGGGAGAAGTAATTCTTTTAATGTTGTGGTGGCTTCTGTGCAAGGTTATGGTTGTGCAGAGTCTATTTATGGTAGTTCTTATTATCAGGAATATGTGTGTTAGAACCCTCCTTCATGGCCTTCCCCAGCTTCATTCATTAGGGCTTTAACACAAGTGGCTCCATCTTGATTCTGATAAATTTCACCAGCTCTTTCTAACACTACTTCTGAAGCAGACGACTCTGACACTGTGCACGGAACAGGGTTAACTCCACATCCACATCCCATTTTGATCAAATGAGTTTGTCCCCTTCAGTATTAATGGTCAACTGCATTCCCAGATGAGCCTACACACAACACAGTGGAGGGTCCTGAGAAAATGGGGAGAGAAGGAAGTCCCATCAGCCTCTCCCACGTGGCTGCAGGAGCCACAGCCTGAGCCCCACCTGAGCTCCAAGAAAATGCCTTGAGCCCTGGAATGTGGACCAAGGGGACCATCTGTTTCTTTTTCAGGAAACAGGAAAAGCAAATAAAAAAGGGAGAAGAAACTCTCCAAAGAAAGAACATGGATTGGGAGCAAAAGGAGCACCAGGTCAGTGCTGATGCTGATTGGCTTTAGTGTCAGGAGAAGGGTCAGACGTGGAACCTGTGAGGTTCTACATGACTCTGGCCCTGGCCCATCCTCTCTGTTAGATGTGATCAAAACTCATAAAGGCTGTCCCTGAGGTTTCTGTCCCAGGACTGATTGCGGAAGAGTCACCAGGCACCCCTGAGTTTCCTCAGGACTCTCATCCTGGTGACCATGGTTGAGAACTTTTCATCTCTGTAAGCGTCAATCTGCATTTGGTGCGTGTGAGAATAGGTGCTCATATTAAAATGATCTTTTAAAAAATACGTAGAGATGACATTAGTAAGCACAGAATTCTGAGGTTAGAGAGGTTCACTAGAGAAACTGTCAGAAGAAGATGAAGTCCCACACCCTGACAGGAAACAGCCTCCATCTGCACCTGCCTCTGGGGATGACTCTGATCAGCGGGTCCTGAGCGCCCCCTGCCGCTGATTTCCCCCCCATCGTTCCTGCAGGGAGGTTTGTGTCTGGGCTCACAATGACTTCCCCTCACTGTGTCTTTCGCACAGTAATATACGGCCGTGTCCTCGGCTCTCAGGCTGTTCATTTGCAGATACAGCGTGTTCTTGGAATTGTCTCTGGAGATGGTGAACCGGCCCTTCACGGAGTCTGCGTAGTATGTGCTACCACCACTACCACTAATAGCTGAGACCCACTCCAGCCCCTTCCCTGGAGCCTGGCGGACCCAGCTCATGGCATAGCTGCTAAAGGTGAATCCAGAGGCTGCACAGGAGAGTCTCAGGGACCCCCCAGGCTGTACCAAGCCTCCCCCAGACTCCACCAGCTGCACCTCACACTGGACACCTGCAAACAAAAAGAAACCCTGGTCAGAAACTGCCACACGTATCCACTGTTTCTCTCACTCTTATCCATTCACACTCAATTTTTCTATTTCTCCATGAATTACCTTTTAAAATAGCCACAAGAAAAAGCCAGCTCAGCCCAAACTCCATGGTGAGTTCTCTCTGTTCAGTCCTGATCACCAAATGAAAACACCTGAAAATCCCAGGGCTGGGCTCCTCTCTCAGAGCTGCAGGGTCAGGGCTGGGCTGGTTTTCATCAGCAGACGGAGGGCTCTATTTGCATATCTCCTACTATATAGTAAGCTCTGGGGTGAGAGGCCTTTGGAGATAGTGGGGCTCAGAGCATGTCAGAATGTCCTCGGGGAGATCTGTGATATTGAAAGCATTGGGAAATTGTGCTTTCCTATTGTCAGTTTGTTTTGTGATAAACTTAAACCTTAAAACCTAAAAATCTTATAATTTTGTAATTTTTATTTTAAAACAGTTTTATTGAGGTACCATAGATCTACATAAACTGCATATTTTTAAAGTTAGCACCAATCATCTTTTATTTTTACATACGCAGAGAAACCATGGTATATAGTATCAATATTATTTCCATGTTAAAGATGAAAAATTATCAGCAAAAGCACAGGTGGGTTTTACAATGTCCCCAGTGCTCACATTTGGTCAGAGTGAGCCTGGGCATCTGGGCCTGTGCTTCTCACCACTGGACCTGACTTCTCCCTGAACCAAGCCCAGCACACAGGGGTCACAGCTCGTGAGGTTCGCAGAACCTTTTCTCTGTAATGGGAACATGGTGTGATGTGTACACACTGTGGTGATTACCTAACAAATATAAAGAAAAGCAAGTTTCCTACAGTTTTATTTTCTTGAGTGTCATACATTTCTCATGTTGGTATCTATCTTTCCATCAATCTTTAACAAATTATCCACTTATTTGTAATACCCTTATTGAGGCATTATTGCTATATAATAAATACTGCATAATTGAAGTGTGCGGTTTAATACGCACTGAAGCCGAGCATGGTGGTGCACCCCTGTAGTCCCAGCTACATAGGGCAGAGGGAGGAGGATTGCTGGAGACCCAGGGTCTGAGGCTGCAGAGAGCTATGATCTCACCACGGAGCTCCAGCCTGGACGACAAAGCAAAACCATGTCTCCGAAGGAAAAAAAACATAATTTCACGTGTGCTCACCTGTGTATCCAAAATAACAATCGAGATAACGATGATTACAGTTAAAAGCCTCCCTGTGTTCCTCTCATTCCTGCCTCCCCATTATTTCCCTCTCACCATACTGAGTCAACCTCTCATCTTTGTTAATTCAGATCTATTTTTCAAGATTTTGTTAAAGTGAAATCTTATATTTTCAATTTCATTTGTGTGGCTTCTTGCTCAGTATAATTACTTGGGAGTCAGTAATTTGGTTGTGTATAAAGAATGTGTTGATTCTAATGAGGAACAGTATTCCAGTTAAAGAATTCACCCATAGTATTTATTTAGAAAGCTCCTTAATATGTGTGTTATTTGCAGTTTCTGAGTATTACAAATAAAGCTTCTACTCAGCCTGGAGATGTAGGCATGCTATAACAAATATATTATTTTTACTAAAACAACTAATTTTAGTAAGCTGCAAATTAGCACATTTTCTTTAGTACACCAGATTATTGATGTTATAGTATAATCAAGAGACCTTACATCTTGTGAAATTCAGTGACTTGCAGGAACAAACAGGAAGAGAATATGACCTTATCTGGGGGAGAGGCCAGCAAATGTCACATAAGCTAATACAAAATTAAATTAGATATATTCATTGGATTGTTTAAAATTTAGTATTATAAAGAAGTTATTGTTTAAATTCTCAGCGGACATACAACTGAGAGATTCCTATTGCTATTGAAAACTTTTCTCCCAGGATTGAGGACACATCAGAAAAATCTCCAACCTCTTCCTCCCGAGACGGTTCTGTGTGGGGAAGTGGAACAGCAGCTGTGGCTGAAATGCATCCAGACCCAGCTCCCTCACCACCACTACATGACCAAAGAATTAACATGCAGGGGCAAAGCCACTGACAGCTCTGTGTTACAGGCACTGGAGGAACTCGTAGAAACTGGGGTAGAAGAAAGAAAAGCTCCAAAGCTCTGTCCATTCTTTCAGGAATAACAGCCTCATCTCCCACCTCCTCTCTCTTCCCTCAGGAATAACAGACTCATCTGCTGGGAAGGGCAGAAAAGAGGAAGCTGAAGACATCAGTGGGAAGACATAGTGGCTGCTGGGAGAAGATTGGGGAAAGAACAAGGAGACCCTCTACCCAGGAATGGGAGGAAGATGCATGGATCAGCATCACACCTGCAGGAAGGGCAGGGATACTTGGAAGGACACACCCTGAGCCAGGACTGCCATGTCTGCCTGCAGTATGGCTCCCTCAGAAGGACAGAGAGTGCCCGTTCAGTGCGACCCTTCCCACCATATTGACAATCATCAGGTCCATGTGGCTCTGGCCTGACCTAGGGGAGATGAAAGACAGAGTCTGTCTGGAGAGCACAAGACTAAGGCCCAAAGCCAAGCAGGAAACAAAATTAAGGTGTCATTGGAGTAATCTGAGTGACTGGTGGCTGCAGAGGAAACCCACTGCAATTCAGGCAGCCACTGCGACAATTACTTGCAAATGTAGCCCTGACTAGTTTCACACAATTTTCTACGATAAAGGCCAAGAAAATATAGGGTGTGATCATCTACAATAAAATGCAAAAATCATAAAGCAAGTAATTAGCTGATATAATGAATCTGATAGAAGTATCTGCAGAAGATAAATTTTGAAATAACTTGCTTAAATACTTTGAAACATTTACACTTGATCCCATTGTTAGTCTATGCATAACTTCATAAGAATTTTCCAACATGTGTTATAACTAATACTAATATTACTAATACTATATTAATATAATGCTTTTAACAAAAACCACAGAGTAGGTTCTGTTAGAACTACTGATGAAAAAGCAACCTTGCAAAATATTTAGAGAGATTTATTCTGAGGCGAATGTGAGGACCATGAACTGTGAACAGCCCCAGAAGATCTTGAGAACATGTGCCCAAAGTGGCTTGATGGTAGCTTAAATTTAGTGTACTAGAGAGACAGTCACCAAACAATACATGTGAGATATATGTTGATTTGGTCCATAAAGACAAAACAGCTAGAAGTGAGGCAGTGTGGGGCGGGGATTACAACTTACAGTGAGTTCGAATATTTTCTGATTGACAATTGATTGAAAGATTTAAGCTTTTTTCTAAAGACCTGAAACCGGTAGAAAAATGTTTCTAGGTTAAGATAACAGGTTTTGGAGAACAAGATTCTTACTATGTAGATGAAGTCTCTTATGTGACCACCTTTAGAGGCAATAGCTGGGAAATGTTTTCTCCTAAGACCTTTAAAAGAAGCTAGACCCTCAGCTAATCTCCTCGGTATAAGAAAAAGACCTGGAAAGGGAAGGAGATTCTCTACAGAATGTAAATCTCTCTCACAAAAGATAACTGTGCCTGGCTATTTTAAAATATGTCAAAGGAATATATTTTAGGGTAAAAGCCTTTGATTCCTTTCAATGCCTGCTCTCTGTCCTGTGATGATATTCTCGAGTAAGGTTAGAATTTGGTATCTTACTGCTACAAATAATCTGTTTTCTGAGCCTTAAGCTCTGTTTTCATAAAAATGCTGGTTAGTTGTGCTTGAATTCCAAAGGGAGGAGGGTATAATGAGGCATTTCTGATCCTCTATTTCTAACACGGCCGGAGCTAGGTTTAAAAGTGTCTCTGGAACTCCTTGGTCAAGAGGAAGGGTCCATCTGGTCAGGTAGATGCTTAGAATTCTACTTTTAGTTTCTAGGACAGATACGAGACTTATCTTAGTCAGGGGTATCAGAAAATACTTACTGAGGTAATCACAGTGAAGTTGAGACTTGAAAGATGGTCCCAGATTCCTCCCTGCAAACCTTTTCTCGTGACATGAGAAGAAGAAAACTTACAAGACACAAATATTACTATTTCTTCTATGTTCAAAATCGTCACCCATTAAGAAAATATTTAAACTAGGGAGACTTATCTTTAGAAACAAGCAGCCTAGTTGATTTCTAAAGTCCTTTACAAACCCACAGATTCTGATTAGTTTACAGATCATGCAGCACATCCCATCTAATGGGAATCTGCAATTAGCTGGATTCCACTGCATTGGTGTTTTTTAATGTTTGATTTATATAGATACACAATATTTCAAAATATTTAGGTGGTACAACTGATATTTTGATAAAAGCATTTTATGTGCAGTGATCAAATCTGGATAACTAGGATATCCTTCATCTCTATCACTGATTATTTCTTAGTGTTATGAACATTCCAAATCTTATCTTGTAGCTATTCTGAAATATACAATAAATTATTAACTGTAGTTTTCTATGTGCCATTTCGGCATTCCCACCAGCAAGGGGTGAAAGTTCCTGTTTTTCAACTTCCTCATCACCATCTGATATTGTCTACCTTGTAATTTTTACCCATTCTCATAGTTTAGTAGAACTTTTTAAATATTAAACATAAGTACACCTAATGAAAATCAAGTTGATCACTTTTTATGTTTGTTTTTTGGATATGGTTTCTATTCGGGTCTCTGCCCATTTTAAAATTAAATTCTGTGGTTTTGTTGTTCAATTGTAAGTTAATTTGTATATTTGTGATAAAAAACCTTTTCCAAATATTGGATTTGCAAGGAAATCCTCCAAATCTATAGCTTTTCACTCTCATGTAAGGGCTTATTTTCAAAGGCATAGGTTAGTTTATCCGTATACGAAAAGATGATAATTGTAATTCTAAATTCTAAGAATTATTAGAATAATAATGTTGGTTAAATTAATCCCAGTATCTGGTGCTTCACAACTTTTGGTATAACGCCAGTGAGAAAAATTTGTAGAGTATTCTGTGAAGACCAGAAATCAGAAGGTGATAAAGGGACAATTATATTTGAATAATCTGGAGATAGGAAGTGTATTTGGTATTCTTCTCCTTCTATTTCTCTATGAAGATGAAATGGAAAAATGACGTCTCCATGTGAAATGGGACACAAAGTTTTTAAGATGATTCTGAAGGAAAGTTGCTAACACAATCTCTCAGGTGATGTTCCAACACAGGCTGTGGAGGGGATGGTGGCCGCCAGTGGTTGCTGTCAGCCACAGGGTTGGTTGGTGTGGCCATTATTTTGTCCATGAGAGACAGTAGGCTATAATTTACTACATGCAGGTGCATTTCTTAATCTCAGATAAGGGGAGAACATGAGAACACAGAAGACGGGAAATTTGAAGATCTCACTACATCAACCACATTCCACTCAGGAGAACTTCTCACTGAGAGACCGGGGGATACGCAGGGAGTGGAGAGGAGTTTGGGGGATACTATCCATGAAAGAACCAATCCAAGCTCGTCGACCTCCCCATGGAAGGAGAGGTTAAATGTTTGTTCACAGAGAATGGTGGCTTATGTCAGGGTTCCCACAGGATCCAGAAATAGTTTCTAATAACAAACATCATACTATATTTAGAATTGATTTATTTTTTATAATTTATTTTGCCCCTCTAGTCAGCGCCACAGAAGAATGTTCTCAGAATCCTTCCTGATCCTCTGTGAGTTCCTGGTGCAGCTCCTGGAGGAAAAGGCTGTGTGGGAGGGAGCCCTCCTCATGTGAAGCCCTGAGGCAGTCCTGTCACCTCACCCACCACTGCCCTTCAGTCACTTCCTGAACACTTATGAGTTAACCTTCCTGAAACGTGGCATTTGGCAGTGCTTTCCCAGGTAATAAAATACTTCCGTTCTGTTTATCCTTGCAGGCCCCTGTCCGTTTCTGGAGCACGGGTTGCAGCTGAGTGTGTGGTAGTGGATAATCAGTGGGAGGAGGTTTGTGTGCATCTTGTCATCTTCCAGAGTGCACCCCTCATGGGGTTGACACTGACAAGCACGCAGATGGGCTTGCTCAGCTGGAAGATGACAGGCATTTTTGTAACCTTTGACCCCAGGAAGGCTCTCCCACTGCAAGACCAATCAGGCTTAAGCCTCTGGCTAAAGTGCAGCCAGCAAAGGGTACAGTGCCCAACCCTGAGAGCTCCTTCCAGGTGCCAAACCACTTTGTAAAGGAAGCTTTTTTCCTGCATGGATCCCATGGATGTGTCTGCATTTTCTGCACAAAGGGCTTTATCCAGAAACACCCCCCAAGAGCTTACAATGTTTTGAATCCAACTGTAGGGCATTATTCACGAAGGCCCTCATGACCAAAGTCTCCACTTCTCATTAAAGGACATTAATTATGGGATTCACCAGAAGCTGCTGGCTTTCCAAGGTACAGACCTGCCTCTACACCAGTGTCCCCAACCATTTTGGCACCAGGGAACAGTTTGGTAGAAGAGAATTTTTCCATGGATGATGGCGGCGGGTGGTTTTGGGATGAACTTGTTCCCCCTGCAATCGTCAGGCATTAGATTCTCATAGGGAGCGCTCAGTCTAGGCCCCTTGTATGTGCAGGTCACAATAGAATTCGATGAATGCAGCAAACCAACATAGCACATGTATACCTATGTAACAAACCTGTACGTTATGCACATGTACCCTAGAATTAAAGTATATATATAAAAAAAGTGAATTCGGCTTGTAGGAGAATCTAATGCACAGCTGATCCGACAGGAGACAGAGCTCAGGCAGCGATGCTGGCTCGCCCCCACTCATCTCCAGCTGTGTGGCCCGGTTCCTAACGCACTGCACACCTTAACGGATCCACAGCACGGGGACTGGGGACCCCCGCTGTAAACACTGGGAAACCTTACCATTGGGGAAGAGGCATATAAAACCAGGAGAAAGAGGAGCTCCATGTAAATGTACATTTTATGGATCCTTGAGGAAAGAGTGCAAAGAGGAATGGTCCCACCCACTTTCCTTCTACCTGGCATCATTCCCAGTAACCCACTTGAAGAATCCACTTGAACCTGGGGTGCTTCAAGATAGTTGAGGCTTGTTATACCAGGGACCACCAGAAAAGGAAACAACCAATGTGTCTGTGGAGATTCATCCTCTGTAACCGATTTATGACACTGGTGCAGGGTGTTGATAGCAGAGAAGGCTGAGCGTCGGGGGGCAGGAGTGCATGGGAACTCTGTTTCTTCTACTCAAACTTGTTGTGATCCTAAAACTCCTTTAAAATAAATTCAGTGTAAAAGGAAGGGCAAAGACATTTTGGAAGAAATTTCGGCCACTTCTTGGAAATTATATTTAGTCTTACCATGAGATCAAGCAATCCTGTTTCTAATGATTTATAGATCCAATTATAAAATGTATGTCCCCACAAAGCCCCCATGGGAATGTTTGCATCAGCTTGATTGATGGCTGCCTTTCCCACTCTGTGAGTGTTACTTATAGGGTGACAGTTGAAAATACTATTTCCTACATAATGACAGTGTACACATCTTTCCATTGCTGTTTTACTCAATTACTCAACCCATTTTCTAAACAGATTTAAACTTCATAAATCCTGTCATCTCCTCAGCCTCAGCACAGCTGCCTCATTCCTCAGGGTTTCTGACGCTCTCAGGATGTGGGTTTTCACACTGTGTCTGTTGCACAGTAATACACGGCCGTGTCCTCAGATCTCAGGCTGCTCAGCTCCATGTAGGCTGTGTCTGTAGATGTGTCCTCGGTCATGGTGACTCTGCCCTGGAACTTCTGTGCGTAGATTGTTTCACCATCTTCAGGATCAAAACCTCCCATCCACTCAAGCCCTTTTCCAGGAGCCTGTCGCACCCAGTGCATGGATAATTCAGTGAGGGTGTATCCGGAAACCTTGCAGGAGACCTTCACTGAGGCCCCAGGCTTCTTCACCTCAGCCCCAGACTGTACCAGCTGGACCTGGGCGTGGGTGCCTGTGGAGAGGACAGAGGAGTGGATGAGACACCACTTAACTGGACCCAGTCCCCTCATCAGCCCTGGAACTAAGGATTCTCTTGCCTGTAGCTGCTGCCACCAAGAAGAGGATCCTCCAGGTGCAGTCCATGGTGAGGTGCTGCGCTCTGGGGGCTTCTGTAGGGGAGGGATGTGGCTGTTGTGTGATGGTCTCTGGGCAAGGAAAGATCTGTATTTACCTCGGTAGACAGCAGTGCATTTGCATATTCATGAGGCAGGTTTTTCATAGCTCAGGCCACGCCACCCTGAGGAAGAAGATAGGTGACATGTGGACCACGCCACAGTGGGATGCTGAGCTCCCTGCCCTGAACTTTGTTTAATATTTGTCCTCTGACATGCCCAGAAGTCCATGAAGACAGAACTCCTCTCACAGAAACCCAGAATCTCACAGGACATGGTCCTCAATGTGATTCCCTGTTCATATGGCTCACTGTCTACCTGAACTTTTCCTGAGCCTTGCCCTCTGCACATCTAACTTCTGGGATGAGTGTGTCTCCGGACAGTAACACCCATTGAATTAATAAAACCACCCCTCAATTCCTAACTAGAAATACATTTGAAAGACCTAGACATTTCTCCTTTTAAATCCGGTTTGCATTAAATTATTGGGTTAGGTATAGGCTGCGTATACAATAAAATACTTACAGGCACATCAGTACTTGCTAAATTCTTATTTAAATGTTAGGTCATTATTGCTTTGAAATAAGGAACATTCAATTCCTGAGAGAAAACCCTGCCCCAGCCTCCTGTGCACCTGCCCCAGGGCTGGGTCCTGTGCTGGGTGCTCCCTGAGCGCCCCCTGCCGCTCAGCTCCTGCCCTGCAGGGAAGTTCCTGTCTGGGAACTTTTTCCTCCTGTCAGAGAACTTTTTCCTCCCAGAATCTCAAGCTCAGTAGGAAGGGGCTGTGCCCTGGCTCAGAATGCTCTTTCAGTGACAGAAATTGTTTCCCCCACCACCTCTTACAATAGAAAATAGGCCTTAGAAAACCCAACATAATCTACAGGGAGACCTCAGCACGGCAAGCAAGGAATCATAAAAGCCATCAGGGAGCCCCTTCCCTGGAGCTCCGGATCCACTGATACGGTCCAGACACATGGCGAGTCCAGGAACTGATGGGACTTTGGGGAAGGCTCTTTTTTTTAGGATTCTGTGGTTGAAGATTTTATCGATTATAACTTTACCCACAGACCCTATGTCTCAAAGCTCACCACCACACACACTCACAGTGGCATATTTGCATAGTAACTGGCCTCGAATTTGCCCTCCTTCTTAGTGTCTTGCCAGTGAAAAGTGCTTCCAACACTGATCCTAGTCCTGGTTATGTTTGTTGTGGTTTTGCTTTTTCCAAACAGCTAAAGCGAGCTAGGTACTAATGGAGATTTGGAAAGTGCCTTCATGTTCTCTTTGCCAGTTCTCACCTGCGCACCCTGCAGATGCCCCATGAGAGGTAAATCTAATTTCAGTGAGGGAGAGGATGTGACCTTGTTCCTGAAGCTGTTGGTCTAAGAGGTTTTAAGTCACTTTACTGTCCTTGACTTTTTCTCTCCCACTGCCTTTGGTTTCCCTAAATTCTAGTCCTTAGATGGAGTCTGTGCCTTTCCACACTTTTCTCTTTAATCCAGATTAATCATATTGGTGGTGAGGTGATGTGGTGGGTAGGGGAGCAGTATATGTTCTGGAAATTGAATTCCAATGATTTCTTGCTATTCTTTCTCTAGGCTGTACCATTTACAAGGAGTATTCAGTGGTACAGCTGATTTTCCTCCGTCCTCCACTCCCCCTCCTGGCTGCAGCATCCACAGATTATTTTCTTGAATCTGACCCCAGATGTTTTATTAATTATACTCCTTTTCATGACTCAGGAAGGCTAAGATGAAGCTGTCTGGGATGGAAAAGAATCCCTTCCCCTCACAGAATAAAGATCTTGAAAAGTATTTTTTCCCTATAGGGTCTGTCTGGAGGAAGTTCTGGGCATACTTATCAGAGTATAGTTCTCCTGATGACAGAGCCATGAGGGAATCTGTTTGGATTCTCATCTTGAGAACCCAGAAGTTTCTGGAGGGAAATTCCATCAGAGTGGGGTGTGCAGCCCCCAGGACTTCTTACCCTACCCTATCCACACTTGTCTTCCAGGCATTTATGGAATTGCCATATAACTCTTCCCAACAGCTTGTGCTTTCAACGGAAGAATCACCCAGTTTATAAATTTAGAAAGGAGACTTTATTTCTCAGAAAGGGTTGAAGCTGCAGGACGGCCATCTTAACAGGCTGGGAAGGAAAGCCTCCCACAGAGACTGTGAGCAGGCACTTTAAGAGAGGGAAAGATGAGAAACAAATTTGTGCAAATGGATTGGCCGAGTGTACACACTCAGCAGGCTATAGAAGGAGCTATGGATATTCACATGGCGTGGAGGCTCTCATGTCTAATAAGCAAACACACATGATACATGCATTTCAGCTTTGCTTTGGGGTGAGGACTTAAGAACTAAATGAATTACAGCTGGGTCCTGCATATCAAAAGGGCTTTGTGCAGGGGCAGAAAGACACACAGTGCACAGCCTCTGGAAATTGGCCAGGACAAGTCCATGGTCAGTGGTCTCTTCACAGGAGAAAGTTACTGAAATCAGTCTCTTGGCCAATCAAAGCTCTCTTTATGGCTGTGGATCATTCTTGCCAACATTTCTTATCTTTTGTCTTGCTGATAATAGCCATTTTAAGTGGTGTGAGGTGATATGTCATTGTGCTTTTGATTCGAATTCCTCTGACAATTAGTCATCTTGAGGACATTTTTATGCTCTGTTTTTCATGCATGTGTCTTCTGAAAAAAATCTATTCAGGTTTTTGCTCTTTTTATGAGGTCATTTGATATTTGCTATTGAGTTGTATGGATTATTTATACATTTTGATAGAACTTCTTGTCAGATATATAATTGCATGTAGTTTTTTGCTGGGCTTGCTTTTGGGATTAACTTCAAATAAATCATTTCTGAATCAATGACATGAATTATTTTTCCATGTTGTCTATGAGTTTATGGTTTCATGTTATGTTTATTTTTGTTGATTTTTGTATATGGTGTTAGAGAAGGTCTAATTTTATTTATTTTGCATATGGATGTCCAGTTTTTACATCATTTGTTGGGAGACTGTCCTTCCTTCATTGTGTGTCCTTGGGATACAAAATCAGGAAGATACATAATTAAAAAAGAAAACATCAGATGAATATTCTTGGTGAACATAGACCTAAAATTTCTCAACAAAATACTAACAAATAGAATCCAGAAGCACTTTAAAATGTGATACGTCATGATCAAGTAGGCTTTACCCCTGGAAGGCAAGTTTCATTCAACATCCACAATTCAGTAACTGTGATTCTCCATGTAAGCAAAATAAAAGCAAAAAACATATGATTTTCTCAATACATGCTGAGAAAGCTTTTGATGAGATCCAACATTCACTCATAAAAACTCTCAAAAGACTAGGCATCAAAAAATACCTCAAAATAGCCTGGTGCGGGGGCTCACGCCTCTAATCCCAGCACTTTGGGAGGCTGAGGCGGGCGGATCACGAGGTCAGGAGATGGAGACCATCCTGGCTAACGCAGTGAAACCCTGTCTCTACTAAAAATACAAAAAATTAGCTGGGCGTGATGGCGCATGCCCGTAACCATAATCCTAGCTACATGGGAGGCTGAGGCAGGAGAATCGCTTGACCCCGAAAGGCAGAGGTCGCAGTGAGCCGAGATCATGCCATTGGACTCCAGCCTAGGCGACAGAGCGAGACTCCGTCTCAAAAAAAAAAAAAAAAAAACTCAAAATAATAACAGCCATCTATGACAAAACCACACTCAACATTATACTGAGTGAGCAAAAGCTCAAACCCCTTGAGAACTGAAATAAGACAAGGATGCCCTCTCTCACCACTCCTATTGAGCATACTACTGGAAATCCTAGTCAGAGCAACCAGGCAATAGAAAAAATAAAACGGAGCTGATATGGTTTGTATTTGCATCCCCACCCAAATTTCATGTCAAATTGTTATTCCCAGTGTTGGAGGTGGGGACTGGTGAGAGATGATTAGATCATGGGGATGCTTCACCCTCTTTTGTGCTGTTCCCATGACAGAGCCCTCAGGAGATGTGGTTTCCAAGTACTTGGCACCTACCTCCTCTCTCTTCCTGCTCCAGCCATGTAAGACATGATGCTTCCCTTTCTGTCATGACTGTTGGGTTCCTGAGGCCTCCCCAGCCATGCTTCCTGTACAGCCTGCAGAACCATGAGACAATCAAAAATCTTTATAAATTATGCAGTCTCAGGTGTTTCTTTATAGTGTGCAAATAGACTAATACAACATCTAAATGGGAAAAGAAGTAGATATATCTGTCCAAACTGATGATATAATTCTATACATAGAAAATTCTAAAGACTCTGCCAAAATAATTCTAAAATAGATAAACAACTTTGGTAGAGTCTCAGGATACAAACTTAATGTACAAGAATCACTAACATTTCTATACCCAACTATGTCCAAGCTGAGAGTGAAATCAAGAACACAGTCCTATCCCACTTACAATATTCACACACACACAAATGAAATGCCTGGAAATACAGGTAACAAACAAGGTGAAAGATCTCTACAAGGAGAACTACAAAACACAGCATAAATAAATAAATAAATCATACATGACACAAATAAATGGGAAAACATTTCATGCTTATGGATTAGAAGAAGGAATATTGTAAAAATTATCACACTGTCTAAAGCAATTTAGAGATTCAGTACTATTTACATAAAACTATCAACATCATTGATCACAGAATTAGAAAAAATAATCTATTCTAAAATTTGTATGGAACCAAAAAAGACCCTGAATAGCCAAAGCAATGCTAAGCAAAAAGAAGAACGCCAGAGGCATCATGATACCCAACTTTAAGCTACACCATAATGACATGGTAACAAAAACAGCTTGGTACTGGTACAAGAGCAGATATGCAGAAGAAACGGAACAAAATAGGAAACAGAAATAAAGCTGCACACCTAAACCGTCTGATACTTCATAAGGCTGACAAAAACAAACAATGTGGAAAAAATACTCTGTGTTCAGTAAATGGTGCTGGGATAACTGGATTCTGGCAGATATGCAGAATGCAAGAGTGAAGGAGGCTGGGCAGTTTCTACCTAGATTTCAGAAGATGTGTAGAGAACCCTATGTGCCCAGGAGGAAGCTTGCTACAGGACTGGATCCACCACAAACAACCTCTACGAAGGCAGTACCAAAGATGGGGAAAGATGGGGTTGGAACCCCATTCAGAGTCCCCACTAGGGCACTTCACAGTGGAGCTACAGAAATGCAGCCACAACCCTCAAGATCCCAGAATGGTAGATCCAAAGGCAGCTTGTACTCCCAACCTGGAACTACTTCTGGCACTTGACTCTGGCCTGTGTTATTAGCCCCATGGAATGTGCCCAGCCATAAGGATGAGATGCCTGAGGATTTTGGGACCCACTTTGTCCTGGTGTACCCTGACTAAGAACATAAAGTCAAGATAGATTATTTTGTAGCTTTAAGATTTAATATCTGTCCTGCTAGGCTTTAGGTGTGTGTGGGGCCTTTGGCCAATTTATTCCTTTTGTATTGACAATATTTACCCAATGGCAATATTGCACCTTGGAAGTACATAACTCTTTAAAACATTTTGCCAGCACGCAGCTGGAGGGAAATTGCCTTAAGACCCTGGCGAGACTTTGTAATTTTCAGTTGGAGGTTGATCAAGTTAACACTTTTGGGAACTATTTTTAAAAAAGATGATTTTGCAATCTTACAAGGATTTGAGACCAGGGGACACAAGAGTGAAATGCTACAGTTTAGGTGATTGTCCCTTCCAAATCTCACGGTGAAATGTGATCCAAAATATTTGAGGTGGGTCCTAGTAGGAGTTTTTGGATTGTGGGGAAAAGATCCTTCAGGTATGGCTTGGTATCAACCCCATGGTAATTAGTGAATTATTTCTTTATTAGCTAATTTGAAATCTGATTGTTAAAAACAGTCTAGCGACCCTCCTCCCCTCTTCTGTGCCCCCTCTCACCACAGGACACTGCCTGCTTCCCCTTTGCCTTCCACCATGACCGTAAGCTTCCTGAGGCCCTCACAAGAAGCAGATGCTGGTGCCATGCTTCTCACACAGCCTCCAAAACTGTAAGCCAAATAAGCCTCTTTTCTTTGTAAATCACTTGGCCTCAGGCATTAATTTATAGCAATGCACAGTAGACTAATACACTGTCCAAAGCAAGATACATATTCAATGCAATTTTTATCAAGTAACCAATATAATTGATTACATGTTTTAAAAAAAATCCTTAAATATATATGGAATCAAAAAACAGCCTGAATAGCAAAAGAAATCCCAAGGAAAAAGACCAAAGCTGAAAGCACCACATTCCCTGATTTCAAATTATACTACACAGATACAGTAAGAAAGACAGCATGGTACTGCTACTAAAAACAATAACAATAATAATAATGTAAAAGAATAGACAGCCAAGAAATAAAGACAAGTTTCTACAACCACCTGTTCTTTGACAAAACTGACAAAAATATGCAATGGAGAAACAACCCTCTATTCAGTAAGTGGTGCTGAAAAACTTAGACAGCCACACATAGAAGAATAAAACTAGACTTCTAGTTTTTCACCATAGACAAAAATTAATTGAATATGGATTCAATATTTAAATGTACAAACTGAAGAAAATGTAGGAGAAATTTTTCGGGACATTGGCCTAGGCAAATAAAATATGACTAAGACTTCAAAAGCATGGTGTGGTAGGTTTGGTTATTCATTATATTGAAAAATAAAGCTATCATATGCTCTGGTGATCCCACTTCTTGTCATATATTCAAAAGAAATAAAATTATTATGTCAAACACATGTTCACTGCAAGATTATTTATAATAGTGTAGATTTGTAAAATAATTTAATGACCACAGATTGATGAATGTGTAAAGAAAATGTGTACACAGAAAACTGAATTTTATTAGGCTTTGAAAAGAAGGAAATTCTGACATTTGCAACAACAGGGATGGGGCTAGAGGACATGATGCTTAGTGGAATAAGCCAGATGCAGAAAGACTTAATGATCTCATTTACATGTGGGATCTAAAATATTCAAGCTCTTGAAAGCAGAGAGTAGAATAGTGGGTCCCAGGCCTGTGAGGAGAGGGAAATCAGATGATGTCGGTCGAAGGGTAGAGGTCCAGTTGTGCAGGGTGAATGAGTTCTGCAGATCTAATGTACTGCAATGTTCTTGTATTTAATGCTGTATTGTAAATGTGATTTTTGCTAAACGGGTAGATCGTAGGTGTTCTCATGAGACACACACACATACACACACATGTAGTACATTTTAAAAAAATAAAATGGTAGCTCCATGAGAAAATGGATATACAAATTACTTTGGCCATGATGAGCATTTCACAATGTGTATCTGATGTGGTTTGGATCTGTGTCCTGCCCCAAATCTCATGTTGTATTATAATCCTCAATTGTGAAGGTGGGACCTGGTGGGAGATGACTGGGACATGGGGTGGGTCTTTCATGAATGGTTTAGAACAAACTCCTGGTGCTGTTCTCATGACAGTGTGTGAGTTCTCATAAGATCTAGTTGCCTAACAGTGTGTAGACCTTCCCTGCTTCCTGTGGCTCCTGGTCTGGCCATGTGACGCACCTGCTCCCCTTTGTCTTCTGCCATGATCCTAACTTTCCTGACTCTCCCCAGAAGGAGAAGCCACTACACTTCCTGTACAGCCTGCAGAACCGTGAGCCAATTAAACACACTTTTTTTCTCAAATCCCTCAGTCTCAGGCATTTTTTATAGCACCGTGAGAATGGACTAATACAACATCAAAACGTCAAGTGGGGCACCTTAAACCTATACATTATTAAAATATTTCAATTATACCTCAATAAAACTGAAAAAATTTAAGCTTATAATAAATACATACTTCATATTTTCTCAATAAAAAGAAGACAACATAGGAAAACTTACACTAAGACATTTGTAACAGCTTTGTTTATAATATTCATAAACTGGAAACAAATTTAAAGTCGATTTACAGGAAAATAAATCAAAATACTGTCATTTACTTATTTAACAGACTGACTCAGATATAAAACCTCTCTCCCTCATCTCTCTCTCTCTCTCTCTCTCTCCATATATATGTGAAAACTTTGAGGTTTCATATCAGAGTCAGTCCATTACTTGAATAAATGATAATATGTTGATCTAATTTAATACCTTAAATAGCAGGAAATAACCTCAAAAAATAGCAATGTAGCCCATTACCAAATTAAGGTCTAAAATGTTTGATTGCATTTATATAAAGTTCAAAACAGAAAAAAAATGGATCTATAGTGTCAGAAATCAAAACATTTCCCCATGCAGGAGCTGACCGCAAGCACAGAAAAAGACGCATGTTGTGGGGAAGGACTTGCTCTTCAGGCTACCTTAGGTGTTGGGAACAAAGGTATTCACATTTGACAGAAACTCTCTAGTGATACATTTCAGGTCTACGCATTTTTTCTCATATGTAATTTTTTTCTTATATAAATAAAACATGTAGAATAGTTTAAAATTCAGTAAATAGTAAAATTAGTATTAAAATCCTACATGAAATATCAACATCATTATAGGAATTAATAAAATGCATTCAAGTATACCTACTAAAATTAAATCCCAGAAATCAAAAAGATAACTGTAACATCTGAAACTTATTAATGAGTATATATTTCATAGAGAAGGAAAAAATTGTCGACATGTGGCACATGTATTTTTTCCAATCAAACGTCATTAAATTATTTATACAACATTTTAACCTGTGTCATTGGTATAAATTACCAATATTTTTTGTAATATTACAACTGAGAACAATTTTTAAAGAAAAAAGGATATTTGCACGCCCATGAACTAAATGGAATGTATTTTCAATGTTGGTCCAACTATTACACCTCTAACAATACCATGGTTTTGAGTGGGGCTTGGAAAAAATATTTTTTATTTTATTTATTTATTTTATTTATTTTATTTTATTTTTTTGAAATGGAGTCTTGCTCTGTTGCCAGGCTGGAGTGAAGTGGCGCCATCTCGGCTCACCACAACCTCCACCTCCCAGCTTCAAGTGATTCTCCTGCCTCAGCCTCCCTCTTTTTTTAATTGAACAAATATTTATAAAGCACCTACTTTGCGCCAGGCATTGTGCTAGGCACCCTCACTGTGTGCTGTTCCCGCACCACAGTCAACTGCTCAGAAATTAAAACAAAGAAATGGAACATTGTCACAACCATACAAACTGGGGGGCACGGGGCAGGATCGGGGATGCAGGTGATTCCCAAACCAGAAAATGTACTCACCAGAAACCTGTTTTCCATCTCTGGGTAAGTCTCCACTAAACAGTTATTTTAAAGCTTCCCCATGTTTTCGGAGAGGAATGTTGTTCTCCCTGTGCCCCCAAGGCTGGCACCTGGAGGACCTTCAAATACTCTGAATGCTATCGGATAAAAGGAGCCCGATGGCCTGGTGTAAAGAATATCAATATTTGGATGAGAAAATGCTTTTTTTCAGTTCATATGGTTCCAACAACCCTTATGAACGATATAAACATCCCTGGCCTGACTGCGTAAATGTTGAAGGTAGACCTGGTTCTGGTTTCCTCAGTCAGAATCTTCCAGTTGTCCACAACCTCACAAGGCCAGAGAAGCGAGAGATTTCTATTCTGGAAAGGAGTGAGTGGATGGCACAACTGGTTTGGAAACACGACACACGGCGCCTGCATTTACAGAAGCAACGCACACAGGGAACGTCCTAGCGCCATCTGGTCTCGCACACATACTTAGGACTCACGGTGGGGATCCCGGGCCTCTGCCAGCCCTAGTTGTTGGTGCCCAGCCTGGGAGGCCTGGGCGGAAGTTATGCAGGCCTGGATCTTCCGGTCCAGCGCCACCAGGAAGCGCCTCCAGGTGGCGCTGTCGGGATTTGCTCTCCTCAGGGCCTATCTTTAGGGAACGCACTTTATCTTCCAGGTTTTGATCCTCTCTCTGCCGCCTCCATCTTCTCAGAGACACAGTCGCACTCTGACTCACGGCCTCTTCCTCTGCTCCGCACTGGCCGTCGACTCCTGCAGCGCCGTGGGCAGCCGGAAGTCGGTCTCCCGCCGGGTCTGCAGCTCCATCTCCCACCTCTTCCCGTGGGCAGCTCTGCGTCGAGGCCGCCTTCAGCTTGTGGTTCCCAGACTGCAGGTGCGTGTCGGCTGCAGCGGCCTGAGAGGCCTTTCATCGTCCGTCCCGTTGACACTGGATGCCGGAGTAGAAGATGGGGCTCCACGCCCTGATTCTCAGGATGATTACTCGAGGGCTCCATGTTCTCCTGGGTCTTGTCTTTGGCTGTCTTGGCCGCTTCTTCCACCTCCTGGAATTTCTCTGCAAACTTTGTCAGCTGCTGCTCAGAGGAAAACCCCAAACCAAACACCGTGTTGGCTCTGCTGTCGGCCCACTGCCCAGACGTCTGTGACGTGTTGGTGAAGGTCATATTCTGTGTAATTGTGTTGTTTATGGTCACCTTGGCGCTGTCCACACTGATGATCCCATAGCTGTTCCTTGTGACATCATAGAAACAGGAAATGGTGACCGCCTGTTGCTCGCAGGCATCCAGTTCTTCTTGGTGTTGGGGTCAATCTGGAAGACCCGCGCTCGGGGGGTGAAGATGGGCTGTTCTCCCATTCTGACGCTGCTCCAGCGGCCGCTCCGACCCGGCCTCTGGCGCTGGCTCTCCGCCCGCTGGGCATCCGCTCCCCGCGCGGCACGTGCGGCGGCCCCTGCGCGCCTGGCTCAGCCCTGGCGCCGCTCCATTCCGCCAGGCGCGGGCGGGCAGGAGCTCTGGAAAAAATTATTCTAAGAGACAAATTAAAAGAATAATCTGTAATAAGGAGACGTCAACATTCCATCTCAGGAAAAAACTGAAAACATGTAATACATACAAAGTCCTGAGAAGAAACCTCGAAGCACAGGAAGGGTCTCATGTATAGTAGGTTGTAATATGTTTATTGTTAAAATTATTACCTTTGTGTTGTTTTGAAAAATTGAAGAAAAATATAATGAAATTAAGTGTTTTGTGCTTCTCTGGTATAACAGCATGTTGAGAAAACTGAAGAGCCCTGTAATCCTGAGGAGGGGGCCTAATCCAAGGAGAGAGAGGCTCCGGGTCCTGTGGACACACACGGGTTGCCTGCTTCACCCCATCTAGGAGCTGCTTCCTGAAGCCTTCAGGAGGCAGGAGGCTGAATTTGTTTCTCAGGACAATCTTAATCACATCCGGACAGGGAGAAAAACATTCATGACCTAGGACAGATAAAATATGTATAATTAAAATTTCATTGAAAATTGAGAAATTTTGGTTGTATGTATTTATAGTGAATAAAGCTATGTTATGATTTATGAATGCAATATGGAATAATTGAATCGAGCTGATTGACATATATATCACCTCAAATCCTCAAATTTTTATTTTTGTGTGTGTGACAAGGACATTTGAAATTTGTTCTTGGATGTTTGAAAATGACCAATACACTATGTTTAAGGTTACAAATAGACATCAATTTATGTAAACTATAGGCAATGATTGAAAGGAATATGGATTACTATATATGTTTCATTCTTTAGGATGTATTTTATAATTGTTATAATAATTTTATTATAACATTAAATATAAAAGACCACATATATGTATAAGTTTGTGTATTTACACATATGTCTATAGATGTAAATTAATGTCCCTATAGCTATGTAGTAGCTGATATCAACAGATGTTAACAAAACTCTAAAAAGAACAAGTGCAAATTATTAGGAAGAATTATTTCTTGAAGGTATGTATTTTAAAAAAATAACCTTACATATAAAATAAAAATTAATAAAACACAATTCCCAATAAAAAAGTTCATGATAAATAACCATAGTAAAATATCACAACCTAATAAGTCTCCAGAGTCCTGCAACAATAAGCCCGCCTCCTGCAGCTGAGAAAGGAAACCACCCGCATGGCCCTGCAGGGAGGTTTGTGTCTGGGCTCACACTGACCTCCCCTCACTGTGTCTCTGGTACACTAATACAGGGCCGTGTCCTCGGTTTTCAGGCTGTTCATTTGCAGATGAAGTGTGTTCTTGGCGTTATCTCTGGAGGTATTGAATCGGTCCTTACCGGAGTCTATGAGGTATGTGCTACCCCCATTAGGATTAACTTGTCCAACCAACTCCAGCCCATTCCCTGGAGCCTGGCGGACACAGTTCATGTAGTAGCTACTGAAGGTGAATTGAGAGGCTGCACAGGAGAGTCTCGGGGACCACGCAGGCTTTGCCAAGCCTCCCCCAGACTCCACCAGCTGCATCTCACACTGGATACCTGCAAACACAGAGACACCCCGGTCAGAAACTGCCACACGTATCCACTGTTTCTCACTCATATCCATTCATACTCAATATCTCTAGTTCTCTATAGATCACGTTTTAAAATAGCAACAAGGAAAACCCAGCTCAGCACAAACTCCATGGTGAGTCCTCTGTGTTCGGTGCTGATCACCAGATGAAAACACCTGGGAATTCGGGGGCTGGGCTCCTCTCCCAGAGCTGCAGGGTCGGGGCTGGGCTGGTTTTTATCAGCAGAGAGTGGGCCCTATTTCCATGTCTCCTACTATATAGCAAGCTCAGGGGTGGGACGGCTGAGGAGAAGGCAGTGCCCGGAGCAGATGAGAGTGTCCTGGAAAACTCTGGAGGTAATCCTATCACTCTGGAAAATATAACTTCAGATTATGTGATTGTGCCTTGGTAATCATTTAGCAGACATCAGCTTATTTAACTTTTACATATTTGCAGAATATATTTAATGCAACTGTCAATGTTACATTTGTAGAGAAGATAAATTACATACAGAACAGAGCAGTTGTGCAATGTGTCCAATATCACACATCTGGCCAGAGTTAGCCCTATTATGCGTGCCTGTGCCTCTAAACACTGGAGGAGACTGCTCCCCTGAGACAGCTCCAGGGTGGTGTGGGACATGCCTAGAGAGGTTTTCAGGATGTCCCTCCTGTCATAACAACTTTGTGTAATTTTGCCTTTTCTAGTGTTTACCTGAAATCTACAATCAGTGTTCACATGTGTGTATTTTCAGGAGTCCTTGATTATTCAAGTGTCGGTATTTATCCATTTCTTGCTCTTTCTCAGCCAATATATTCATTTTTGTTACTGCTTTATTAAAAAAACAATCAATAATGAAATCAAATTGATAGTGCAGCATTTGGAAAATGTTGATATATGTGTGCAGTCATTGAATCAGCACTTCAATCATGTTTTAGCAATTAAGTTAACCTCTAATTTTTTTTATCTAACTTGTCTATAATTTTATTTCACCACGTTGTTACTCTGCCCACCCTATTTTCAGAGAAATTCAGATCTTCTCTATGTTAATTTAGAATATTGCATCTTCTGTGATTTATACAAATGAAATCACATGAAATTGATGGTGAATTCTTTAGCTTCCTCCACTCAGCAAAATTATTTGATAATGCCCTCATGTTCTTATGTGAATGAGGCATGCCTTGATTTCAGTGGTTCATTCTATTTCAGTACATGAATATTTCTCAAATTGTTTAACAATGCACCAAATAATGGATACTTCATTTGTTGTCTTAGTTTCTGAATTTTATTTAGAAATCAGATACTAAGCGTTAGAATGTAAAAATTGAGAAAATGATATTATTCTGACCTCGTTAACAAAAAACATGAAGAATTACAAAAAATAAACCCCTCACCATATCTGAGTTGATGTCACAGAGAAAAAAATCCCTGAAATATGAGAAAATAGGGGCCCGCAGAGAGAACTAGGGTGCGTTTATTAGAGTACCTGGGGCAGGTGCCACTCATGGCATGGTATTGAAGATAGGAAAAAGCTAACCTGGAAATGTTTAATGAGTTGCTTGAAGATGTGTGTGCTAATGGTGTGAGAGTGTGAAACTCCTGGCACTTGCAGGCTTTTCCTACAGAATTGGGGAAATCCCCAGACAACTCACCCACCTGCTGTCCTGTGGTGTTGACTGGGGAGGAAGAACAGTAGCTCCGTTCAATGCTGAATCCCCCTTCATTATATGCAGGAGACATTTATTAAATCTTGTGTCCTGTGGGCACTGGTAGAATCAACTAGAACACAAGGAAACAGAGGACATCAGGGAAACTCTACCCAGAATCACCTCCCGTCTGTTTCCTGAGGAATGAAATCCAGAATCTGTGGGGTAAGGACAGTGGGTCAGAAGCTGAGGACACTGATGAAAAAACAGCATGACTGGGAAGAGACACTGTGACACTGAGGAAGGGAAGGAACAGGAACACTTGGAAGATCATGCATCAGAGCCAGTCTCACCACCCATAGCTAAGAAGGAGGCTCAGCCAGAAGGTTGGAAAACGTGCCCCTGTGTCCAAGCCCCTTCATCCCACAAACAGTCACCAAGTAAATGTGTCAGCAGGATGCACCTGCCACAGCTGAAAGAGACAGCCTTTCTTTGGGGAGAATGAAATGTGAAGATCCAAAGCCAAACAGGGACACAAACGCAGGTATCACCAGAGGAACCTGAAGTTTTTGTGAACAGGAGAAGCTGATTTCAACTCTGATAGCCACGGCAACCATACACTTGAAACCCAAGCCTGACTAGGTTCGCAGAAACATGGTTAATAAAGGCCCAGCAGAATGTAATGTGTGATCATCTCCAGGAAAAACTAATAATAATTACAAGAAAATAAATTACAGGTGAAATGCAAACTGAAATTCTACATGCATTAAAATTTCATTAAAGGTGAATGGCAAATAAAATTCTGTCAGAAAAAAAGATCTGGAGAATATGTGTTGTCAGCACATTCATGTTTCAGGGCACATTTTACAAAGATTCTCTGCGAGTAGCCATGTGATATGCACTCAAAATAGAAATCTCTACAAAGAAATAAAGATTGTAAAAATGGAAAAATCTAGATGAATTGTACTCTTTAACATTTGTAATTGCTATAAGATATAACTGTATAAAGTAATAAAAAATTACATATTCTATTTTACAGCATATGTAAGTGCAAACAGAATAAACAAGAAAGAGTGGCGAGAAGGAGGAATTCAAAGCACACAGTTACACTATCTGTGTTCTTCATATCAAGGCCATCACAGGATTTACATTAGAATCTAATTACATACAATTTTTATTGTAAATCTTATGGTAACTATACAATATTTATAAAAAGGTAATTAAATACCATGTTAATAGAGAAATAAGCATCATTATAAAATGTTAATTTAAACAAAAATTAACAGAAAAAAATATTGTTGGTTTAAAAATAGAATTTATTGCTCATGCCTGTAATCCCAGCACTTTGGGAGGCTGAGACAGGTGGATCACAAGGTCAGGAGATTGAGAGCATCCTCGCTAACACGGTGAAACCCCATCTCTACTAAAAATACAAAAAACTAGCCAGGCGTGGTGGTGGGTGCCTGCAGTCCCAGCTACTCGGGAGGCTGAGGCAGCAGAATGGCATAAACCCAGGAGGCAGAGCTTGCAGTGAGCCCTGATCGCACCACTGCACTCCAGCCTGGGCGACAGAGCGAGACTCCTTCTCAAAAAAAAAAATAGAATTTATTATAGTTGATTTAAAAAAGCAATAGATAGTTTCATCCATGTCCCTACAAAGGACAGGAACTCATCATTTTTTATAGCTGCATAGTATTCCATGGTGTATATGTGCCAAATTTTCTTAATCCAGTCTATCGTTGCTGGACATTTAGGTTGGTTCCAAGTCTTTGCTATTGTGAATAGTGCTGCTATAAACATACGTGTGCATGTGTCTTTATAGCAGCATGATTTATAATCCTTTGGGTATATACCCAGTAATGGGATGGCTGGGTCAAATGGTATTTCTAGTTCTAGATACCTGAGGAATCGCCACACTGACTTCCGCAATGGTTGAACTAGTTTACAGTCCCACCAACAGTGTAAAAGTGTTCTTATTTCTCCACATCCTCTCCAGCACCTGTTGTTTCCTGACTTTTTAATGATCGTCATTCTAACTGTTGTGAGATGATATCTCATTGTGGTTTTGATTTGCATTTCTCTGATGGCCAATGATGATGAGCATTTCTTCATGTGTTTTTTGGCTGCATAAATGTCTTCTTTTGAGAAGTGTCTGTTCATATCCTTTGCCCACTTTTTGATGAGGTTGTTTGTTTAAACCTGCATGTTGTGCACATGTACCCTAAAACTTAAAGTATCATAAAAAATTAGAATATTTAAGGACTGCCAAAATAAAAAAGCAATACACAACTATTAGCTATGTACAAGAAAGTTTCTCTACATATTCACAAATAGAAAAGATAAATATGAGAAAACATGAACCAAGAAAAGCTATAGTAGCTGTATAAATTTAAGACAAGGTAGACATCAAAAAACACTTTCAGGACTTAAGGATATTACATACTATAAAGTTATCAGTTTTTTTAAAGACACCAAAAAAGACTTAACAAATGTATAATAGATGAGGAATACACTATTCATTGTGATTTACATAACAAAAGTGATAAAGGAAGTAAAGATATCAGTGAGACCATGCACGTAAGGGTGTCCTGGGGACTGTGAAGATTCTTTGTATTCATGGAGGGCACCACTGAGAGCTTCCTCTTCAATTTCTCCCTGTTGCTGCCCACATCAACCCTGGTCCTGGAGCTTGCTGGACCAAGCTTATGCTGCAATCAGTGAAGGTGAATCCAGAGTCTTTGCAGGAGAGACTCAGATAGCCCCCGGCTGCACCGTTATTTCCTCTGTCTCCCCCGGTGAACTTCACACAGGACTTCTGCAAACACAGAGGGAACAGACTGAGAACAGCCTCATCTGGAGCAGCCACAGCTGAGCCTGATCCGCAAGGACACTAATATTGAGAGTGATGAGAAGGGAAGCCCAGATCAGCACAGACCCCATGGTGTGGATACTGAGGAAGGCACAGGTGTGGGGTGGTTCCTCACCAGGACCACTACGGACAGGGGATGAGCTGCTCCTCTTGAGTGTGGGAGTGACCACATTTCCATGTCTCCCTTCCTGTGGACATGTGTTTGCTACTTATCAGCGATCATCCCCCCTCTGCCTGTGGATTTCAGGGAGGGCAGATCAAAGGATTCCTGGGATTGGATGCTCAGAGTTAATCTGCAAACTACACTTTCTTTTTCTCTAATGAGGGCACTTTTCAGGTGTCTTTATAGATGAATGTTTATCAACAAAATAACCCAGTAAATACATGAAAATAAACTTTTCCCAGAGGAAACATATATCTGCCTGTAGTCTCTACATGTAGAGCTGTAAACCACTGTTCTTAACAAGAAGGCAAAATGTTCATTTAGAATTTAAAATAAAATGCAGATCTACACATTGTTATGGCTAGAGTCCATAAGTGCTTGTATTCTGAGCTAATTTTGCTACACAGCAGTTCAGCATCAGGCATATATGCTTATGTGAAGAAGGAGTCATTGTGGGGCATGTGTGGTTTTCTGAGGGGAGAGTCCACATTGCAATGTGTGTGCTTGTCTGAGGGAGGAGTCCACGTTGGGACAGATGTGTGTACATGTCTGAAAGTAATTGCCCATTTAGAGACAGTGTGAGCTAGACTGAGCTGGAGTTTGAGGAAAACTTTTCTCACTTAAGAGATTATGAGAATCCTCTGGGTGATTTCCTTGTCAGGAAGGAAACTGGCTCACATGGGAACCTTCTGAAAGAAAACTCTCTAGTGAATGGACACATCTTATATCCAAATGGAGAAAGTTACTTTATTCTTTATTCCCCGTATCTCATGCCATCCCTGCCCACACTGAGTAACATTGCTAGAGATTTCTATACAGTCTGCATCTCATCCTGGGGTTCATGACCAGCTAAGTACTTTTTTAAGTGACTTATATAATGGGTATGTAAAGAAACTTACAACTGATCAAAAATAAACAATGCTATCAAAAATGAGCCAAATACCATAACAAACACTTCATCACAATTATATAAAATAATTAAATATAAAATTTTAGAGACATGTGCATTTAAACAACAATGAGCTATCACCACCAATAGATTAGAATGGTTAAAATACACAATGCTTATAGTGCCAAATGGCAACGAGGATGTGGAAGAACGGAATCTATCATGCATTGCTGGCATGAAACCAAAATTATAACTGCACAAAATGGAGACATTAAAAAATTTCGATATTTTATATAATTTACATAAATGTAGAATTAAAATGTGACCTAAGAGGTGTGTTCCAAAATATTTACAACACCCATTCAAAAGTGTGTGTTAGTGCTCACACTAATATCTTCAGAGGAATTCTTATATCAGTTTTATTAATTTGATTTGTTTTCCACTCCCTGAATTTTGTTTACAGAATACAAGTTGTATGGAAAATTTCCCAAATAATTAGAGTGCATACACATTTATATTTTCCTATTTTTCAATGACTTAACCTCGCTTTCTTTTTGTTGTTGTTGTTGTTTTTTTGAGACGGAGTCTTGCACTGTCACCCAAGCTGGGGTGCAGTGGGTCGATTTCGGCTCACTGCAACCTCAGCCTCCCCGATTCATGAGATTCTCCTGTCTCAGCGCCCAGAGTAGCTGGGATTACAGGTGTACACCGCCACACCCGGCTAATTTTTTGCACTTTTAGTAGAGATGGAGTTTAACCATGTTGGCCAGACTGGTCTCAAATTCCTGACTTCGTGATCCACCCACCTCGGCCTCCCAAAGTGATGGGATTGCAGGTGTGAACCACCACGCCCGGCTGATTTAACCTCACTTTCTAAAAAAGTCTTTAAT
The DNA here is from genome assembly GCF_000001405.40 of Homo sapiens. NCBI lineage: Eukaryota > Metazoa > Chordata > Mammalia > Primates > Hominidae > Homo > Homo sapiens. Next base: position 763,573 of record NT_187600.1, read on the forward strand.
CAAATAATCCCTGTAATCTCCTCAGCCACAGCATAGCTGCCTTCTCCCTCAGGGTTTCAAGATGTGGGTTTTCACACTATGCCTCTTTCACAGTAATACACAGCCATGTATTACTGTATTACAGGAGGGGGATTTTTAGGTAATGTGTTAAGGGCATATATAATTTTACAAGAAACTAAGAATTATTTTCCTGTGTAGCTGTTTCATTTTGCATTCCCATTAGCAATGTTTTAGACTCTAGAAACCTGGTATGCTCACCAGCATCGGTATGATCCATCTTTCTTCTTAATTTCAGCCATTCTAAAAAGGGTGTTTGGGTATCTTATTGTGGTCTTGATTTGAATTTCTGTGATGAAAAATCCTGTTGAGATCCTGTTTATATGCCTATGTGTAATCTGTACATCTTCTTTAATGAAATGCCTGCACAAACCTTTGCCTATTTTATCCATGGGTTGCCTCTTCTTTTATTCACTGTTGAGTTTTGAGGGTTCTTACTATAATTACATAGGTGGTGATATGATTTGCAAATCTCCTCATCTAAAACTTGACATTCATTTTCTTAAAATCACTTGAGTACAAAAGGATTTTAAGTTAAATGAAGTTCAACTGATATTAATTTCATTTATTGATCATGATTTAAATTTTAATTTTCAAGATCTTTGGTCAACTATTAATAATTTTATATTTTAAATTGTAATTGTTTTTATCTTTATTTGTATAAATTTAAGGGCTATGGGTGCAACTGTGTTACATGGAAATATTACACAGTGGTATTGGCTTTAGTGTACCCAACACCCAAGTAACGTACATTGTACCCATTAGGTGATTTTTCATCATGCTCCCAACTCCTACCCTCCCATTCTGCTAAGTCTCCAATGTCCATAATCCCTCTCTCCATATCCTTGTGTACACACTGTTTTCCTCCCACTTATAAGTAATAATGTGTGATATGTGGCTTTCTGTTTGTGAGTTAGTTCACTAATTATAATGTCCCCCAGTTCTAGGCATCTTGCTGCAAAAGACACAGTTTCATTCCTTATTGTGGCTGACTAGTATTAAATTGTGCATATATGCTATATTCTTTTATAAAATCATCTGTTGGTGGACACTCAGGTTGTCATATGTGCTATTGGGAATAGATTTGTGGTACACATAGAAGTGTGGGTATCTTTTTGAAATATGATTTCTTTCTCTTTGGGTAGCTACCCAGTAGTGGGATTGGTAGAATAAAGGCCAGTACTGTTTCTCATTTTTTGGAAAGTCTCCATACTGTTTCCTTTCTCTCTCTCTCTCTTTTTTTTTAACTATACTTTAAGTTCTGGGACACATGTGCAGAATGTGCAGGTTTGTCACATAGGTATACATAGGCCATAGTGGTTTGCTGCACCCACCAACCCATCATCTACAATAGGTATTTCTCCTAATGCTATCCCCTCCAGCCCCCCACTCCCCGACAGGCTCTGTTGTGTGATGTTTGTTCCCCTCCCTGTGTCCTTGTGTTCTCATTGTTCAACTCCCACTTATGAGTGAGAACATGCGGTGTTTGGTTTTATGTTCTTGTGATAGTTTGCTGAGAATGATGGTTTCCAGCTTCACCCATGTCCATGCAAAGCACATGAACTCATCCTTTTTATGGCTGCATAGTATTCCATGGTGTATATGTGCCACATTTTCTTTATCCAGTCTATCTTTGATGGGCATTTGGGTTGGTTCCAAGTCTTTGTTATTGTCAACAGTGCTGCAATAAAAATATGTGTGCATGTGTCTTTATAGCAGAATGATTTATAATCCTTTGGGTATATACCAAATAATGGGATTGCTGGGACAAATGGCATTTCTAGTTCTATATCCTTGAAGAATCACCACACTGTCTTCCACAATGGTTGAAGTAATTTACACTACCGACCACAGTGTAAAAACGTTCCTATTTCTTTACATCCTCTCCAGCAGCTTTTGTTTCCTGACTTTTTAATCATCGCCATTCTAACTGGTGTGAGGTGGTATCTCTTTGTGGTTTTGATTTGCATTTCTCGAACGACCAATGCTGTTGAACTTTATTTTATGTTTGTTGGCTGAATAAATATCTTCTTTTGAGAAGTGTATGTTCATAACCTTCCGCCAATTTTTGATGGGGTTGTTTTTTTTTTATTGTAAGCTTGTTTAAGTTCCTTGCAGATTCTAGATATTGGCCCTTTGTCAGATGGATAGATTGCAAACAATTTCTCCCATTCTGTAGGCTGCCCATTCACTCTGATGATAGTTTCTTTTGCTGTGCAGAAGCTCTTTAGTTTACTTAGATCCCATTTGTCAATTTTGACTTTTGTTGCCATTGCTTTCGGTGTTTTAGTCATTAAGGCCTTGCCCATGCCTATGTACTGAATGGTATTGCCTAGGTTTTCTTCTTGGGTTTTTATGGTTTTAGGTCTCATGTTTAAGTCTTTAATCCATCATGAGTTAATTTTTGTATAAGGTGTAAGGAAGGGATCCAGTTTCAGTTTTCTGAATATGGCTAGCTAGTTTTCTCAACACCATTTATTAAATAGGGGATCATTTTCCACATTGCTTGTTTCTGTCAGGTTTTTCAAAGGTCAGATGGGTGTAGATGTGTGGCATTATTTCTGGGACCTCTGTTGTGTTCCATTGGTCTGTATCTCTGTTTTGGTACCAGTACCATGCTGTTTTGGTTACTGTAGCCTTGTAGTATAGTTTGAAGTCAGGTAGCGTGATGCCTCCAGCTTTGTTCTTTTTCCTTAGGATTGTCTAGGCTATATGGGCTCTTTTTTGGTTCCATATGAAATTTAAAGTAGTTTTTTTCTAATTCTGTGAAGAAAGTCAATGGTAGCTTGATGTGGATAGCATTGAATCTATAAATTACTTTGGGCAGTATGGCCATTTTCACGATATTGATTCTTCCTATCCATGAACATGGAATGTTTTTCCATTTGTTTGTGCCCTCTCTTATTTCCTTGGGCAGTGGTTTGCAGTTCTCTTGAAGAGGTCCTTCACATCCTTTGTAAGTTGTATTCCTAGGTATTTTATTCTCTTTGTAGCAATTGTGAATGAGAGTTCACTCATGATTTGGCTCTCTGTTTTTCTATTATTGGTATATAGGAATGTTTGTGATTTTTCCACATTGATTTTGTATCCTTAGACTTTGCTGAAGTTGCTTATCAGCTTAAGGAGATTTGGGGCTGAGATGATGGGGTTTTCTAAATATATAATCATGTCATCTGCAAACAGAGACAGTTTGACTTCCTCTTTTTCTATTTGAATACCCTTTATTTATTTCTCTTGCCTGATTTCCTTGGCCAGAACTTCCAATACTATGTTGAATGGGAGTGATGAGACAGGACATCCTTGTCTTGTGCCGGTTTTCAAATCCACCATGATCAAGTTGGCTTCATACCTGGGATGCAAGGCTGGTTCAACATATGCAAATCAATAAACATAATCCATCACATAAACAGAACCAATGGAAAAAAAACACATGATTATCTCAATAGATGCAGCAAAGGCCTTCAATAAAATTCAACACCCCTTAATACTAAAAACTCTCATTAAACTATGTATTGATGGAATGTATCTCAAAATAATAAGAGCTGTTTATGACAAATGCACAGTCAATATCATACTGAATCCATACTGTTCTCTATAGAGGTCGTACTCGTCCACATTCTCATCAACAGTGTCTAAGAGTTCCCTTTACATTTCATCCTCTCCAACATCTGTTATTTTTGACTTTTTAATAACAGCCATTGTGAATGGTATATCTCACTAGTTTTAATTTGCATTTCCCTGATTATTAGTAATGCTGAGCATTTTTATATATCTATTGTCCATTTTTATGTGTTATTTGCAAAAATGTCTACTCATGTTCTTTGCTCATTTTAATGGGGTTATTTGGTTCTTGTTTTCTTTTGTTGTTGTGGTTTGAGTTTCTTGTTAATTCTGTATATTAGTACTCTGTCAGATGCACAGTGTGCAAATATTTTCTATCATTCTGCACTTTGTCTGTTCACTCTGTTGCTGTGAAGAAACTTGTTAGATTCATTAAGTCCCATTTGTCTATTGTTTGCTTTTTGTCCAGAAGAGTTGTCCTGGTGTTTTATTTGAATACATTTACAGTTTGAAGACTTACATTTAAACCTTTAATCTATTTTGTGTTAATTATTTACATGTTGAGGGTGGGGGTCCAGTTTCATTCGCGTGCATATAGCTATCCAATATCCCCAGCACCCTTTATTGAATGGGGTGTCCTTTCCCTGGTGTATACGTTGGTTAATTTTTGTTAACTTTGTCAAAGATCACTTGGCCATAGATTATGTGGCTCGGTTCTGGGTTCTGTAAAATGTACCAAAGAGCCTTGGTTCTCCTGGGGCCTCAGTACTGATCTGCTCACTGCTTGAACTCCGTTGACTCAGTGATGCTCCTATCATTGTAGTGGTTTGTTGTCATGCGATGGCTGTCCTAAAATTGTGGACAATTCTGTTTTCGTGTTCAAACATGAGCTAGGGATTTCATAAGAAAAGTGTTGTCGAATTTTTCATTTCTTTTTTTTTTTTTTTTTTTTTTTTTTTTTTTTTTTTTTTTTTGAGACGGAGTCTCGCTCTGTCGCCCAGGCTGGAGTGCAGTGGCGCGATCTCGGCTCACTGCAAGCTCCGCCTCCCGGGTTCACGCCATTCTCCTGCCTCAGCCTCCCGAGTAGCTGGGACTACAGGCGCCCGCTACCACGCCCGGCTAATTTTTTGTATTTTTAGTAGAGACGGGGTTTCACCGTGTTAGCCAGGATGGTCTCGATCTCCTGACCTCGTGATCCGCCCGCCTCGGCCTCCCAAAGTGCTGGGATTACAGGCGTGAGCCACCGCGCCCGGCCCGAATTTTTCATTTCTTTTCCGCATTGCTCCTCAGACTTACTGAGCTGGGTTTCTGATGTCAAGCTGAGGCATTTTCCTTTCCAAGTGTTGGATTTTATACTTACCTGGGTATTTAATCACTCCCTGTGTGGAAATCAGCCTCATCTATCACACCTTCCCTATAAAATTTTTAGAAATTTATTTGTGCACTGCAAGTGAGACACTCCATGATGAGGACACATTCCATCTTTCTTGTTGTTTCATAAAATTACTTTATTAGTGTAAATTTTTCTCTGCAAAAAAAGATGGTATCTGGATTTTAATTAATCATCCTGCTCTTTTATCTCCACATTCTTCTCCAACATTACTTCCTGCAGTTTAAGATGGCCTATGTTATAGATATTTGTATTCAGCCCCTTGGAAGGATATGAGCTCAAGAAATAAGTGGCCACATATCAGTGATGCATGTGGCCCAGGTAATGGGAATCTTTCATGCTCAATCTTTGTCAAACAGGATACAGCCTCTGCTTGCGTGAATCACTAACAGGGAACATGCCATTTAATAGTACAGAATAGGAAAACAGACAGGGCTCTGAGTCTGGTTGGTATAGGAAACACAAGCCCTGGCAGGAAATGGCATCTCAGTCACACTTTCCTGTTCTGCAGAGGTAGGGAGGGAGCACCACTGAGATGCAGCTAGGTTCTTGTACAGGAGGCATCCTGGGCTGTGTCTCTGTGGTATCCGTGCACAGTAATATGTGGCTGTGTCCACAGGGTCCATGTTGGTCATGGTAAGGACCACCTGGCTTTTGGAGGTGTCCTTGGAGATGGTGAGCCTGCTCTTCAGAGATGTGCTGTAGGATTTTTCGTCATTCGAAAAAATGTGTGCAAGCCACTCCAGGGCCTTCCCTGGGGGCTGACGGATCCAGCTCACACCCATTCTAGCATTGCTGAGTGAGAACCCAGAGACGGTGCAGGTCAGCGTGAGGGTCTCTGTGGGTTTCACCAGCACAGGACCAGACTCCTTCAAGGTGACCTGGGACAAGACCCCTGTGGAGAAGACATAAGAAGATGAAGCCCACAAAGGAGACAACTGATGTTTCACTTCTGAGGAAGTCCCTGACCACAGCACTCACAGGAAGGGGTGGTCAGCAGCAGGAGTGTGTAGCAAAGTGTGTCCATGGTGGGGCACAGGAGTCACTGAGCGAGGCCCCGTGCTCAGCTTTTGAACCCAGAGGAGGGTGGAGCTGGTGGAGATTTGCATTCCCTCATCTGAGTCCTACTCTATGGGGTGCACTCAGGTCTCAGGACTCAGTAGGGGAGTGCATCTGTGGTGAGGAGCAGTGAGCCCTCAGGTGTGGGCGTCCACGTGGGATCTCCATGGGGGACTCCATCTCATTTCAGGACCATGCCTCTCAGCCAAGGCTCTGAGATTCCTGCTCCTACAGACAGGGTCTTCTCTAAGGCTCACCCAGGGAGCATGCAGCTTTCTGGTTTTAGTCCTAGAGGATGAGAGTGGAAATCAATAGAGATGGTTTTCTTTCTTCCTTCAGGAGAAATGAGGGTGGGAATCTGGGAGAGCAAGGGGCTTCCCATAAGTGTTCTGATAAAAATCCTCTTTGTTTAGGGGGAAAGTGATGATTTTTTTGAATGATAGAGAATACATCAACAAAACATTTAAAAATGTATTGTGTAAAGAAGTGTAAATGGCATCTCAGCCATTTACACACTGCAAGACACACAGCTTATTTGTGTGTCTGCACATAGGTGCATTCCTATAGGAATGTTCCATGGATAATCAGTCTTGTCTTTATGCCCTGTCAGCCCTTTAGGAAGAGTAGACTGCATCTCTGACATCCCTCTTCCAGCGCATGAGTGAGCAGAGGCTTTAAACAGGGTAATTGGAGGAATCCCAGGGGAGCAGCTGGTAGACTGTTCCCAGCCTTGATTTCCACCTGCCGTGGAGGTGGTCTCTGTGCTTATAAGGCCATGGAGACTTTTGTCAGTTCAGATTGACCTAATTACTGCAAACAATAATATACAGTAATTGGAAATTTCTAGAACAATGCACATATACATATACACCTCCATGCTAGCCATTCTGAGCTCTGTGATTTAGTGGAAGTTAAGCATTTGCACCGCGGCCATAAAGTAGGATCATTATGTAACTCACAATGTTGTTGTAAAATCATAGTTCTGCAATAATTAAAGGCTGGTGATTTACACTGGGCTCTATCGCTGACAGTTTTGGTTGTCAGCTGCAGGAAACAAGACTAAGAAGCAGTGAGATAAAATTAGTTTTCTTAGATTTAGAAAATGGTCTGGATGTGGCTTATGGAAAAGAAGACAGTAACATTCAAAGTCGTAGCCAATAAGCCCTGGGTTTTTACCTCACTTACCTCTTAGAAGCTCAACTAAAGCTGACTTTCCCCTCTCATTGTCTTCAATAATGTTTCAAAGTCTGGGAAAGATTAAGATTGGGCTAATTTTGCCGATGTTACCTTTCAATTCATAATAAAAATGATTTTTTGAGTTATTTCTTAGAGTAAAATAATGACAAATTAGCTAAAATATGTACCAATACCTGTGAGCAAATATAATATGGAAACAGGCATGTTCTAATACTAAAAAATAAATATTAGAAGTTGGGATGATATTAAGTGAAATTCAGTTGATATGTATTGACCTGCATATTACTGTGTTATTGTGTAGTCAAGATATTTTAGAAAATCATAGAATAAAATTCAACATTCATTTCTGATAGAAATTATCAAAAACTAGGTATACAAGAAGGATATCTCAAAAAATAAAGCGCATATATGAGAAAAACACAGCTTTCATCACACGAAGCATGGAAAAACCGGGAAATTTTCATCTAAGAAGTGGAAGAAGACAAAAATAACCATTTTTATCACTTTTATTCAGAATAGTACTGAAATGCTAGCCAGAGTATTTAGTTAACAGTAAAAGGAAATGACCTCAAATTTGGAATTGTGGAAGTCAGATTTCCTGTGAGCAGACAAAAAGATCTTATATTAAAAAAAGAAAACTAAAGCCTTCTCACAAACTATTAGAATTCATAAGCAAATTAAGTAAAGTTGTAAGATTCATCATCTACATACAATAATTGGTGGCATTTCTATATGTTGACAGCAAAACATCTGAGAATGAAATCCATGAAGCCTTTCCTTTTACAATAGCTGCAAAATATACCTAGGAATAAATGTTACCAAATAAGAGAAAGATTTCTAGAGGATAACTATAAATTATTGGTAATAGAAAATGAAATGGACACACATAAATAGGACATATATCCCAGATACTCCACATTTATGGATTGGAAGAATTAATAGTATTGAAATTTTCATACTACCCAAAGTTATTTACAGATTAGATAAATTATCTATCAAAATAATAATGGCCTTCTTCACAGAAATAAGAAAAGCAATCCTTCAATTCACACGTAGGCATGAAAGACCCAGAATAGAAAAGACCATCCCCCAAATGCATGGCATTTACACATTCGCAGTTCATTCATTTGATTATAACAGTCCCCAAACTCTTAACTCATTTCATCATCAACTCTAAACAAGTTTAAAACATAATTTAAATATTAACTAAACCATACATGAGTAAGATTTGAGGTAGAATTATTTCTGAAACAAATTTCTCTCCAACTCTGAGCCAGTAAAACCAGATATCTTATTTTATTGGGGCTGCTTTAACAAAGTGTCATAAAGTGCATGACTTTAACAAGACATATTTATTCTGTGCAGTGCCGAATGCTGGGAAGCCCAAGACAGCCAATCATGTGTATGTAAAGGTTTCCTTCCTGAATTGCAGATGGCCGTAATTTTATCGTATCATCTCATGACAGGGAAGCAAGAGAGAAAAGCTCTCCCGTGACTTTTTATTAGAGCACTAATCTCATTTATGACGGCTTCAACCTTTTCACCTGATCACCCCTTAAATGGCCCACACCCCAATTACACCACACTGGGGATTAGGGTTCCACAATATTAATTTTGGAGTTGCATACACATTCAGTCCATAGCGCTGGACAAGTTATTTGATTTCAAAATACAGTGGTGAGTTAGGCATAAAATAGACATTTTCTCCCCCAAAGAGAAAAATAGAAAAGAAAGGAGGGGTGATGTGTCCCCAGCAAGTACAACACATAACAAAACAAATTACCATAGACCTTAAGGCTCAAGTGGAATCTTCTCTGGGCCAAGCTTCTTCTTTCCCAGCTCATTGCAGCAGCAGAATTAATTCCAATGCTTTAAGTAGAGGCACCAATGGGTAACTGCTGGGTTAAGGTCCCATCCCAAAGACCCCATGCAGCCCTACACACAAGGCTCACTGGGAGTTCCTAAGTTCCAGGCAGTGGTAGGAGGTCTTTTCCTCAAGGTTTTAAGCATGGATGGTCTGGTCTGTTGAAACCAAGGTAGTGGTCATGATTACTTCTAAATAAATTCAAGGTTTATTTTTCTTTGTTCTGGAAGAATGGTGCACATTTGCAACCAAGTAGCTCCATCCTCTTAAATCTGAAGAATCTGACAGTATTCGTCCATTTTGTCTCATCTCCATCCTTGTTCTTTAAAACCTGCATTTATTCTCTTTTAATACCATAAATTCTTTATCAAGTGATATTACAGCCTCATACTCACTGTTCTCTTCAGAACACACTTTCTGATTTTTGCAACACAGATAGATTGAGAATTTTCCAAGCCTTTAAGTTTTGGATATTTTCTCCCTTATAATTTCATTTTCAATTCATCTATTTCTTATTATAAATGCCCAGGAGAAACCAAACTACACTTTCAACATTTTACTTAGAAGTGTTCTCAGCTAAATATTCAATTTTGCTGCTCAAAGTTCTCTTTTACTAAATATCACAACATAGTCTAGACAAGTTTTTTTTGTCACTTTATAACAAAGATCACCATTTATCCAGTTTCCAATAGCACTCTACTCATTTTAATCTATCAGAATGACACTTAATATATAAATTTCTTTATGCATGTCAAAACTATCCAGCCTTTTACACATAACCCAATTCCAAGGCACTTTCCACAGTGTTGAAATAATTGTAACATCAGAACCCCACTTCTTCATCCCAAATTCTCTTTAGTCAGTTCAAACATTAAAAACAATCATACTTGGTAACTTACACAACCTTAATTTTATCTCAGTTCCTCAATTCTGGAAATTCAAAGATAAACATGCTGGCAAGATAGGTTTTATTTTGAGGCTTCTACTGTTGGCTCATAGCAGCCACCATATTGCTATTTGGTCACATGACATCTTCACGTGGAGCGTGTGTGTGTGTGTGTGTGTGTGTGTGTGTGTATGTAAAGACAGAGAAGGGTTCAAGGAGAGAGAGAGAGAGAGAGAGAGAGAGAGAGACTCTTGTGTCTTTACCTCTACAGGCGTTAAGTCCATTTTAATGATTCCACACCCCTAATTTGCTGCACAATTAAATACTTCTTCTGTTCGTCCATTATTGAATTGTAAAGAAATACCTGAGGCTGGATAATTTATAAAGGACATAGGTTTTATATGGCTCACAGTTGTGCAGGCTGTACAGCAAGTGTGGTGCTGACATCTGTTTCTGCTGAGTGCCTCAGAAAGCTTACAGTCAAGGCAGAAGATGAAGGGGAGCAAGAGTGTCACATGACAATAGGGGGGAAGATAAGAGAAGGGAGTGGTACCAGGCTCTTTCAATCAGCTGTCATGTGAACTGATAACTCATTCATCACCAAGGGGATGACACGAAGTAACTCATGAGGGATATGCCCCTAATGCCATGCCTCCCAGCAGACTTCACCTCCAACACTGGGGTTCACAGTTCAACATAAGATTTGGAGAAAACACACATCCAGACCACATCATTCTGCCCCTTATGTCTTTCTTACATTGCAATATACAATAATCCCTCCCCAGTGGTCCCTGACAATCTGAACTTGTTTTGGCATTAATTCAAAATCCAAAGTTCAGACTCAAGGAAAAGTTCCTTTCACCTATGAGACTGAAAAATCAAAAATAAGTTATTTACATCCAAAGTACAATGATGGGTCAGAAATTGGGTGAGGAGTCCTATGCTAAAAAGAGAAAATGGCCCAAAAATTGGGTAAAGATTTTTATGGAAGGCCAAAACCTAGTCGGACAGTCCTTCAATCTTAAGGCTCTAAAATAATCATTGACTCCATGTCTTGTGACCTGGTGCAAGGGTGGGTGCCCAAGGCCTTGGGCAGCCCTACCTTTGTGACTTCCCTAATGCAGCCCATAAGGCTGCTCTCATGGGTTGGAGCTGGGTGCCTGTGGCTTTTCCAGACTCGAGCTGCAAGCTGCCTGTGGATCTACCATTCTGGGGTCTGGAGGTTGGTAGCCCCCTTCCATAGCTCTACTTGGCAATGTCATGGTAGGGACTCTGTGTGGAAGATCCAACCACACATTTTCCCTGCGATTGCCCTGAAAGATTTACTTTGTCCCCTAAAAGAGGGAAGTGCATGGTAACACTTTATGTAATTTAATGATGTATCTGAAAGCTTCATGGTCATACAAATACACATACATGCACAGCAGCCCAGCAAAGACACATAAGTATGATCAGGTGAAATGAATGTATATTTAAACACCAAAACACCATGCCCATTTGTTTCATATTATTCTAATTATTTAATGGCATTTAAATTGTGTTTGCAGTTTGAGATTGTAGTACAAAATAATGTTTTCCTATGTGTATGTCTGCCTATTCCAATATTTAAAAAAACAAATACACTTCGATACATGTTTTGGTAAAACTGTATGTAAATGCAATTATTGTCAAATATGTCACTTAAACGTGCAATGGTATTTATTTTAAATATTGGCCTGTTATTAATAAATTGAATAACTAATTTATTAATAGTTTAATAGAATTAAATAGAATAACTCTATTTAATTAACTCTATCTATTAATTAAATAGAATGTTCAAATAGAATAACTAATTGACCATAGTATGCATTATGAAACTAAACCCAGCCCATGCTTTTCAGGACTCTCTCACAATGGCAGCTTCCTAGAGGGTGGCGTGAGAGTGTGCAAGCACATAGGGATTTGGACTTCATAATCAAAGGACTAGTGAGCCCCAGGGCTGAGCACATAGAGGGCAGCAGGAGGTGAAGAGCCCACTCTGTGGTACTTAAGGAAGGGAGGGTATGGGATGAGGGTGATGTCTGGAGGGACCTAGAAAAGGATGAGGAGGGCAGAGAGTGCAGGTAGATGAGCGTATTCTAAGGAGAACTGTTATACTTCTAAACTTGGTTGGCTTCAGTGATTATGAAAAGAAGGGAACTGATTCACCAGACTTGGAAGACAGAAAGTAAAGGGACTTTCTTTTTCTGCATGGAGACTGAGGAAGATAAATGGCTTTCAAAGAAGAAGGGAAGGTGGAGAAACAGTCTGAAAAACAGGACACTGGAAGCCAAACAAAGTGGAGAAACAGAGCCTTTAAAGTGCTGTTTATTTTCCACAAACAGCAGATGAAAGAAAAAGAAACAAAACACCATGCATATGCTGAGTTAAAGTTAGAAAACATATACAATTGTTTGACTATTACAGCACAAAAACACAAAACTCTATTCATGGAAATAGTCTGTATTGAGGATATGCATTTTTTTTTCTAAGACAGGGTCTCACTCTGTCACCAAGGCTGGTGTGTGGAGGCACAATCATAGCTCACTGCAGCCTCAACCTCCCAGGCTTAAGGAATCCTCCCTCCTCAGCCTTTTAAGTAGCTGGTTGCACCAATCTCAGCTATTTCTTCTTTTATGTATAGAAAGCATCTCACCATGTTGCCAGGCTGTTCTAAAACTCCTGAGCTCAAGTAATCTGTCTGCCTCAGTCTCCCCAAGTGCTGGGATTACAAGTGTGATTTAAAAAATTTTACTATTTTAATAATAGTATTATTTTTAATAATTAAAATATATAAATAACCTATTTTAATAATTGTCCCGAGAGATCATTGCTAGTATTACTCAGAAAATACGCAGCAATAAAAGTTGCATTACATCCCTGTTCTAAGTTAGTGTTTTGTAGGTAAAAGAAATCATGGAATTAAAAGGAAAAATCAGACATCCTGGGGAAGACTTTTGCTTGACCAGGTCAGGAATTTCCAGGGTCTGAAAGGAAATCACAGCCTCTGAAGCTCCTGATGTGCAGCTGCCTCCTAAGAGAACCTGCATGTCCTGAGCGTCCCCTGGTGGTTCTGAGCGCCCCCTGGTGACCTGAGCCCAGAATTGTTGTCTTTAGCACCACCTATGTCCTGAGCGCCCCCTTGTGGTTCTGAGCACCCATTGGTGGTCCTGAGCGCCCCCTGTTGGTTCTGAGTACCCCCTCTTGTCCTGAGCGTCCCCGAGTGTTTCTGAGCGCCCCCTGGTGTCCTGAGCGCCCCCTGGTGGTGCTGAGCGCCACCTGGTGGTTCTGAGCGCCCCCTGGTGGTTCTGAGCGCCCCCTGGTGGTTCTGAGTACCCCGTGGTGACATGAGTGCAGTAGTGTTGTCTTGAGCGCCACCTAGTGTCCTGAGCGTCCCCTAGTGGTTCTGAGCACCCCCCTGGCGTCCTGAGCGCTCCCTAGAGGTCCTAAGCACCCCTTGTTTCCTGGCCACCCCATGGTGGTTCTGAGCAGCATCTACCACGCAGTTCCCTCCTGTCTCTCTGCAGAGATTTTTGTGTCTGGGCTCAGACAGATCTTCCCTCCCCTGTGTCCCTCACTGTAATATACGGCCTTGCCCTTGGCTTTCAGGTTGGTCCTTGTAAGGTAGACTGCACTTGAAAGGGTGTCACTTGGGAATGTTGATTTATCTGTACTCATGGAGAGTAACCCTTAGAACTCCCATATGATCTCTCACTGTTGCTACCCACACCAATTCCTGTTGTGAAGTGTGCTGGACCAAGCTCATGCTGCACCCAGTAAACCCGAAACCAGAGGCTTTGCAGGACAGTCTCAGTGAACTGCTGGGCTGTTAAATTTTTCTCCTTCTGACTCCATCAGTAAACATCACACAGGACTTCTGTGAATACAGAGGAAACAGACTGAGAACAGCCACAGCTGGACCTGATTCACAAGGCACACTAATATTGAGGGGGATGAGAAGGGAATCCAGATCAGTGCAGACCCCATGGTGTGGACACTAAGGAAGGGCAGAGACATGGGGTGGCTCCATACCAGGGCCTGAAGGAAGAGGGCATGAGCTGCCTTTCATGAGGAGGAGTGGGGACACATTTCCATGTCTTCATGTTTGTGGTCATGGGTACACTGCTCAGCACTGCTCATCCATCCTCTGTGTCTACATTTCGGGAGGGCAGGGTCAAAGGATTTCTGGGTCTGGATGCACAGGGTTATTCTGCCCATTACTCTTTTTTATTCTTTAATGTGGATACTGTTCAGGTATCTTCATAGTAGCAACATTATCAACAAATATGTCCAGTAAGAAAATAAAAATACATTTCCAGAGAAAATGGACACCTGTCTCTAACTGGTGCATTTAGAGCTGCAAATTACTGTTTTTGACAATAAGGCAAAGTTAGGTTACAACAAAAAAAATACAGATCTACACTTTATTAGGGAGGGGATTTATAATTACCATTATCTTGAGATCATTTTGCCACAAAACAATTCAACATTGAATATATGTGCCTGTGTAAGGAAACAGTAAATGTGGACATATGTGTACTTATCTGAGTGAAGAGTTCACATGGAGACATATTTGCTTGTCTGAGACAAGAGTCCACATGAGGAAAAGTCTGTTTTCTGAGGAAAGCGTAAATGTAAGGACATACATGGTAGTCTGAGGAAAGTGTCCATGTGGGGACATGTGTTTTTGTCTGAGGGAAGAATCCACATCAGTAAAGGTGTGTTTGTCTGACAGAAGACTCCACGTGTTGACAGGTGTGTGGACTCATCTGAGGGTAAATGCCCATTTAGGGACAGTATATGCCTGAACTGAGCTGAAGTTTGGGGAAAATCTTTCTCAATCAAGGAAAGAAAATAATCCTGTGGGTTATTTGCTTGTCTGGAAGAAAAAACCTGGGTCACATAGAAAATTGATTTTTTTTTAAATTAAAGATCTTTAGTGAATGTCAACATCTTATATGCAAATAAGGAAAATTAGTTCATTCTTTGTTGCATGTGTCTCATGGCATCCTCACCAAATAAGTTATTAGATAATTTTATACAGTCTGCATTTGATCCTAGGGATAATGTACTGCTAAACATCATTTTAAATTGTATATATTTAGGTTTATATTTTTCATCACAAAATTATGAGCTTAGACAAATTAATTGTGTCATGTCTCAACCATTGCATATCACTAAAAATAGTTTTACTCTTCTTAAACATTGCCTTTTTAACTTATTTGATACCCACTCTGTAAATTCCTGGAATATCCTCTCTATGTTTACTTGACTGTAGTTTTGGCTTTTACAGAATTCAAATAAAGAAATTATACAGTGTAATTGAAATGACTTCATGAAGAAAGTGGAAAACGAAGTTGCTGATCTAAGGAACTTTGAAAATGAGGAAATTCTATAAGTTTAAAGTGTAAAGAAACTGCACATAAGCACTCTATTCTAGTAGATAAAAATGGTTCCAAGAAGGGTACAGCTTTACATTTCTGATGCTGCAATGCATGTGTCCTGAAATTGTGCAGCTAAGTAATACAATGGCATATGATGGGATGGGGTTCCTCACTTTGCAGTGGGTGATTATGGACAGTCAAGGAAGCCTAGAAAGGTCGATATGGTGGTAACATAGTTGGGTGAGGAGACCAGTGTATTCTCATTTTTAATGTAATAAAGTTACAGAATATAAGATACATAAATAGTTTCAATGTGTCCTTAAACATGAGTTCATATAAACATGCACATTTACTAGGCCAGTTGGTTGAGAGGTCCTAAAAGTACTTATACCACATTAACAACACATATACCCAGTATCACAAATTTTATTTTAATACTATATTTTAACATCAGAAAGAAGCAATCTTTAGAAAAATGTCTGATTCTATGTATGAAAAAGTTAATATAGAAAATGGGCTTAGAATGTATTGTAATACCAGGAAACAGGAAAGTGTTCAAAAACAAAATGATGAGGTGTGCTGTAAGGATGCAGCATCCAAACTAAATGAGTTCCAAGCACATAATAAAGCTGTGGTGATTTGAACAATAAAATGAATAATATAGCATGGATTTACTTCAGAGTATGAAATAGACATTCATAAACCAATGCGGATATTAATAAATGACTAAATAGAGAAATAATGGGAAAAAGAACACATCTCCTTCCAGAAATATTCCAAATATCTTAGGGTGATAGTCCTCTAATCAAGTAGGTGATGTTTAAACACTCATGAGTAGATTGTGGCCTGAGATTAGAGACATGGAAAAAAAAATCACTATTAGTATATTTTATGATGAGATTTCAGATGTAATGCCAAAGACGTGATCTATGGATAAATGAAATTATACCTGTTTCTTTAATTTGTAAACACACACACACACACATACATATTTTTCTGCAATACACACTGACAAGGGAGTAAAAGACAACAACAGACTTGGAGAAAATACTTCCAAGTCACGTATTTGTTAAATGTTTCCTTTTGATTTGTTAAACGGCTTTTTTGATCAATATGCAGGTATACTTACAACTAATCAGAAGAAAACAATGCAATTAAAAATTAACCAAGTATGAATCACAACAAAATCTAAAATAGACAAATGGGATCTAAGTAAACTAAGGAGCTTCTGCACAGCAAAAGAAACTATCAGCAGAGTGAACAGTCAACCTACAGAATCGGAGAAAATTTTTGCATTCTACCCATCTGACAAAGGGCTAATATCCAGAATCTACAAAGAACTTAAACAAATTTACAAGGAAAAAACAAACAGCCCCATCAGAAAGTGGGCAAAGGATATGAACAGACACTTCTCAAAACAAGATATTTATGCAGCCAACAGACAAATGAAAAAATGTTCAGCATCACTAGTCATTAGAGAAATGCAAATCAAAACCACGATGAGATACCATCTCATTCCAGTTAGAATGGTGATCATTAACAAGTCAGGAAACAACAGCTGCTAGAGAGGATGTGGAGAAATAGGAACATTTTTATACTGTTGGTGGGAGTGAAAATTAGTTCAACCATTGTGGAAGACATTGTGGTGATTCCTCAAGGAGCTACAACTAGAAATACCATTTGACCCAGCGATCCCATTACTGGGTATATACCCAGTTTGAAGTAAAAATAAATCATATATTGCATTCTTAAGTTAAAAGTAGCATAATGTTCAGAAACACATGAACTTTCTTTGCAAAAGGTACTTCTACTAAAACTTACAACACAGGGTCTGCTTTCTCAAGGACCCAGACATTATCACCCTATGAGCTGATTCATCAAAGGCCCAGGTATTTTCAATTGCACCTCAATATTAGACTCATTCATTAAATGCAGATATAGCAAAGTATTTTAAGGGATTGATGTGCTATGCAGAAACATTCAACAGGATGTTAAAGATGCCTTACCACCAAATATTTCTAACAATTTTTTCATTGTCATCCACTTGGAAATTCTTTATTTTGGAAGAGACATCAGAGAATAGCAGCTTCAAACATTGTTAAAAGGCCTTATTATTTATCATTATCTACAAATGCAGCAGTAACTCCAACATGTCAATCCACAGGTTTATGAAGTGAAAATGAGGTGGGTTACAAAAGTTGTTTTGAGATAATTATCATATAGTTGTAGAATCAATAGCAATGGTGGCATCAGTGTAAGGTTGAACAGCCAGTTTCTGAGCTGATGTTCTTGCAAGTGTAATTTTTAATAAGGTTGTGGTGGGCTTCTATCCAAGATGGTGGCTAAGCAGAGTCTATTTATGATAGTTTTTGTTATCAGGAATATGGGCCTAAGAACCCTCCTTCATGTTCATTCCTAGGTCCATTTGTCAGGGTGTTAACACAAGTGGCTCTGTTTTGATTCTTACAACTTTCACACTCTTTCTAACACTACAGGTGAGGAAGGTGAACCTGTGTTAGTTTGCACAACACAGGATAAATTCCACATCCACATTCCACTTTGACCAAACAAGCTCATACCTTTCACAACTATTGGCCACTTGCATTCCCAGGTGAGTCTCCACACAACACACTGGAGGGTTCTGAGCAACGGGAGAGAAGATAGTCCCATCAGCCTCTCCCACGTGGTTGCAGGAGCCACAGTCTGAGCCCCACCTGAGCTGCAGGGAAAGGGCTTGAGCCCTGGAATTTTTACAGCAGGAACCACATCTCCACTTTACAGGGATCAGGAACAGCAAAAGGAAAATCAACAACAAATACAACTAACAAGAAATAGAATGGGCTAGGAGCAAAAGGGGCCCCAGATCAGTGCTGATACTGATTTGCATGCTTTAGTGTCAGGAGAAGGGTCAGACGTAAATCCTGTGAGGTTCTACCTGACACTGACCCTGGCCCAGCCTCTCTTGGCTGAGGTTAGAATTCCTAAAGACTGTTCTCCTCAGGGAACCCCACTAAGGTTCCTGTCCTGAATGTGACTGGAGAAGACTCACTGGGTACCCTTCAGCTTCCACAGGGCTGTGACCCTGGCAACCACTGGCAGAGAGATTGTTCTACATTTAGCACCTGAGAGAAGGTTTCCTCCTGGTACAACAAAACTGTGATATTTCAGAGACTTACAGCTAAGCAGAGCATCATGAAATAAGGGAGGGTCTCTGAAGGAAACATCTAAATGGAGAAGCAGCCCCAGACCCTGGCAGTAAACCAGCCTCTCATCTCCACCTGCACCTGCTCTGGGGCTGGCCCTGTGCTTACTGCAACCTGCCCTTCCCCAGTGGTCGTGAGTCCCCTTGGTGGTCTTGAGTCTTCCTGGAGGTCCTAAGTGCCCTGACAGGTTTGTGTCAGGGCTCATAAGGACACCTCCTCACTGAGTCTTTCACAGTAATACTCAGCCGTGTCCTAGGTGGTCATGGAGCTGAGCTTCACAGAGAACTGGCTCTTGGTTGAGTCACTGTTGATGGGGACATGGACCTGGGTGGAGGGTGCATGATGTGTATTCCTTGATGATCCAGTCTAGTAACTGTGCCCCAGCCATTCCAGCCTGTTGCCCACGGGATGGTGGATTCATCTCAAATAATATCCATGGTAAAAAAAAGAATCCAGACACAGCACAGGCAGAGGGCAGTGTCTGAGGGCCTCATGGGTCCTGGACCTGACTCCTGCAGCTGCACCTGGGACAGGACACCTGGAATAACAGTGGACTTCCTAGTGAGTCACACAGAGAGCTCACTTGTCCCCATTACCCCATTTCTTATTTCTAGATTCTCACACAGAAAAACTGTCATCCATCGAAGACATGTAAAAAGTTGATCTTCTTGAGAGAGAGAATAATGCCTTTCATGGGGAAACTGTGCTCAAGCTGATGATAGAGCAGTATCTGGGGAGGAGAGAGGCTGACAACACCCAGCATTGTTGCTGGGGTATAAACAGAGTTTGAGGAAAAGTGTGCATGTGTCAAGAGCCCCTCACATATAAGGGGCAGGAACCACGGCGACCTTCTGTCTTGGAGCCTCTTCCCAGAGGTGAGTGTCCTGCTCAGACATCAGATAACACAAACTCATTCCTCCTCTGAAAGAGCATCCCTCTGCTGAGTGTCAAAGCATCCATTCTTACCCCAAGGACAGGAAGGCAAGTGATAGAAACAAGCAGTTTTGCTGGACAGAGAGGGAAGGGGTAGGAACCAGGGAAACACCTTGTGCCCAGGACCTACGCCCTAAAATCTCCTGTTTCTTTTGGGTTCCCAGCTGGAGATGATACATTGTGAACTTTCCTGGCAGTCGCGCTTCTGGAGGGAGGATTAGGGGAAATGCTGAGTAAGTTCTCCTCTTTGCTGAGCACGGAGTTTTCACCCTCTGTGGTAAGTGGTGTTATCCCTCCCCAGTTGAGTCACCCCTGCTCACCCTCTCCCTGCTGCTTCCCAGGTTTTGCTTCTTTGCTCACAGTCTTATCCTTTTCTAGGTTTCTTTTCCTGGAGCCCCCATAGTAGCCTTGAGTGACAACATCAGTCCAGTCCACAACATCTTATAAACTGTGATTCATTTCCTTTTGATTACCTATGAACACTTTATAAGAAAATAGATGGTATAGAGAAAACATTGCTTTCCTGTTGTACATAGAGCCCTGCTGTGTTCTCAACAGGCCCAACAGGCCTGAGGACACACACACACACACACACACATCAATTCCCACATCCCCTTTCAATTTCCAACAGGAAAAATCATGACTGTGTTGGAAGAATTGTTTGCATGGGGCATGGGAGCCACAATGAGGCATCATCCCTCTCTGAGGATACAGGGTCTCCATGTTCAAAGAGAGAGACTCCAGGTGTGCAGAAGCCCAGTGTTTCAGGACCTGGGAACAGAATCACGGGAGACCAAGTACAGCAGGACTGGTCAAGAGGACCAAAGAACTAATGGTAGACTTTGAGTGAGGAGAACAAGGTAAGGCCTGATCTTACGTCTTCTGCCCTTCATTCTGTTGATACGATGTGTCACATTGATTGATTTGCATAGGTTGAACCATCCTTGCATCTCTGGGATAAGCCACACTTGGTCATGATGAATGCTCTTTTGATATGTTATTGAATTTGGTTTGCTAAGAATTCCTTGAGGAGTTTTGCATCCATATTCATTAGTGATATTGAACTGTAGTTTTCTTTTTTTTTTGGTATGGCTTTATCTGGTTTTCATATAAGGGTAACATTGGCCTTGTACAGTAAGTTTGGAAGAATTCTTCCCTTCCTTATCTACTTTTTATCTATTTTTGGAATATTTTGAGTGAGATTAGGTATTATCTCTTCTTTAAATGTTTGTCATAATTGAGTGATGAAGTCATCAAGTCCCGGGTTTTTTCTTTGCTGGGAGACCTTTTATTATGGCTTCACTCTCACTACTTGTTACTGATCTGTTCAATTTCTTCCTGGCTCAATCTTGGTAGGTTGTATGTGTCTCTAAATTTATCCTTTTCTTCCAGATATTTCGATTTATTGGCATTTAGTTGCTCCTAGTAGCCTCTAATGATCCTTTGATTTTCTGCACTATTGGTTGTAATATTTCCAGTTTTCTTTCTGATTTTATTTACTTTGGTCTTCTTTGTTTTTTTTCTTGGTCTGGTTAAAGGTTTATAGATGTCTTTTATCTTTTTAAAAAACAACTTTTCATTTGATCGATCTTTGGTATTGTTTTATTTATTTCAATTTTATTTATTAACGTTCTGATCTTAACTTTTTTATTTTACTATGTTTGGATTTGATTTGCTCTTGCTTTTCTAGTTTTTTTTGAGAGATATTCCTAAGATGTTTATGTTATAATTGTCTACTTTTTTAACATAGGTGCTTATAGCTGTGAACTTTCCTCTTAGTACTATGTTCACTGTATTTCATAGGTGTTCATATGCTGTGTTTTCATTATCATTTCTTTCAATAAATTGTAAAATTTTCTTGTTTGTTTCTTTATTAACCCATTTTAGAGCATATAGTTCAGTTTGGAAGCACATTGTTTAATTAAGGAGGATACTGTTTAATTTCCATGTGTTTTCAAAATTCCTCTTATTATTTTAGTTTTCTTTCATTACTATCAGAGAAGGTACATGATATCTTTTTAATTAAAAATGACAAATTTTCTGGTCTACTATGTGGTCTATCCCTGAGAATGATCCATATGCTTAGGAAAAGATTGTGTACTCTGCAGCCATTGGATGAAGTGTTCCATCAATATCCATTATGTCCACTTGGTCTGTCATGCAGATTTAGTCTAAGATTTCATTGTTAATTTTCTGTCTGGAAGATCTGTCCAATGCTGAAAGTGGGGTGTTAAAGTCTCCAGCTATTATGGTATTGGGTCTATCTCTCTGTTTATCTCTAATTGTATTTGCTTGATATACCTGGGTGCTCCAGTGTTGGGTGCATATATATGTATGTGTATAACCCTATGTCAACAAAGGGTGCAGCCACGTTGTCCCTGTCACTGCCTCAGCTCAGCACAGCTGCCTCCTCCCTCAGGATTTCTGGTTCTCTCAGGATGTGGGTTTCCACACTGTGCCTCTTGCACGTGTCCTCAGCCTTTAGGCTGCTGATATGAAGATATGCCATGCTGACGGAGGTGTCCATGGAGAAGACAAACCGTCCTGTGAAGCCCTGGGCATACGTTAGGTTCCCAGTGTTGGTGTTGATCCATCCCATTTCCTCAAGCCCTTGTCCATGGGCCTGTCATACCCAGCTGATAGCATAGCTTGTGAAGGTGTATCCAGAAGCCTTGCAGGAAACCTTCAATGAGGCTCCAGGCTTCTTCACCTCAGGCCCAGACTGCACCAGCTGCACCTGTGAGTGGACACCTGTGGAGAGGAGACAGGAGTGCGTGAAGTCTCACTTGACTGGCCTGGTTTCTCTCTCAGCCCGGTGACTGGGAGGTCCCTTACCTGTTGCTGCTGCCACCAAGAAGAGGATCCTCCAGGTCCAGTACATGTTGAGGTGCTGTGGTCTAGGGGCTTCTTCTGAGGAGAGTTGTGGTTGTTGGATGATGCTCTCAAGGCACAAAGATATCTATATTTACCTCAGTTATTTGCATATTCATGAGCGATCCTATTTCATACCTGATACTGCATGAGAAAGATTGGAGAGTGACACATGTATTACCAACAGGAGGATGCTAAGGGTTCAAGCTATAATCCCCTTAGAGGTCATGTGCCTCCTGATACATCCCTAAGCTCTATGTTGACAAAGCTTCTCCCCCTGGAGAACAATTTTCCCTAGAACAGGACTTCACTGTGAACACACACTTGAATGGCTCAGAGGTAATTTAAAGTATTTCTAGGCTTTAATACATGAATGTCTTATTCGGGGGATGAGTGTGTTTCTCCAAAGTTGCACTTATTTATATAAAAGAAAAGCTTGCTTAACCTCCAGCTGCATACTATTAAGATATCTAGCAGGGTTAGAAATATCTAGTATAAAAGTGGTTCTCATTACAACATCAAATTTGATAAATGCTCACAATTGAATAGGATATTTATAGAATGTTCAGCAGTCTTTGTCAAATACTCATTTTAGATTTTTTTTAGAAGAATGACACAGATCTTGAGAGGAATCCCTCCCCAGCCTCCGGTGCACCTGCTCTGGGGGTGGAGCCTGTGATGGGTGGGCCTTGAGCGCCCCCTGCAGCCCAGCCCTTGCACTGCAGAGAGGCTCCTGTCTGGGCTCCCAAAGCATTTCCCTCCCCCCAGTATGAAGATGCTGTGTCCTGGCTCAGAATGCTCATTTAGTGACATGTGATACCATGTGCTGCTGACACCATCTCTTACAATACTAAACTGGCCGTAGGAAAGCCAGTGAACTCTGCAGAAAGACCCCAAGCAAGGATTCTATGAAACCACCAGGGAGCCCCTTCTGTGGAGCTCCGGAAGCAATGGATCAGTCCACACTCACAATGAGTCCAGGAGCTCCCAGGGGCTTTGGGAGAACACCTAATCTCTTGTCGGTTCCTGTGGATGAACATCTCATCAGATAATTTCTAAACCTACAAAATCACGGGGCTCAGAGCCCACTGCAAAACTCCTAATACACACACACACACACACACACACACACACACACACACACAGTGCCTAGATTCCCCACAGTAATGGGAGGGAAATGTGCCTTACTCTCTGTGTCTACCACATTGGTTGTGCACCCACAGTGCCCCTAGGCCTGGGGATATGCCCTTGTCAACAGAGTGACAGCAAACACTTTACACCTGGAGATGGGGCCCTGCACACACTGTGGCTTCCCTGTTCTCCCAGAACCTGGGATCCTGCAGATGCCCCCGAGAAGCATCCAGGCTCCCCCTGGGAGGGTCGGCCACAGCCCAGCCCCACCGAGTTGGCGCAGCCTGCACTGAGCCGCTGACCTGTGGGGAAAGTCACAGCAGACCCACAGCCCAGCCAGCCCCACTCCCAGAGGCACATCAAGGAAGGGGGCAGGACCTGGGGACCCTTGATGGGGATCTTTTCAGGAGCAAACACAGGAACTGATCAGACACAGGTGACCTGGGAAGGTGAGTAGCTGGTCAGGGTTTCTGAGGACCAGTGTCTGTGATGGGACCTGCCTGTCCCGTCTCATATGAGGTGCCTCTCCTGGGGATCCTGTCCTTGTCTTACTTGTGCAGGTCCACTCTGTGGGTGACTGACACACCTTTATAAACCTCAAATCTCAGGAACATAAGAGCTGTGCTTAAAAAGTCCCCAGAAAGAAGACACATTCCCATCCTGCTGCGATTGAAACAGCTCCACGCTGGGGTTGGGGAGGGCTCATGTATCGCTGATGGGATGCAGAGGATCAGCCACAGGTGAGCTGAGGAAGACTCAAGGCTACTTTCCAGCACTTCCCCTCAGAGTGAAATTTGTGTGTTTGCCCCAAATCCAGGCTGGTTCTGGGACTTGATTCTTCCAAACTTGCTGCTCTGGAAAGTGCAGGCCCTGGCTGTCACTGTCACCGCTGCTGGGACACTGTGGACACCAACCAGGGCAGGAGCCTGGGGATGGGGCTGAGGACAGACACTAGCTAGATGAACCCATTGAAAACTTTGGGATCTGCTGGGGCTCACACTTATGGAAGCACATACACTGGAGGGTTTGGAGGAGGAGGCAGCCTCTGTGAGTGACTCAGGAGCTGCTGCTGCTCTGTGGGTCACCTCGTTGGCAGGTAGCAGTGGGCAGGTGAGTGTGGTTCAGCCCTACAGGGACACCAGGCTTCCACATGCCCCTTCTCACCAGGAAGGAGAGTGGCTTTGTTCATCCTGGTTTCCCCAGCCGTCTGGTCATCCTCTCTTCCTGACCTCCTGCCCATGGCCCTTAGGCCTGTGACACATGGACAAAGGCACTTTCTACTCCAACTGTTGATTACCCAGGTCAGCTCCCTCTAGAAAAGCCATGATGTTTTCCTGGTTCTGTGTCCCTGGCTGAAACACAATGGACACACATGGACATACCAAAGTGTCAAAGTGGAGGACGGGAACCCTAGAAAATACCACTCAGAAAAGAGAAAGAAATTAGTCCGTGGATAACAAGAGGGTGCTGAGCATGTCTGGAGGCTGCAGGTCCCAGAAGCTTTAGATTCCTCAAAGTCCTCAGTTTTGTCTCCTCTGTTGTTTTGGGGCTTCCCTGAGTTCTCCTCTTCAGATAGACTCTGTGCCTTTTCACACGCTGACCTATAGGAGATCGTTAAGCCAGACAAGAAGCCTCAAACCTGGTATATATTCTGATCTAAATTTTCAAAAGATAAACTCCAGAGACATTCAAAGAAATGATTATAAAATATCAATATGTAGCAACTGGCTGAGAAAACCTTAAACTCATATTATTTTTATGAACCATATACATGCTAAAACTTTGTCCAATTTCTCCACTTTATCAGAGACTGCCTGCAGGATGAATTTTGATGCCACCTAATTTAGAGTAGGGGAAAACTTAAAATCCTCTATAGGTCTGAGTGCCACTAACAACAACAACAAAAAGTTTGGACCAGTATGAAATTTTAAGAGACACCACTATCATGGACTGGGCTAACAGGTGATGGCATTTGCCCTGAGCATATTCTGTGAAGAGTGGTTACCATGGCTTTTCCTTCTAATGAGCAGAAAGCAACAGAGAATGTACAAAGTGATAATAATAATGAAAGAGAAAAAAAGCAGTCCAAATTCTGTAACAAAGCAAAGCACTAGAAACTGACACAAATTAAAAGGAGGTATATTGATTACCTGGCAGAAAATTCAAAGGAAACCTTATAAATGTGTTCAATGAGCTCAGAGAAGAATGCAAAAACAACACGAGAATTTTATCAGAGACCAAAAATGGAGAGAGATGAGATACAATGATGTGTAGCTTAACAGTAGGGATACATCTGAGCAATGTGTCCTTAGGCAATTTGTCATCATGCGAGGATCATAGAGTGTGTTTACGTGAACCTACGTGAAATACCCTGCTACACCCAGGCTGTGTGGGATAGCATAGTGCTCCTAGATAACAAATCTGTACATCATGTAAGTGTAGTGAATACTGTGGGCAGTTGAATCACCATGGTAGGTATGTATATATATGAACATATCTAAGTATGGAAGAAATGCAGTGAAAATACAGTATTATAATTTAATGAGATCATTATCGTGTATGTGGCCTGTTGTTCACCCAAATATCATGATGTGCATGATTCTATTCAAGTTGCTGAAAATAAAACAAAACCAATAAAACTGTCAAGTAAAAATATTACACTAATTAAAGCTTTTCTTCAGTAATGTAGGATGTTTCAAACGTTTCTCCAAAAAGCAAAAAGTGGACAAGTGCATCACCACTAGACCTGCCTTACAGGAATGCCAAGGTCTCTGGTAGGTTCCGGGAAGAATGAAGTAGCTGCATCAGCTCCACTCTGTCATCTGCCATTTGATAGACTTGCATAGTTCTTTTTTTCTGTTCTGCTTTTTCCCTCTATAAACTCCTTCTCCCTTCCCTTCATAATTCTGTCTGTTAATGCAACTCATATTTAGCTGAAAATGCTGGGGTCATTGGAATAAATTCCCATCGTTCCTCCACCAAAGCTAATAAGCTGCCTCCAGGGGTGTCCATCTCCATTTTCTTTTCTTCCATTGCCATGGGGTAGTTTCCTTGATCCTACATGAGTCCAGCCCTCCTCTTCATGTACATGGGCCATTGAACCATCACGCACCCGGGAACAGCTTCAGGAAATGTACCCTGCCAGCTTCTCCATCAGCCTCCACCTACAGTGATCATTCCTTCAGCTTTCACTCATGCTGGAGGGCTTCCCACACAAAAGGGCCTTTCACACCCACTCCCAGTACAGTTCTGGGACCCAGTCTACCTCCCAGATACAGGTACATATCCTTCCCCTTTGTTGTTAGTTTTGTTTCATTTATTTAAAATTCACTTGGATATCACCGATGATGGGAATGACCAGCGTGCCCACCCCATTTTCTGTTCACCGCCTGAAAAAGCCACCTGTGAGGGTAATCACCCTAGTGTGCTGCACTGAGGGGCCACCTGGATATACACTGACATGAGATGTATGAGTTATTAGAGGAGGCCCTGGGTCACCAAGTGTCTGTGCTCTACAGGACACAGGTCTGTCCTGCAGAAGAGCCTGCATGACCTGAAATCATACGTGTGCATAACCAGTGGTCTCAGCAGGGCACCTGAGACCAGCTTCAGGCAATTCCTGTGTAACCTGCCCTGGGTGCCTGCAGAGGACAGGTGCATGACAAGGATGTAAGGGAATGATGTGGGTTAGGGGAATTGAAGCTCACTCTTTACTGAGGCTCTACTCGGCACCTGGACCTTATGGAAGACTAAGAACAGAATGAGTCCAGCCCCAAATAGCTCCTAGTTTAGGGTCAGCTTTAGTGGGATTTTAGAGAGTACAAGACACAGGGTGATGCTGGAGTGGTTTTCTGTGACCGTGTGTCACTTGGGGGGAAGCAGAAGGTGGGCAGGGATCAGGACTCCATCTGGCTGGTTCTCATTATCTACATGGATTCTCATAGTGGAAAGTGAGATACACGACCTAGAACATACCCCCAGGGCTGATCTCAGAGACTGCTGCTAAGTGAATGGCTCAGCAGAAATGTGGTGGGGTTTTCATCTTGGATCTATTTTTCTTTATGAAAATAATTTGAGAGATGTGTCCAGCCTCGGTGGGCTGCTACTCCATGCAGGAGACGGAGCTAACACAATTGAATCTCTGAATCTACTTGGCTTTCCATGAGAAGATACCACAGACTAGGCTATTTCAAATAACAAATATTAATTTTCTTATTGTTCTGGAGTCTTGACGTCCAAGATCTGGGTGCAGAAAGGGTAAGTTTTTTGAGAGGCCTCTTCCAGGCTTGCAAAGGGCCACCTTCTCATGCAGCGCATCCCCACATGGACTCTCCTCTGTGTGCATGTGGAGAGAGAGGCCTCTGATGTCTTCCACTTCTCATAAGGACAAGAGTCCTACTGGATTAGGGTCCCACATTTATGGCCACAGTTAACTTATTTGCCCTCTTAAAATCCCTCTGTCCAATACAGAGCCACTGGGATTGGGGTTTCATCACATGAATTTAAGAGAAAGACACGATGCAGTAGATGACGCCAATCAAGGGATAGTGAGAAGCCTTAGAATATTTTGCTTGTCAAGAAGGTAAAATGGGCCTTGTGGGAATTTGTTGAAAAAAGGGTGCCAGTGACTGTTAAAACCTGCAGCAAGGATGTGAGGAAGTAGAACCACAGATAATAAAGAAAGAGGAGTCCTGGGGACAGCTGAGGTGCTGGGGAGGAGGGAGAGCACTGAGCTGATGAGGAAGCCCCGCCCTCCCTGCACCTGCTCCTGACCCGGCCTCCTGCTCTGTGGGCCCCGCGCGCCCCCTGCTCGTCCTGAGCAGCACCTGCGCCGGCTCCTCCGCCTCCCTGCAGGGAGGTTTGTGTCTGGGCTCACACTCACCTCCCCTCACTGTGTTTCTCGCACAGTAATACACGGCCGTGTCCACGGCGGTCACAGAGCTCAGCTTCAGGGAGAACTGGTTCTTGGACGTGTCTACTGACATGGTGACTCGACTCTTGAGGGACGGGTTGTAGTAGGTGCTCCCACTATAATAGATGTACCCAATCCACTCCAGTCCCTTCCCTGGGGGCTGCCGGATCCAGCCCCACCAGTTACTACTGCTGATGGAGTAACCAGAGACAGCGCAGGTGAGGGACAGGGTGTCCGAAGGCTTCACCAGTCCTGGGCCCGACTCCTGCAGCTGTACCTGGGACAGGACCCCTGTGAACAGAGAGACCCACAGTGAGCCCTGGGCTCAGAGGCACCTCCCATATCTCCATGTCTGCAGCCTTGAGACACTCACATCTGGGAGCTGCCACCAGCAGGAGGAAGAACCACAGGTGTTTCATGTTCTTGCACAGGAGGTCCAGGACTCTCAGAAAGTATTTCCCATGTGAGCAGGACCCTGAATTTAAGGAAATGTGTGATGGTTTCCCTTGGGTGCCTAAGTGAGATTTGCATGTGGGTGGTGCCTCTGTATGGAGAGGTGAAAAGGGATGAGGGAGGCCCCAGTCTTTTAGGCTCTCCCTGGAAGGAGGATGCTGGTTGTGCCCTCTGAGAATTCAGTTATCTTCCTGGGGCCTCAACTCACTATGTCCTGGCTCCTCTTTTCCCAGGTGAGGAAACAGATTGCAACAGCAGCTTAATGTAACAATCATGTGAGTTCAGACACACCAGGATTCACTTAACGTTATTTGTAGTTCAGAACCTCTATCAGGTTTAGAGGGAATCGCTCTGTGCCAGGGAGTGGGTCTTAAATAGCAAAACGGCCTCAGAAAACCCAACATAATCTATAGCGAGACCTCAGCATGGCAAGCAAGGAATCCCTAAAGCCACCAGGGAGCTCCGGATGCACTGATACGGCCCAGACACATGGCGAGTCCAGGAACTGATGGGGACTTTGGGGGAGCCTCTTTTATTATTTTTTAGGATTCTGTGGTTGAAGGTCACAACACTGGGCCTGACTGCTTCCTGAACCAAGCCCAGCACAATATGGTTCACCCCAGTGACATTTTCAGATCTTTCTTCCTGTAATGAAAGCACGGTGTGATGTGTATGCACTATTGTGTTTACCTAATGAATGTAAAGAGAAGCACATTTCATGCAGCTGTATTTTCATAAATGTCAGTCATTCATCATGTTAGTGTCTATTTTTCCATAAATCTGTACAGAACAAATTATTCATTCATTGATTTGTAATAGTCTTATTGAGACATTATTACTATACATTAAATATTGCAAAAAGTGTGCGGTTTAATAAGTACTCAAGCCAAGCCTGCTGGCAAACAACGGTAGTTCCAGCTACTTAGATGGCAGATGCAGGAGTATTGTTGGAGACCAGAAGTTGGAGGCTACATTGAACTATGATCCCACCACTACACTCCAGCCTGGGTCGCAGAGTAGGACCACATCTCTTCAGAAAAAAACAAACAAACAAACAAAACAAAATGTTATTCCACTCGTGCTCACCTGTGCATCCCCAAAAGCCATCCAAATAATGAATAAACAAATTACACTTAAAAGTTTCCTTGTGTTCCTCTACAATTCCTCCTTCCCAATTATTTTCTTCCTCCACCATATTCTGAGTCAGTCCTTCACATTTAATACCTTAGTTTTGAGTTTCAAGAATTTATTATACAGGAATTACATAGTATGTGTTTTATTTGTGTGGCTTCTCGCACATAACTACTTATGATGCACACATGTTGAGCATCAACAATGTATTGATTCTAATGATGGATGTTATTACCATAAATTAGCATGCCATTACTGTTTATCTATGTATCTTCTTGATATTTGTACCATTTCTAGTTGCTTAGTATTACACAGAGGTGCTTCTCAGCTTGGAGATGTAAGCACCCCATAAAAATATGTTACTATTCTTATAACAAATACTAAACTTACTGATCTGCAAATTAGCATATATACATCAAATTTTTGATGTTATAGGACAAACAATATATCTGAAATCTGAACAGACATAAAGACTTGCAGGGAAATAAACAGGAGCAGATGATAATCTTTTCTGGGACAGAGGCTGCCAAATGTCATTTAAGTTAGCACACGATTAAAGTAGACATATTCATTGGGTGGTTTCAATTTGAGTGTGATAGAGAAGTTATTGTTTAAATTCTCAGAGTGTATGCAGTTGAGGAATTCCTCCTGCTATTGAAGGCTTTTTCTTCAGTACTGGGGATACATCACAAAATGCTCCACCCTCTACCCCTTGGGATGGTGCTGTCTGGGAAAGCAAAACAGCAACTATAGGTGAAGTGCATCCAGACACACCTCCCCATCAGCACTACATTGCAAGAGAAATTATCTGCAGAGGTAAAGCCATCAAAACCACTGTTCTACAGACACTGGAGAAACCAATAAGAACTGGGAGGGGAGAGAGGAATGCACCAAGTCCCTGTCCAGGCCCACCTCCCATCTTCCCTCAGGAGTAACAGCCTTATTCAAAAGGAAAAGGCAGAAACTGAAGAAATCAGTGGGAAGACATAGTGGCTGCTGAAGGAATATATGAATAAAAACGAAGAGGCCAGGTGTGGTGCCTCACGCCTGTAATTCCAGCACTTTGGGAGGCTGAGGTGGAAGGATCACCTGAGGTAGGGAGTTTGAGACCAGCCTGACCAACATGGAGAAACGTCATCTCTACTAAAAATACAAAATTAGCGGGGCATGGTGTCACATGCCTGTGATCCCAGCTACTCTGGAGGCTGAGGTAGGAGAATCACCTGAACCTGGGAGGGGGAGATTGCAGTGAGCTGAGATGGCGCCATTGCACTCCGGTCTGGGCAAGAAGAGGGAAACTCCACCTAAAAAAAAAAAAAAAAAGAATGTAAAGAACCGGCCAAGTGTAGATGAAGGGCCCTGGAAACCTAGCTACTTGCTAGTCAGGAGGTTGAGGTGGGAGGATTCTATGAGCCAGGAATTTAAAATCACCGTGAGCTATGTTATGATCACACCACTGCAGTCCAACCTGCACAAGAGAGTGAGACTCCGTCTCAAAAAAAAATTAATTAATTAAGAATTTTACACAATTGTAAAGCTACTCAAATAGAGGAAGTTAAACTGCGCATCCTCACATATCATCAGGCACTTCTGATATTTTGAAGAAGACAGGTGACCTAAGACCTTCAGAATAAGCTGATGATCTCAAATCATGAGAAGCTTCCACACAAGACATTGGACCAGAATCCTCCTCCATATCCTACTCATTATTCTTTGCTTATAAACAGTCTTCTCATTTTCTGCAGACCTGGCTGTTGTCCACCCATATTGGAGTCTTGTCTCTTTTCTTACTCATCATTTGTATACTTGCTATTTAGAGTAAGTCATCAGACTCTGTGTTTAGGCCTGACTGCTGATAACTTCAGGCTCATTCCTCCATCATCTCTTTTTTTAAGCATACAAGGTAAATCTAGTTAGAAATCACAGGAGCTCCCTCATTTGATGCCAATTTGGCCTTGAAACCCCACAAAACCCTTCCTGCAAGTAGGATGCTCTGCCCCGCTCCCCACCAAACCATGATAACAACCCTGAGCCAGTCTCCTTCCCTGCCCTATCAAGCCACTTTGGACCTTAATGAGAGACCTGCCCTGCTCTCAGCAGACACCTTAAGGATGCAGGTAACTATCCTTTCCATACTCACTTGGTGTGAGTGTGTGGCATAATCAGACTCAACATCCACAGAAAATTTTAGTTGAGATCTCTTGGCATTGGCATGGTGTCGGCTACAATGGATGCTGGGAGCTTGGTGTCACGGCTCCTTCCAAAGGACATGCCTGCTCCCTGAGTTAACTCCCAGACGCAGTTGGACATGCCTCCTGGGGTCTGAGAAGCTCCTTTCATGTACTGAAATCCTGTCATTATGTTTTTGTATTCTAGTGTCTCCCTAAAAGTACAGTGAGACCCAGGGTCCATTCATGTGTGTATTCAGGACTCTCTGATTTTTATGTATTTTATTCATCTCTCTCTACTACCTTTTCTACCAAACTAGACATTTAAAAAATTGCAATATTTTAATGAGGTGAAATTAGCAAATAAGAATCTTTACATAAAGTGTACAATTTTACAAATATTGACATAATCCTCACTTTTACTAACAGAGAAAAAAATCAATTATCCTAGAAATTTCCTTTTGTTCTCCTGTAGTTTCTCCTTTCTATACCTTCTCTTCTTGTACCATGTCCCCAGTCAACTACAGATCTTTTTATGTAACTTTAAGTTCATTTTTACTTTATAGAAATTATAGAAGTGGAATCGTATGTATGCACTTTTATTTG
This sequence comes from Homo sapiens, assembly GCF_000001405.40. NCBI lineage: Eukaryota > Metazoa > Chordata > Mammalia > Primates > Hominidae > Homo > Homo sapiens. The sequence goes on from NT_187600.1 coordinate 796,397, forward strand.
TCTGACTTATTTTACTTATTCAAGTACTTGCTATTTTAAGCATGGTGTTGGGTGTATCCAGCATTACTTGATTGTAGCAGTGGGTATGATTCCAGTAAGTGAATTTTCCACAATTTGTTTACCAGTTAAGCTGCTGAATAACAGTTGGATCGCTTTTGGTCTCTGGGTATAATAAACAAAGATGCTACTTAGCTTAGAGAAGTGACAAGCTGAGAAAAACATGGTTCTTATTTTTACATAACATGAATAGCAGGCAAAGCAGAAAAGCTGCACACTAATCAATTTGCTTCAATACATCACATAATTAAAGTTGGGAAGCTCTGTGTGTGTGTCAGTTCACGTGTTTTTGTGTGACAGAAGAGAGAAGGCAGGAGGAGAGACCATGCCAAAAGGAGACCCTACCTGTTTTGACCATAATGTGTGAGGTACTCAAGTAAATACAGGGACTTAGTGCTTGATGGACAAGGTCCACATAAGATGGAGAAGACAACTGGATGCACCTCCATATGGGTACATATTAGTATTTACATAAATGCCATTTTCTAATCATATCAACACTCAGACACATTAGAAGAGATGTAGTGGAGGGTGTCTGGTGGTGAAATATGATGGTGAGAACAACCCACATCTACAGCCCCTTTTCTGCCCTGTTGCACTTGCCCTGATGCGAAGCCTTGATCCTGCTCATCCTGACCCCTAACAATCATCCTAAGCCCCCATACTGCCCCGAATGCCCCCTGCTGCTCCTATTCACCCCTGCAGGGAGGGTTGTGTCTAGGCTCACAATGAAGGCCCTTCATTGCGTCTTTTGCTTAAAAATGCGTAGTTGTGTGTTCACTGGGCACAGAGCTCAGCTGTAAGAACTGTTTCTTGGATCTGGATATGGACTCTTGAGCAGTGGGTTGTAATTTGTGCTCCCTTCACAACCCATGCACCTGATCCACTCCTGTCCATCTTCTAGGGGCAAGCAGATACAATTCTAGCAGGACACACTGGTTATGATGGGGAATCCAGAGACAGTGCAGGTGAGGGAGAGGGTCTGCAAGGACGTCTCAAGCCAGAAGTGTGCTGAGAAACATAGTTGTTGATGTTAACAGGTTCTGGGCAACACAGTGAAATTCCCAAAACCACACATTTTTATGAGAATAAAGAGCTCACTTTGTCCAATTTGTGAGTCTCCTAGAACAATTCAGTAGATTTCGAGGTTAGGTTAAAAAGTATTATCACATGTTCCTTTCCTCAAACTTGCAACCAAATAAAAAAGAGAAACTGCCGTTAGAAAAATGAACCTTGAATTGTTACCATGGTGTGTGATAACGATGATTTTTAGAATATGATTGACCTGTGATAACCTGAAGACTGTCCTAATTCCGAGCCACAATTAGACCTGAGCAGCAATCACAGGGAGTGAAACACCTGACTCAGTGAAGCTGCACCTGGGGGTCTCCGCAGGCCCTGAGTGGTACAGGAACAGCTCCTCCCTCAGACTCAGTCTAAGGAGAACTTCTGCTCTTTATCTGGGGAGGTGAGGGTGAGTGCGTGGAAAGTACCAAACTTGCTCTAATCAAGATCTCTGCATGTGGGGAGAACCAAAGTATACGAGAAACAACTGGTTTCAGTTTAGATCGAACAGTTTCTCATGAGAAGGGCAGTACCATGTCTGGATCCTGCACAGAATTCAGAAACAATGAACTTGGGGTAAAGTTGAAAATTATAATTGTTTGCAGATTGTGTTATTAATTATCTATGTCATCTGAGAAAATGAATTAAATCACATGGTTTTCATATAAAAATTGACAAAGCGTGCTGGCCCTGAGAATGCACCTCAAATCCCTCCAATATCCAGGAGCCCAATAGACCAGGCAGCCAGCTGCTGCACTGCACTCTAACACCCATCAACTGTGTGTGCCAAAGACACCCATCCTGGGAGCTCCTCCCAGACAATGGCTGTGCACAGTGGAGAGATTGAGGCATGGCTGCTGCTGGGACACATGGGAGATCCCTGATGGACAACTGTGCTCAGCGAGGCACCAATGGCCTTGCTGGACTTAGCTTGGACCACGGGGTCATCAGGGAAGCTCCATCAAACTCCCACCCTTCTCCAGCACTAGTTGTGGGTCTGGCATTGGGGGTGGCAGTGTCTACAGACACACCCGGCTCCTATGCATTTTTATGCCTCCAATACTTACATCTGTTTTTAGGACATATGAGAATATTTCCTCTTTCAAATTAGTTTTCTAATCCAGCGACCTCATGGTGGGCACAAAATATAAATGTACAGAGGCTCAGAGGGGAAATATTAGAAGCAGAGGAAACCACAGATCCTGAAGGAAAGCAGCCCTTACCCTCCCTCCATCTGCACCTGCCTTGGGGCTGCACCTGTTTTGTGAGTGCTGAGTGTCCCCTTTGGCCCAGACTCCTTTCTTCTTTTTGCAGGAAATTTTGTGTCTGGACTCACACCGATGTTTCCTCACTTGGAACCTTATGTACAGCCATACACAGCCATGTCCTCAGTTCTCTGACTGTTCATTTGCAGATACAGAGAGTTCTTAGCATTGTCTTTGGAGATGGAGAATCTGCCCTTCACAGAGTCTGCATGGTGTATCTGACTTCCATCATCTTTTATATCTATTACTCACTCCAGCCCCTTGCCTGCAGACTGGTGAACTGGGCTCATTCAGAAGCTACTGAAGGCGAATCTAGAGGCTACACAGGAGAGTCTCAGGAACTTCCCAGGTTGTCTCAGGTCCTCTGTGGGCTCTATCAGCTCCACCTCACACTGAACACCTGAAAATACAAACAAATCCTGGTCAGAAACTGGCAAACATATCCACTGTTTCTCTCACTCATATCCACTCACTCTCACTCACTCTAGTTCCCTATGAGTTACCTTTTAAAATACCAACAAGAAAAATTCAGCTTAATTCACACCCCATAGTGAGTTCTCTGTGTTCAGTCCTGATTACCAAATGGAAACCCCTGGGAATCCCAGGGCTGTGGCTCTTCTCCCAGAGCTGCAGGGTCAGGTCTGGGCTTGTTTTCACCAGGAGAGGGGCCCTCCCTCCTCCTCTATAGCAAGCTCCAGTGTGGGATGCCTGAGAAGAAGGCAGTGCCCAAAGCAGACGTCAGACTCCAGGAGGAGTTTAGTGGCAATGGTAGCATTTGGAAAAATATTACTTATAATGTGACTGTGCCATAAAACTCATTTAGCAATTATGATTTTTGTTTTTACACATGTGTACAAATACAAATATAACTGCATTAAGCAAACTGTAAGAGATATAAAGAAATAGAAAACAATACAAAAATAACACAAGACCTTAATACCTCATGACCATAATGTATAGCAAATCCGGAAAGAAAATTCCTAATGTGCCTCTGAACTTGAACAACACTATTGAACAAATTTATCTGAATGATATTTACAGAACCTTCCAACCAAGAGTCACGTAATACACATCCTTCTCAAGAACACATTGAACATTCTCCATGATGGGTTATATGTCACATCATAAAATGAACCTTAACATTTAAAGAAGTAATGCCAGCCCTTCTGTAACTCTTTCAAAAATTGGTGAGGAGTCCACCTTCCAAACTCTTTATATATATATAGTAAATAAACTTTATGTTTCTCAGAGATGACACTGTAAACAGTCACAGATTTGCATACAATACAATTATGTATTGGCTATTTACAATTTACAGTAGTGGTTCTTCCTCTGAGAAATATAAGTACAAAAGCTAAGTAAACAATGAGGTACTGCCATTTGGGATTTATTATGTGTCATAGCTTAAAGAACTGGCCTTTAGCAAATATTAAACAAATCAACCTGAATAAAATAGTCAATTAAATGATTTATTTTTTTCTAATTTATTAGAAAAAATTCCACCAGGTTTCACCTCAAAATGTATTGCATACGTCTAAAAACAAACTTAAAAATAAATAGGAAAGGTAAGCAGTTCTTCAAAAAGAATGGAAGAGGCCGGGCGCGGTGGCTCACGCCTGTAATCCCAGCACTTTGGGAGGCCGAGGCGGGCGGATCACGAGGTCAGGAGATCGAGACCATCCCGGCTAAAACGGTGAAACCCCGTCTCTACTAAAAATACAAAAAATTAGCCGGGCGTAGTGGCGGGCGCCTGTAGTCCCAGCTACTTGGGAGGCTGAGGCAGGAGAATGGCGTGAACCCGGGAGGCGGAGCTTGCAGTGAGCCGAGATCCCGCCACTGCACTCCAGCCTGGGCGACAGAGCGAGACTCCGTCTCAAAAAAAAAAAAAAAAAAAAAAAAAAAAAAAAAAAAAAAAGAATGGAAGAAAGGAATAGAATGAAAGCTCATAAACCAGGTTAAGTCATTCTGAATATCTTTTAAACAACATAAAATTCTTCCCAACAGAAAAGTGAAGAAAAAACTATCACCATTTCTCCACTGATAAAATCTATTTTAAAGGTAGTCTGCCATATATCTTCTAAACTCTTTCTATGAGGCTACCATGATAGTATTACCAGTAATAGACAAAGGCACCACAATAAAAGAAAACTACAGACCAATATCATTAGTAGACATGAATTAATCCCCAACAATAGTAAACTAAGCTCCAAAGTGTTTTAGAAGACATACACCATGACCAACTCAAATTTCTTCCTGAGATGCATACTTGATTCAACATTCTCAAATCAACCAATTTGGTACACCACATTAAAAAACTAAAGAAAAAATACCTCAGTAACATTTCATCAGACACAGAAAAAGACTTTGAAAAAAATCAGTTTCATTATAAAAACTATGAACAAAGTAGGAAGACAAGAAAACAACTTGAACATAATAAAAGCCGTTAAGAAAGGCCACAGCTATTATTACACTCAATAGTAAAAGGTTAGAATATTTTGGTCCAATATCTGTAACAAGGCAAGAAGAAAGCTTTAGGCATTTCACTTCCAGGCCTTAACATTTGTTAAAAACATAGAAAGTTTTGGCATAAATACCTATACAGAGCTTAGATATAAACCCACATATTGATGACGAGCTGATTTTTAGCATGAGAACCATCAATATAACATGGCTAAATTGTAGTGTCTTCCAAAGAGGGTGGTATGAAAACTGGATTTTCCCATGAAAAGAATTAAGAATTTTAGGTTAGAATAAACACAAAAATTCACTCCAAATGCCTCAAATATCTAACTTTAATACCTGTAATTGTAAAACTCTCAACCCTCAAAAAATTAGCAATCTTTTTCTGGATTTTACATTCAAATCACCTACAAAAAAAAAGCAGAATTGAACAAGTGGGAATAGATTATGAAAAAGATTCTGCAAAGCAACCAAGTAACTACAACTTACAGAATTGGATAATATGCCATATATCTCAAAAAGTTTTAATGTCCAAATGGAAAAGAAACTTCTACAACTCAACAGCAAAAAGAAAAATAGCCTCATTTTTAATAATCAGTTTTACACCTTTAACACTGTAAGAACCTAGAACTCAGGTTAATGTTTTTCTCCATGGGCAACGGTCCGTCTTTGGGTCTACTTAGCTGGACAATACTGTGTATTGATTTGACAAAACACTAATCCAGGTGGTGGTGTGAATTTTTAACAGACGTTATTGAAACTGGAATCGGTTGACTCTATGTTAGGTAGATTATCATTGATAACCTGCTTGGCCCTGATTCCATCAGAGCAGAACTGGAGAAGGTAAAACTCCACGGTGATTAAGCAGCTTCAGCTCTTTCTGAGACTTCCAGCCTGCACTTACTGATGGCCGGCCCTGAGGATATTGGATGTTCCAGCCATCTCCCAAAATTGTCATCCCCTGCATCTCACAGGGAAAACATCTTCCTTTTGCAAAAAGCAGGAAAAACAAATGGAAAAAGGAGAAAAACGACGAAAAAATAAAGTAAATGGATTAGGAACAAAAGAAGCACCAGATCGGTGCTGATACTGATTTGCATACTTTCGTGTCAGGAGAAGGATCAGACGTGAAATCTGTGAGGTTCTACATGACGCTGACCCTGGTTCAGCCTCTCTATTGTCTGTGACCAGGATCCATAAAGACTGTTCCAGTCAGGGAATCTCACGGAGGTCCCTGTCCTGGGTCTGATTGGAGAAGACTCACCAGGAAGCCCTGAGGTTACTCAGGACTCTGATCCTTGTGACCATGGTTGAGGAATTTTCATCCGTGTCAGCGTCAATCTGCATTTTGTGCCAGGGAGAAAAGGTCCTCATATGCATAGAGAAGACATTGTTAGGCACAGTTTTCTAAATTTAAGAGGTTCCCTGGGGAACTGTCAGAAGAAGACAAAGTCCCACATCCTGACAGGAAACAGCCTCCATCTGCACCTGCCTCCAGGGCTGACTCTGATCAGTGGCTCCTGAGCGCCCCCTGCCGCTGATTTCCCGCCAGCGTTCCTGCAGGGAGGTTTGTGTCTGGGCGCACAATGACTTCCCCTCACTGTGTCTTTCGCACAGTAATACACAGCCGTGTCCTCAGCTCTCAGGCTGTTCATTTGCAGATACAGCGTGTTCTTGGAATTGTCTCTGGAGATGGTGAATCGGCCCTTCACGGAGTCTGCATAGTATTTATTACTTCCATCATATGATATAACTGCCACCCACTCCAGCCCCTTGCCTGGAGCCTGGCGGACCCAGTGCATGCCATAGCTACTGAAGGTGAATCCAGAGGCTGCACAGGAGAGTCTCAGGGACCTCCCAGGCTGGACCACGCCTCCCCCAGACTCCACCAGCTGCACCTGACACTGGACACCTGCAAACAGAAGGACACCGTTATCAGAAAATGCCACACAAATCCAGTTTTTCTCACTCATGTTCACTCACACTCAGTCTCTCTATTTCTCCATGAATCACCTCTTAAAAGAGCAACGAGGAAAACCCAGCTCAGCCCAAACTCCATGGTGAGTCCTCTGTGTTCAGTGCTGATCACCGAATGGAAACACCGCCGACTTCTAGTGCTGGGCTCCTCTCCCAGAGCTGCAGGGTCAGGGCTGGGCTGGTTTTCATCAGTAGAGGGAGGGCCCTATTTGCATGTCCCCCACTATATAGCAAGCTCTGGGTGGGACATCTGAGGAGAGGCTGGGCTCAGGGCAGATGAAGTGTCCTGGGGGAGACTGGTAGTAATTCCATCATTCAGGAAAATATAGTTATATCTTATATGCTTGTGCCTTGATTAACACTTAGCTCTCATAACTTTCTTTTATTCTTACATATTTACACAATATATTTAATGCAGGCTTCAATGTTATATTTTACAGGAGATAATTTACATAGAGAACACAGCAGTTGTGCAGTGTGTCTAAGATAACACATCTAAAAATTTAGTCCTATTACCTGGGCCTGTGCTCTAACCTCTGGAGGAGGCAGCTCCCCTGAGACAACTCCAGGGCAGCATGGCCCATGCCTAGTGAAGTCTGCAGGATTCCCCATCTGTTATGACAACTTTCTGTTATTTACCTAAATACGCAGAGTGAACCACGGTTCATGTGTATGTTTTTGGAAGTCAGTTATATTCCTTGTGTTAATATCGATCTATTTATTGCTGCAATTCAGTCAAATATTATCTCATCAGTTTCTTTATTGCTTTATTCGAGTGTAATTAATAAATAATTCAAATTTATGGTGAATGATTTGAAAAATGTAGACCTATGTTTGCAACCATTTACTCAGCACTTCAATCAAGGTTTGAATAAATTAATCCCTAAATCTTTCTCTTATTCCTCTGAAATTTAACTCACATCCCCATTACTCCCAATAGCATATTCTCAGAAACATTTAAATCTTCTCCATGTTAATTTATAATAGTGGCATCTTCTAAAATTTCTACAAATGTATCATATAAAATTTACTCTTCATTCCTTAGTTTCTTTCACTCAGCACAATTCTTTGAGAATTTAGCCATGTTTTTTTCAATGAGTGAGGCATGACTTGATTTCAAGCTGCATTAGATTCCAGCACAGAAATATATGCCAAACTATTTAACTGTTCACCTGTAACGAAATGTGATTGTTCTCTCAGTTAATGGATTTGATAGAGAAAAGCAGCTACTCGGCATGGGAATGTAAAAATGTGTAAACTATGAGCTTATTCTGACCTCATTAACAACAAAGCTGAACAACTACAAATAAAAAAAAGAAAACCTTCAACATATCTGTGTTGATGTCAGAGAGAAAACAAACAATACACAAAACCTGAAATCTGAGGAGAGAGGCGGCTGCAGAGAGAAGCAGGACCCATGTATTAGTGTACCTGGGGCAGATGCCACTGGATGGCATTTAAGATCGGAACAGGCTGACTTGGACATATTCAGTGAGTTGCGTGAGGATGCACGTGCTCATAGTGTTAGACTGTGAAGCTCCTGGTGCTTGCAGGCTTTTCCTACAGAATTATTATTAATATTCTTGCTGCACTTTATGCAAATAATCAGGCCAAGTTTAAGACTAAAGTTTATTTTGCAAACAACTCAGTCTTATCATTATTTGCTGCTGACAAAAACCAAAACTGGAAAGAGAAACATTGTATTTCAAAACATATCATACACTTGTCTTTAAATTCTAATCTCTTCAGTTGTTTAAGTATTTGCCTGCATTTTAGACTAACTCTGCTTATTCCTGAGCGCCAATCAATGATCTCTGGCTACAGCCCAGAAGAAACAAAAAGCGATGGGGAATATAAAAAATCTGGATCAATATTTTAATTCTAAGCAATTATCCTTTAAATCATGCCAGGTGATGGGAATGAATAGGGTGCCCCTAACCTGGAGGTTTCTTTGTTTGGGAAAATAAATCCCAGGGAGCTGACAAAAGCCAAGCCCCATGCGCCCAAACCTTAGCAGGCATAACTACAGCTGCAGTTATCTAGGAATGTCAGCAGCCTTGGAATTTTCTTTCAAGCTGTCCTTGCCACCTTGTTTGGTTTTCATACATGTCTTCTAATAACCAGATTTGCCTCTTCTCATTTTCAGACCATCAAACTCCAAATGGTCATGCAACTGAAGCCTGGGATAATGGCTCCCTTTTCCTGGGGTCCCTTAGACCTCCAAGAGAGATCTTCCCCAAACAGCATCCCTCCTCAGCTGGAAGCAGTTAAGACTTGTCTTTGTCTCTATTCTAATGACAGTTAGATGTACTTCTTCAAAGAGGAAAATGCTAGAGGTAGAAGGCAGAGAACTCTCCTAGGCAGGTAGGGAAGAGTCCCCATAGAATCTCCAACGCCCCAGGGTCATAGTGCACAGGGAGTTGCCTAGACATGCCTGCAGTGAAAATTGTTAATGTTGTCTTTATCACTCTCGGAATAAATAGCCACACATAATAATCTAGCTGCATGAAGATAAAAATTAACTAGTTTGAAATTAGAACAATTCCCTATTCACAATAGCAAAGACTTGGAACCAACCCAAATGTCCAACAATGATACACTGGATTAAGAAAATGTGGCACATATGCACCATGGAATCCTATGCAGCCATAAAAAATGATGAGTTCATGTCCTTTGTAGGGACATGGATGAAGCTGGAAACCATCATTCTCAGCAAACTATCGCAAGGACAAAAAACCAAACACCACATGTTCTCAGTCCTAGGTGGGAATTGAACAATGAGAACACATGGACACAGGAAGGGGAACATCACACACCGGGGCCTGTTGTGGGGTGAGGGGAGGGGGGAGGGATAGCATTAGGAGATATACCTAATATTAAATGACGAGTTAATGGGTGCAGCACACCAACATGGCACATGTATACATATCTAACTAACCTGCACATTGTGCACATGTACCCTAAAACTTAAAGTTAAAAAAAAAAACAACCAGAGAAGTGGGAAAAAAAAAGAAATTAGAACAATTACCAATAAAATCAAAGTTAGCATGTGGTTTATAATATTAATAGACAAGAGACATGGCTGAATGCTAAGAATGTGTTCACATCTACTTTATGTCATGATCAGGAAAATATTTTATATATTCTTTAGGTAAGAGTCCCATTGAGAGGATTAACATTGATGTATAATACCTCAATAATAAAAGTAAAGGTTATTAACTAGTAATTTCTATTAAGAACACAAACTTTCATTTAGGATATATTCTTCTATGTGTTAGGAAATCAACTCAGAAGGCAGGAAACATTGAACTTATTAGAGATGTTTAATAAATTAAAAATGAGAATTAAGTACGTATGCTTTTAGAGGGTGCACAACTTTGGAATTTTTTGTGTCGTTTTGTTTGAGACGGAGTCTCGCTGTGTCGCCCAGGCTGAAGTGCAGTGGCACAATCTCGGCTCACTGCGACCCCCGCCTCCAGGGTTCAAGCAATCCTCTCACTTCAGCCTCTCAAGTAGCTGGGATTACGAGTGTACACCACCATGCCCGGCGAATTTTTGTATTTTTAGTAGAAATGAGGTTTCACCATACTGACCAGGCTGGTCTCAAACTCCCAACCTCGAGGGGTCCACCCACCTCGGCCTCCCAAAGTGCTGGGTTTACAGGCATGAGCCACAGCGCCCAGCCTGGAATATTTTTAGAAACAGAGAGGGTTCTTACGTCTTCTGGAAATCCTATTGAGATGGACAACAAGGGAAGAAACCCTCAGATGAATTTCTACCTACTAGAGGGCTGATTAATATCATTTTAAAGCAAATGCTAACACACAAAAAGCTAACATGAAGCTAAAAAAATATAGTGATTCAATACAGCAACCATTCTAGCTCAATCTAGTTTAAAATATTATCTAACCATGGAGGGCACTGTCATTGTTCACAGAAGACAGAGTCAATCCCACTCACAACCTTCTGGGAATGTTTAAAAAATGGCATCCCTACATAAAAATTATCAATTTTAATAAAATGTGAACTTCCTTGGCCAAGGGTTCTCCCACTAGCACTATGGAATCATGGTTCACTCCTCAGGGTCCATCAGTTATTACCCTATGACTTGGTAGCTAAAAGGCCCATACGTTTATAGATTTTACACCAAGGGATCATCTTTGTTCTATTGCATGCATGTGTTACAAAATACGGAAAGGGATTCCTATGTGATATCCACTCCAATCATGAAGAGTTAAAACTGCCTTTTTACTACATCTTTTCCGCAGTGTCTTCTGATCTTCAACAAGGAAACTGAAAGGAATATCGGCAGAAAATACTGCTCTTGAATCATATTGGAAGGAATCTTATCAGAAACTTTTAACTAACTCACTGCACAAAACAGTCAGGCAGTTAATTATTGGCTTCATGTTTTACAAGTAAAGAATCAATTCAGGACAGATGCAGTGGATCTTCCCTATAATCACACCACTTTCAGAAGCAAAGTGAGGGAAATCACATGAGACCAGGAAATCGAAGCCAACCTGGGCAACATAAAGAGATGCTATTTCTATGAAAAAATATTTTAAAGAATAAGCAGGTGAGGGGTGGCATTCCCCTCTAATTCTAGATACTCAGGAGGCTGATACAGGAAGATTACGTGAGTCTGGAGGTCAAAATTACAGTGAGCTATGATCACACAACTGTACTTTAAGCTGTGGAACAGTGTGAGAGCCTGCCTCTAAAAACAAACCAAAAAGAATCAATTAAGAATTCCACACAACTGTAAATCTACTCAAATAGGAGATGCTAAACTGAGCATCCTCATTGATTGCCTGGCATTTCTGATGTTTTTAAGCAGACGTGTGACCTAAGACCTGCAGAATAAGCTGATAGTCCTTGATTGTGAGAAGCTTCTACCCAAGACATTCGGCCAGGACCCTAATTCCCCATCCCCTCCTTCTTTCTCTCATTATTATTTCCTTATATTTCTAAAGTCATCTCATTTCTGTAGATCTGGGTCTTGTCCATCGATACTGAACCCTTATTTCTTTTTCATTATTTTTATTCTTGCTACCTAGAATAAGTTGTCACTCTATCTTTTGGTGCATGCCTGTTGATTACTTAAGGCTCACTCCTCCATCATCTCCTTTTTTGCCACACAAGGTGAATCTAGTTTGGACTCACAGGAGCTTCTTCATTCAATGGCAGTGGGAGTTTCAAACCTTATAAACCCCGATCTGTGAGTGGGAAGCCTCACTCTGCCGCCACCACTAAACCATTATAAAAACCCTGAGCCAGTCTCCTTTCCTCTTCTTTCAAGCCATTTTAGATTTTCCTGTGAGACCTGCCCTGCACTCAGCAGACACCTACACTGTGCAGATAATACACTTTTCCATATTCACTTGCTCTGAGCTTATGACTTCATCAGACATGACACACACACTAAATCTCAGTTGAGATCTCTTGGCTTTGCATGTTGTCAACTACAACGGATGGTGTGAGCTTGGTGTCACTGTTTCTTTTTTTTTTTCACAGACGCTTCTCAAAAGAAGACATTTATGCAGCCAAAAGACACATGAAAAAATTCTCATCATCACTGGCCATCAGAGAAATGCAAATCTAAACCACAAGGAGATACCATCTCACACCAGCTAGAATGATGATCACTGTTTCTATCAACAGTACACACTGGATCCCTGAAACAACTCCAGGACACAGCTGGACATGTGCTATAGATTTGTTTTGTGTCCCCACCTAAATATCATCTCAAATTCTAATCCCCACATGTCAAGGGAGGGACCAGGTGAGAGGTTATTGGATCATGAGGGCAGTTTTCCCATGTTGTTCTCATCATAGTGAGTGACTTCTCACAAGAGCTGATAGTTTAAAAGTATGTGTCACTTCCCCCTCTCTCTCCTGCTGCGCTGTGTGATGTGCCGTGCTTCGCCTTCACCTTCCACCATGATTATAAGTTTCCTGTGGCCTCCCTAGCCATGCAGCACTGTGAGTCAACTAAACCTCTTTTCTTTGTAAACTCCTCGTCTCAGGTAGTTCTTTATACCACTGTGAAAACGAACTAATATCACATGACTGGTGGAGTTTGATAAACTTTCTTAATGACAGTTTGTAGGGGGGTTGATAGGGTTTGAAACAACCACTGGCATTGAATGAAGCAGCTCCTATGAGTCCAAACTAGATTCAGCTTGTGTGGCAAAAAAGGAGATGATGGAGGAGTGAGACTTATAATCAGTGCTAAAGGTAGTACTAATTATACTAGGTAAAATTTGGTATCAAAGCAATTAGACAGAGATAAATAAAATACATGAAAAGTCAGAAACTCCTGAATATACACATGAATGAGTGCTGAACATTTCTGTATTTTTAGAGAAATGCTAGAATACGGCAAAATAATGGCATGGGGTTAAATAAAAAAATAATAGTCTCCACACGAAGTGTTCAATTTTACAAATATGGTCATAGACATTATCATTATCCACATAGATAACAAGTCAATTACCCTCAAAATATCCTCTTGTTCTGTAATTCCTCCTTCCTAGACCTTCCCTTCTCCTACAATATTGACAGTGAACTACTGATTTTTATGTAACTTTAGATTACTTATCAATACATCAGGTAATAAAAGTTATAGATTTATGTGTGTTGTGGGGTGGCTGTATATAAGTTTCTGTGTGAGAGAGAGAGAATGAGGGAGGAAGGAAGGCAGAAAAAGAGAGGAATCCTACATAATTGACCACAATTTATGAGGTTCTCAAGTAATTATGGGGAATTAGTCCTTACAGACAAGGCTGATATAAGATGGAGAGGACAACTTGACACACCTAGCTATGGTTATATATTTATATCAATATCATTTTCTAATCATACAAACACATGCATTAGAATAGAGGTAGTGGAGGGTGTCTGGTGGTGAAACATGATGGTGACACAAAACGCCTCATCCAGCTCCTTTTCACACCAGCTGCACATGCCCTGAGGTTGAGCCTTGAACCTGCTCTTTCTGAATCGCCACAATAATCCTGAGCCCCCCGCTGTACCAAGCACCCTTTGGTGTCCTGATTTTCCCCCATGGTTCCTGAGAGCCCCCAGCTACCTGCATGCCTCTACAATGGTCTTGAGTGCCCCTTGGTGTCCTGAGGGAGCCTGGTGTCCTGAGTAACCCTGGCTGTCCTATGCACCCCCACAGGGAGGCTTGGGTATGAGTTCACACTGTGGTTTCCTCACTGTGTCTTTTGCTCTAAAATACATGGCTATGTGTTTGTTCCTCACATAGTTCAGCTGTAAGAAGAACTACTTTTTGGACATGGATCTGGAGATGGTGACTGGACTCTTGAGAAGAGGGGAGTAATTTGTGCTCCCTCCATGACCTATGCACCCGATCCACTCCAGTACCTCCCATGGGGGCGCTGATGGATGCAGCTCCAGAAGGAAACACTGGTTGTGATGGAGAATGCAGAGATGGCACAGGTGAGGGAGAGGTTCTGTGAAGGCTTCACCAGGCCAAGAGTGCACCGAGAAATACAGTTGTTGGCAGCCACAGGTTCTGGAGAACACACTGAAATTTCCAAATACTTACATTTCTATGAGAATAACGAGCTCACTTGTGCTCAATTAGTGAGTCTCCTAGCATAATGCAGTTGATGCTGATGTTGGATTCAGACAAATATAGGGTCACATTTTTCTCCATACTTGGAACCAAGTAATAAAGAGAAACTTATGTTAGGAGAATGGCCATTGAACTATCTCTGATCATGGTGATTTTCAGAATAGGCTTGAGATGTGATCACCTAAAGAGTGTCCTAATGCTTAACCAACAATTAGGCCTGAGCAGCAGTCACAGGCACTGGAGGTCGCCCACATGGAGAAATGTCTGACTCACTGAAGCTGCACCTGGGGGTCTCTGCAGGCTCTGAGTTGTGCAGAAACAGCTCCTCCCTTAGACTCAGACTGAGGACAATCTCTGCTCATTCTCTGGGGAAGGTGAGGGTTAGTGTGTGGAAAGAACCCAACTTACTTTGCTCAAGATCTCTGTACTTGAACAGAAACAAAGAGTAGGAGAAAAAATGATTTCGGTTTTACATAGAATAAATTATCATGAGGAAGGCAATAATATGTCTGGATCTTGCACAGAATTAAGAAACAATGAATTTGGGGTAAAGTTGAAAATTACAATTTCTTTGCAGATTCTGTTTTTAGTTATCTATGTCATCTGCGAAAATGAAGTAAAATCAGAGTTTTTATATAAAAATTCACAAACAGCATGCTGGCCCCAAGAATGCACCTCCCATCTCTCCAGCATCAGGCCCAACAGACCAGGCAGCCAGCTGCTGCACTGCACTCTTAACACCCGCCACCTGGTGTGTGCCAAAGACACCCATCCTGGGAGCTCCTCCCAGACAGTGGCTGTGCACAGTGGAGACACTGAGGCATGGCTGCTGCTGGGAAGCATTGGACATCCCTGATGGACAACTGTGCTCTGGGAGGCACCAATGGTCTTGCTGGACTTATCTTGGAAGACAGAGTTGTTAGGGAAGCTCCATCAAACTCCCATGCCTCTCCAGTACTAGTGGTGAGATTGACATTCTGGGGTGACAGTATCTACAGCCCCACCTGGCCTCCTGTGCATTTTTTGCTTCCATTACTTACATCTGCTTTGGGACAAATGAAAATGTTTCCTCTTCCTATAATAAACTTTTCTAATCCAGAGATGTCAGGGGTGGCCACAGAAACATAAATGTCCAGAGGCTCCGAGGGGAACTGGTAGATGCAGAGGAAGCCACAGACCCCGAAGGAAAGCAGCCCATGATAACCATCTGTACCTGCCCTAGAGCTGCCCGTTTTCAGTGGGTCCTGAGTGCCCCTTTTAGCCCAGCCTCCTCCCTTATCATTGCAGGAAACTGTGTCTGTGTTCACACTGATGTCTTCTTACCTGGTGCCTCACATACAGTAACACACAGCTGTGCCCGCTGCTCTCAGACTGTTCATTAGCAAATACAGTGAGTTCTTGGCATTTTCTTTGGAGATGGTGAATTTGCTCTTCAAAGATTATGCATAACATATCTGACTTCCATCACACTGTATATCTACTACTCACTCCAGCCCCTTCCCTGGAGCCTGGGAAACCGAGTTCCTTCAGTAGCTACTGAAGGTTAATCCAGAGTCTGCACAGGAGAGTCTCAGGGATCCCCCAGGTTGTCTTGGGTCCTCTCCGGACTCCACGAGCTGTACCTCTCACTAGACACCTGCAAACTCGTAGACATCCTGGTCAGAAACTCCCAGACATAATCCACCATTTCTCTCAAGGGTATCCACTCACGCTCAATCTCTCTAGTTCACCTTTTAAAACAGCAACAGTGAAAACCCAGCTCAGCCCAAGCTCCATGGTGGGTCCTCTGTCTTTAGTCCTGATCACCAAATAGAAACCCCTGGGAATCCCAGGGCTGGCGCTTCTCTCCCAGAGCTGTGCGGTCAGGACTGGGCTGGTTTTCATCAGCAGAGGGAGAAACCTATTTGCATGTCTCCTACTGTATAGCAAGCTCTGGGATGGGAATCCTGAGGAGGTGCAGGGCTCAGAGCAGACAAAGTGCCCTGGGGGAGATTGGTAGTCATCTTATCACTCAGGAAAATATCATTATATTATATGATTGTGCCTTGATAATCATTTAGCAGTCATCATCTTTTTGACATATTTGTAGAATACATTTAATGCAAGTGTCAATGTCACATTTTAAGGAAGATAAATCACACAGAGAACAGAGTGTTTATACAATGCATTCAAGGTCACACAGCTGGACAGAGTTAGCCCCATTATCTCGGCCTGTGCCTCTGACCACTAGAGGAGACTGCTCCCCTGAGACAACTCCAGGGCAGTGTGAGACATGCCTAGTGAGGTCTGCAGGATTCCACCCCTGCCAGGACATCTCTGTTTTCTTTTAGTGTATTCTGCTATTGACCTGAAATACATAGAGAGAACCAGTGTTCACGCTTGTGTATTTTCAAGAGTCAGAGATGTTTCGAGTGTTCATTCCCATTTAGTTTTGGCTCCACCTCAATAAATGTATTCATTTGTTTCTTTGTTACTGCTTTATTTAAATACAATTAATAATTAATTCAAATATATACTGCATAATTTGGAAAATGGTAACATGTGTGCAACCCTTTAATCAGAGCTTCAATTAATTTGTGTACAATTCACACCTAAATCTTTGTGTCACTTCTCTGTAATTTCATCTCACCACCCCATTACTTTCAAAACCCAGTTCCCACCAATATGTAATCTTCTCTGTTGCTTTAGAATAGCTGTACCTTCTGCAGTTTATACAAATAGAAGTTTATGAAGTGCACTGTTAATTTGTTAGCTACTTTCACTCAGCACAGTTATTTGTGAATGCAGCCATGATTTTATGAGAATGAGGATGCCTGGATTCTAATCCTGTGTTGTACTTTAGTTCATAATCATACATCAAATTGTCTAACATTCACTTGTAATGGATATGGATACTTGAGTTGTTCTCTTAATTTCTGGCTTTCATAGAGAGAGAGCAGTTACTCAGTATGGGAATGTGAAAAATGAGGAAACCATGATCTTACTCTTTCCTCATTAACAACAAACCTGAAAAATTATGAATAAATGAAGAAGAAAACCTTTTAACATATCTGAGTTGCTTTCACGGAGCAAAAAAGAGGACTGAAATCTGAGGAGGCAGACGCCTACAGAGAGGACTGGGGCCCACATGTTACCGAACCCAGGGCAGGTGCCACGGTATGGTATTGAGAGAGGAACAGGCTAACCTGGAAATATTTAGTGAGGATTTTTTTTTTAATTTTGGATGCATGTGCTAATGGTGTTAGATGTGAAACTATTAGTCCTTGCAGGCTTTTTCCCGGGGATCTGAAAAATCCACAGTCAGCTCCCTTATCTGCTGTCCTGCGGTGCTGACAGGAAGAGAAGAACGGTAAGGACTGTGGAACGCCTGGATTCACCTCCACTGTCTCCAGGGGAAATCCACTAAAACCTGTGTCCTATGGCCTGTGATGTGGTCATCAGAAACCAAAGAAAACAGAGGATTCCCAGGAAACTCCATCCAGATGAAATCCTTAATCTTCAGGTTAAGTACAATGGAGGAGAAGCTGAGGACATGGCAGAGAAACCACTGTGGGTTGGAAAAGACACTCTACCCCTGGGGGAAGAGGTAAGAACAGGAAACTTGGGAAGGCCACCCTGAGAATCATGATTACTGCATATGCATAAGAAGGAGGTTGTTTTGGAAGGTTGGAGAACATCCCCGTTTGTTCGAACCCCTTCTCCACATGGTCAACTAGGTCTGCAGAATAGTGAAGTAGCTGCATCAGCTCCATTCTGGCCTCTGTCATGTGACAGTTTGGGTGGATTTGCTTTCTGCTCTCTCATAATTTGTTTCCTCTCTCAACTCCTAGCTCCATTCTTCTTTTAATTCTCACTTTATTGAAGAGATTCATATTTAGCTTAGAACATTAAAACCTTTGGAAGTAATTTTCATCTCAAACCTACCAAATCTAATGAGCTCTCTCCAGGGGTGCCCATCTGCTTTTTTTCTTCCTTTTCTATGGGGTATGGCCCTTGTTTCTCCCTGAGTCCAGCTCTTATTTTCATATGCATGAGGAGTCCAACCATCACACACCCAGGGACATCTTGGAGCAACGTAACCTATCATCCGTCTCCTCAGCCCTCATGTGCACAGTGGCCACTCTGTCAGCTGCTGTATGTGCTTTAGGGCTTTCCATGTAAAAGTGTCTCTCACTTTCCCCCCAAATAAAGTTCCTGGTCCTTAAATACCTTCAAGAGCCAGTCTTCTTTACTGCCCCTTTGTTGCTAATATTGTTTTATTCCATTAAAATACATTGGGAACCTCAGTGACTATTGTCTGACTTCTATTATCCCATTGTCTGACTTCTGCCTGACTGACCCACCCATGAGCTTTAATCCACTGCTCTGCAGCTGATGGGGCCATCTGGACCTTCATTCATAAGAGGTGTGTAATTTATTAGAGAAGACCTGAGATCAGCAGGCGCCTGAGTTCCTCAGAACACAGGTGTGTCCTGCAGTAGAGTGTGTGTGACTGAAATCACACGTGTGTATAACTTGTAGCCTCAGCCCATAAGGTGATGACACCTTCTGGCCATTCCTGGGCAACCTGATGTGGGGTGCCCACAGAAGGATGGGTACATGACAAGGATGTTAGAAACCGATGTGGTGTTGGGGGCATGGACGGCCAAATTTAATTTAAATCTATTCTGTCCTTGATACTTGGGGAAGACTGGGAGAAAGGGAACAAAACTCAGACCCTATGTAGCTCCTAATTTAGGAAGGGATTCAGTGCAAATTGAGAAAGTTGAAGGAATAGACTATACTTTAAGGGATCATTTCTATAGTTCGTTCGAGGAAGTTGAAGGAAAACAGTTATGTTGGTGATGTTGGTGTGTTTTCCTGTGACTTACTTAGGAGACAGCAGAAGATGTTCAGTGGTCAGTCTCCATGCAGCTGGTCCTCATTGTCCATTTGTTATATCCACATGAAAGATAAAAGAAAATTTTGTGGTACAGGCACCAGGGCTGGTTTCAGAGACATTGCCCCAAGAATGGCCAACAGGGGCCAGGTGCGGTGGCTCACACTTGTAATCCCAACACTTTGGGAAACCGAGGCAGGCAGATCATGCAGTGAGGAGATTTGAGACCACCCTAACACAGTGAAACCCTGTCTCTGCTAAAAATACAAAAAAAAAATAGGCTGGCATGGTGGTGGACACCTGTAGTCCCAGCTGCTCAGGAGGTTGAGGAAGGAGAATTGCCTGAACCCAGGAGACGGGGTTTGTAGTCAGCTGAGATTGCACCACTGCACTCCAGCCTGGCCACAGAGCGAGACTCCGTCAAAAAAAAATGGCCAACAGGGCCATGACACATTTTTATATGAGAACTACTATTTCTGCCTACTTCATATGGATATCTGAGAGATGTGCCCAGCCTCAGGGAGCTGCTTCTCCCTCCAGGAGCTAACAGAGTTATGTGGTATTAGTCTGTCTGGGTCTTCATAAGAAGACAACAGGAGTGGGTGGCTTAAACAACAAACATTGATTTTCTCACCATTCTGAAGTCTGAATGTCCAAGGTCCAGGTGCTGGCAGGGTTGGTTCTTGGTGCGGCTTCTTCTTGGCTTGCACCTTCTAGTCCACTATGTCTCCACATGGCCTCTTCTCTGCGTGCACGGGAAAAGTGAGAGGTCTCTGGTGACTCTTCCACTTCTTATAAAGACAACAGATCTATTGCATTAGAATCTCAGACTTATGATCACATTTAACCTTAATTCCATCCTTAAAATTCCAATATAGATCAATTGGATTTAAGGTTTCAGCATTTGAATTTCAAAGACAGCACAATTCAACTGATGACACAAATCAAGAGATGGTGAGAAGTATTAGAATATATATTTTTTTTAATTAAGAAGGAAAAATGGGACATTCAGGAACTTGTAGGAAAGTTCCTAGTAATTAGTGACACTTTGACTCTAAGAGGAAAATTTGCCTTCCTCCTTCCTTTCCTACCACAAGGATGTGAGGAAGCAGAACCACAGATAATAAAGAAAGAGGAGTCCTGGGGACAGCTGAGGTGCTGGCGAGGAGGGAGAGCACTGAGCTGATGAGGAAGCCCCGCCCTCCCTGCACCTGCTCCTGACCCGGCCTCATGCTCTGTGGGCCCCGCGCGCCCCCTGCTGGTCCTGAGCAGCACCTGCGCCGGTCCCCTCCGCCTCCCTGCAGGGAGGTTTGTGTCTGGGCTCACACTCACCTCCCCTCATTGTGTCTCTGGCACAGTAATACACGGCCGTGTCCGCGGCGGTCACAGAGCTCAGCTTCAGGGAGAACTGGTTCTTGGACCTGTCTACTGATATGGTGACTCGACTCTTGAGGGACGGGTTGTAGTAGGTGCTCCCACTATGATAGATGTACCCAATCCACTCCAGGCCCTTCCCTGGTGGCTGCCGGATCCAGCTCCAGGAGTAACCACCACTGCTGATGGAGCCACCAGAGACAGCGCAGGTGAGGGACAGGGTCTGTGAAGGCTTCACCAGTCCTGAGCCGGACTCCTGCAGCTGCAGCTGGGACAGGACCCCTGTGAACAGAGAGACCCACAGTGAGCCCTGGGCTCAGAGGCACCTCCCATATCTCCATGTCTGCAGCCTTGAGACACTCACATCTGGGAGCTGCCACCAGCAGGAGGAAGAACCACAGGTGTTTCATGTTCTTGTGCAGGAGGTCCAGGACTCTCAGAAAGTATTTCCCATGTGAGCTGGACCCTGAATTTAAGGAAATGTGTGGTGGTTTCCTGTGGGTGCCTAAGTGAGATTTGCATGGGGGTGGTGCCTCTGTATGGAGAAGTGAAAAGGGATGAGGGAGGCCCCAGTCTTTTAGACTCTCCCTGGGAGGAGGATGCTGGCTGTGCCCTCTGAGAATTCAGTTATCTTCCTGGGGCCTCAACTCACTATGTCCTGGCTCCTCTTTTCCCAGGTGAGGAAACAGATTGCAACAGCAGCTTAATGTAACAATCACTTGAGTTCAGACACACCAGGATTCACTTAATGTTATTTTTAGTTCAGAACCTCTATCAGGTTTAGAGGGAATCGCTCTGTGCCAGGGAGTGGGTCTTAAATAGCAAAACGGCCTCAGAAAACCCAACATAATCTACAGGGAGACCTCAGCATGGCAAGCAAGGAATCACTAAAGCCACCAGGGAGCTCCGGATGCACTGATACGATCCAGAAACATAGCGAGTCCGGGAACTGATGGGGACTTTGGGGGAGCCTCTTTTATTATTTTTTAAGGATTCTGTGGTTGAAGGTCACAACACTGGGCCTGACTGCTCCCTGAACCAAGCCCAGCACAATGTGGTTCACCCCAGTGACATTTTCAGATCTTTCTTCCTGTAATGAAAGCACGGTGTGATGTGTATGCACTATTGTGTTTACCTAATGAATGTAAAGAGAAGCACATTTCATGCAGTTGTATTTTCATAAATGTCAGACATTCATCATGTTAGTGTCTATTTTTCCATGAATCTGTACTGAACAAATTATTCATTCATTGATTTGTAGTAGTCTTATTGAGACATTATTACTATACATTAAATATTGCAAAAAGTGTGTGGTTTAATAAGTACTCAAGCCAAGCCAAACCTCCTGGCACACAACGGTAGTTCCAGCTACTTAGATGGCAGATGCAGGAGTATTGTTGGAGACCAGAAGTTAGAGGCTACATTGAACTATGATCCCACCACTACACTCCAGCCTGGGTCGCAGAGAAGGACCACATCTCTTCAGAAAAAAAAAAGAAACAAACAAAACACAATGTAATTCCACTCGTGCTCACCTGTGCATCCCCAAAAGCCATCCAAATAATGAACAAATTACACTTAAAAGTTTCCTTGTGTTGCTCTACAATTCCTCCTTCCCAATTATTTTCTTCCCCCACCATATTCTGAGTCAGTCCTTCACATTTAATACCTTAGTTTTGAGTTTCAAGAATTTATTATACAGGAATTATATAGTATGTGTTTTATTTGTGTGGCTTCTCGCACGTAACTACTTATGATGCAAACATGTTGAGCATCAACAATGTATTGATTCTCATGATGGATGTTATTACAGTAAATTAGCATGCCATTACTTTTTATCTATGTATCTTCTTGATATTTGTATCATTTCTAGTTTCTTAGTATTACACATAGAGGTGCTTCTCAGCTTGGAGATGTAAGCACCCGATAAAAATATGTTATTATTCTTACAACAGCTACTAAACTTACTGATCTGCAAATTAGCACATATACATCAAATTTTTGATGTTATAGGACAAACAATATATCTGAAATCTGAAGAGAGATAAGGACGTGCAGGGAAATAAACAGGAGCAGATGATAATCTTTTCTGGGACAGAGGCTGCCAAATGCCATTTAAGTTAGCACACGATTAAAGTAGACATATTCATTGGATGGTTTCAATTTGAGTGTGATAGAGAAGTTATTGTTTAAATTCTCAGAGTGTATACAGTTGAGGAATTCCTCCTGCTATTGAAGCCTTTTTCTTCAGTACTGGGGATACATCACAAAATGCTCCAGCCTCTACCCTTTGGGATGGTGCTGTCTGGGAAAGCAAAACAGCAACTATAGCTGAAATGCATCCAGACACACCTCCCCATCACCACTACATTGCAAGAGAAATTATCTGCAGAGGTAAAGCCACCAAAACCACTGTTCTACAGACACTGGAGAAACCAATAAGAACTGGGACAGGAGAGAGGAATGCACCAAGTCCCTGTCCAGGCCCACCTCCCATCTTCCCTCAGGAGTAACAGCCTTATTCAAAAGGAAAAGGCAGAAACTGAAGAAATCAGTGGGAAGACATAGTGGCTGCTGAAGGAACATATGAATAAAAATGAAGAGGCCAGTTGCGGTGCCTCACGCCTATAATTCCAGCACTTTGGGAGGCTGAGGTGGAAGGATCACCTGAGGTAGGGAGTTTGAGACCAGCCTGACCAATATGGAGAAATGTCATCTCTGATAAAAATACAAGATTAGCGGGGCATGGTGTCACATGCCTGTGATCCCAGCTACTCTGGAGGCTGAGGTAGGAGAATCACCTGAACCTGGGAGGGGGAGATTGCAGTGAGCTGAGATGGCACCATTGCACTCCAGTCTGGGCAAGAAGAGGGAAAATCCACCTAAAAAAAAAAAAAAAAAAAAAAAGAATGACAAGAATGGCCAAGTGTAGATGAAGCGCCCTGGAAACCTAGCTACTTGCTAGTGAGGAGGTTGAGGTGGGAGGATTCTATGAGCCAGGAATTTGAAATCACCATGAGCTATGTTATGATCACAGCACTGTAGTCCAACCTGCACAACAGAATGAGACTCCATCTCAAAAAAAAATTAAGAATTTCACACAATTGTAAAGCTACTCAGAGGAAATTAAACTGCGCATCCTCACATATCATCTGGCACTTCTGATATTTTGAAGAAAACAGGTGACCTAAGACCTTCAGAATAAGCTGATGATCTCAAATCATGAAAAGCTTCCACAGAAGACATTGGACCAGAATCCTCCTCCATATCCTCCTCCTACTCATTATTCTTTGCTTATAAACTGTCTTCTCATTTTCTGCAGACCTGGCTGTTGTCCACCCATATTGGAGTCTTGTCTCTTTTCTTACTCATCATTTGTATACTTGCTATTTAGAGTAAGTCATCAGACTCTATGTTTAGGCCTGACTGCTGATAACTTCAGGCTCTTTCCTCCATCATCTCTTTTTTTAAGCATACAAGGTAAATCTAGTTAGAAATCACAGGAGCTCCCTCTTTTCATGCCAATTTGACCTTGAAACCCCACAAAACCCTTCCTGCAAGTACGATGCTCTGCCCCACTCCCCACCAAACCATGATAACAACCCTGAGCCAGTCTCCTTCCCTGCTCTATCAAGCCACTTTGGACCTTAATGAGAGACCTGCCCTGCTCTCAGCAGACACCTTAAGGATGCAGGTAACTATCCTTTGCATACTCACTTGGTGTGAGTGTGTGGCATAATCAGACTCAACATCCACAGAAAATTTTAGTTGAGATCTCTTGGCATTGGCATGGTGTCGGCTACAATGGATGCTGGGAGCTTGGTGTCACGGCTCCTTCCAAAGGACATGCCTGCTCCCTGAGTTAACTCCAAGATGCAGTTGGACAGGCCTCCTGGGGTCTGAGAAGCTCCTTTCATGTACTGAAATCCTGTCATTATGTTTTTGTATTCTAGTGTCTCCCTAAAAGTACAGTGAGACCCAGGGTCCATTCATGTGTGTATTCAGGACTCTCTGAATTTTATGTATTTTATTCATCTCTCTCTACTACCTTTTCTACCAAACTAGACATTTAAAAAATTGCAATATTTTAATGAGATGAAATTAGCAAATAAGAATCTTTACATAAAGTGTACAATTTTACAAATAGTGACATAATCCTCACTTTTACTAACAGAGAAAAAATCAATTATCCTAGAAATTTCCTTTTGCTCTCCTGTAGTTTCTCCTTTCTATACCTTCTCTTCTTGTACCATGTCCCCAGTCAACTACAGATCTTTTCATGTAACTTTAAGTTCATTTTTACTTTATAGAAATTATAGAAGTGGAATCGTATGTATGCACTTTCATTTGTTTGACTTATTTTACTTATTCAGGTGCTTGTTATTTTAAGCATGGTGTTGAGTGTATCCAGCAGTACTTGATTGTAACAGTGGGTATTATTCCAGTAAATGAATTTTCCACAATTTGTTTACCAGTTAAGCTGCTGAATAACAGTTGGATCGCTTTTGGTCTCTGGGTATAATAAACAAAGATGCTACTTAGCTTAGAGAAGTGACAAGCTGAGAAAAACATGGTTCTTATTTTTACATAACATGAATAGCAGGCAAAGCAGAAAAGCTGCACACTAATCAATTTGCTTCAATACATCACATAATTAAAGTTGGGAAGCTCTGTGTGTGTGTCAGTTCACGTGTTTTTGTGTGACAGAGAGAGAAGGCAGGAGGAGAGACCATGTCAAAAGGAGACCCTACATCTTTTGACCATAATGTGTGAGGTACTCAAGTAATTACAGGGACTTAGTGCTTGATGGACAAGGTCCACATAAGATGGAGAGGACAACTGGATGCACCTCCATATGGGTACATAGTAGTATTTACATAAATGCCATTTTCTAATCATATCAACACTCAGACACATTAGAAGAGATGTAGTGGAGGGTGTCTGGTGGTGAAATATGATGGTGAGAACAACCCACATCTACAGCCCCTTTTCTGCCCTGTTGCACTTGCCCTGATGCGAAGCCTTGGTCCTGCTCATCCTGACCCCTAACAATCATCCTAAGCCCCCATACTGCCCCGAATGCCCCCTGCTGCTCCTATTCACCCCTGCAGGGAGGTTTGTGTCTAGGCTCACAATGAAGGCCCTTCATTGCATCTTTTGCTTCAAAATGCGTAGTTGTGTGTTCACTGGGCACAGAGCTCAGCTGTAAGAACTGTTTCTTGGATCCGGATATGGACTCTTGAGAAGTGGGTTGTAATTTGTGCTCCCTTCACAACCCATGCACCTGATCCACTCCTGTCCATCTTCTAGGGGCAAGCAGATACAATTCTAGAAGGAAACACTGGTTATGATGGGGAATCCAGAGACAGTGCAGGTGAGGGAGAGGGTCTGTGAGGATGTCTCAAGCCAGAAGTGCACTGCGAAACACAGTTGTCCATGTTAACGGGTCCTGGACAACACGGTGAAATTCCCAAATACATGCATTTTTTTATGAGCATAAAGAGCTCACTTTGTCCGATTTGTGAGTCTCCTAGAACAATTCAGTAGATTTAGAGGTTAGATTAAAAAGTATTATCACATGTTCCTTTCCTCAGACTTGCAACCAAATAAAAAAGAGAAACTGCTGTTTAGAAAAATGAACATTGAATTATTACCACGGTGTGTGATAATGATGATTTTTAGAATATGATTGACCTGTGATAACCTGAAGACTGTCCTAATTCTGAGCCCACAATTAGACCTGAGCAGCAATCACAGGGAGTGAAACACCTGACTCAGTGAAGCTGCACCTGGGGGTCTCCGCAGGCCCTGAGTGGTACAGGAACAGCTCCTCCCTCAGACTCAGTCTAAGGAGAACTTCTGCTCTTTATCTGGGGAGGTGAGGGTGAGTGTGTGGAAAGTACCAAACTTGCTCTAATCAAGATCTCTGCACGTGGGGAGAACCAAAGTATACGAGAAACAACTGGTTTCAGTTTAGATCGAACAGTTTCTCATGAGAAGGGCAATACCACGTCTGGATCCTGCACAGAATTCAGAAACAATGAACTTGGGCTAAAGCTGAAAATTACGATTGTTTGCAGATTGTGTTATTAATTATCTATGTCATCTGAGAAAATGAATTAAATCACATGGTTTTTATAAAAAATTAACAAACAGCGTGCTGGCCCTGAGAATGCACCTCCAATCCCTCCAATATCCAGGAGCCCAATAGACCAGGCAGCCAGCTGCTGCACTGCACTCTAACACCCATCACCTGTGTGTGCCAAAGACACCCATCCTGGGAGCTCCTCCCAGACAGTGGCTGTGCACAGTGGAGATACTGAGGCATGGCTGCTCCTGGGACACATGGGAGATCCCTGATGGACAACTGTGCTCAGCGAGGCACCAATGGCCTTGCTGGACTTAGCTTGGACCACGGGGTCATCAGGGAAGCTCCATCAAACTCCCACCCTTCTCCAGCACTAGTTTTGGGTCTGGCATTGTGGGGTGGCAGTGTCTACAGACACACTCAGCTCCTATGCATTTTTATGCCTCCAATACTTACATCTGCTTTTGGGACATATGAGAATATTTCCTCTTTTAAATTAGTTTTCTAATCCAGGGACCTCATGGTGGGCACAAAACATAAATGTACAGAGGCTCAGAGGTGAAATATTAGAAGCAGAGGAAACCACAGACCCTGAAGGAAAGCAGCCCTTACCCTCCCTCCATCTGCACCTGCCTTGGGGCTGCACCTGTTTTGTGAGTGCTGAGTGTCCCCTTCGGCCCAGACTCCTTTCTTGTTTTTGCAGGAAGTGTTGTGTCTGGACTCACACCGATGTTTGCTCACTTGGGACCTTATGTACAGCCATGCACAGCCATGTCCTCAGCTCTCACTTGGGACCTTATGTACAGCCATACACGTCCATGTCCTCAGCTCTCTGACTGTTCATTTGCAGATACAGAGAGTTCTTAGCATTGTCTTTGGAGATGGAGAATCTGCCCTTCACAGAGTCTGCATGGTGTATCTGACTTCCATCATCTTTTATATCTATTACTCACTCCAGCCCCTTGCCTGGAGACTGGTGAACTCGGCTCATTCAGAAGCTACTGAAGGCGAATCTAGAGGCTACACAGGAGAGTCTCAGGAACTTCCCAGGTTGTCTCAGGTCCTCTATGGACTCTATCAGCTCCACCTCACACTGAACACCTGAAAATACACACACATCCTGGTCAGAAACTGGCAAACATATCCACTGTTTCTCTCACTCATATCCGCTCACTCTCACTCACTCTAGTTCCCTATGAGTCACCTTTTAAAATACCAACAAGAAAAATTCAGCTTAATTCACACCCCATAGTGAGTTCTCTGTGTTCAGTCCTGATTACCAAATGGAAACCCCCTGGGAATCCCAGGGCTGTGGCTGTTCTCCCAGAGCTGCAGGGTCAGGTCTGGGCTTGATTTCACCAGGAGAGGGAGGGCCCTGTTTTCATGCCTCCTCCTCTATAGCAAGCTCCAGTGTGGGACGCCTGAGAAGAAGGCAGTGCCCAGAGCAGATGTCAGACTCCAGGAGGAGTTTAGTGGCAATGGTAGCATTCGGGAAAATATTACTTATAATGTGACTGTGCCATAAAACTCATTTAGCAATTATGATTTTTGTTTTTACACATGTGTACAAATACAAATATAACTGCATTAAGCAAACTGTAAGAGATATAAAGAAATAGAAAACAATACAAAAATAACACAAGACCTTAATACCTCATGACCATAATGTTTAGCAAATCCAGAAAGTAAATTCTTAATGTGCCTCTGAACTTGAACAACACTATTGAACAAATGTATCTGAATGATATTTACAGAACCTTCCAACCAAGAGTCACGTAATACCCATCCTTCTCAAGCACACATTGAACATTCTCCATGATGCGTTATATGTTACATCATAAAATGAACCTTAACATTTAAAGAAGTAATACCAGCCCTTCTGTAACTCTTTCAAAAATTGGTGAGGAGTCCACCTTCCAAACTCTTTATATGTATATAGTAAATAAACTTTATCTGTTTCTCAGAGATGACACTGTAAACAGTCACAGTTTTGCATACAATACAAATATGTATTGGCTATTTACAATTTACAGTAGTGGTTCTTCCTCTGAGAAATATAAGTACAAAAGCTAAGTAAACAATGAGGTACTGCCATTTGGGATTTATTATGTGTCATAGCTTAAAGAACTGGCCTTTAGCAAATATTAAACAAATCAACCTGAATAAAATAGTCAATTAAATGATTTATTTTTTTCTAATTTATTAGAAAAAATTCCACCAAGCTTCACCTCAAAATGTATTGCATAAGTCTAAAAACAAACTTAAAAATAAATAGGAAAGGTAAGCAGTTCTTCAAAAAGAATGGAAGAAAGGAATAGAATGAAAGCTCATAAACCAGGTTAAGTCATTCTGAATATCTTTTAAACAACATAAAATTCTTCCCAACAGAAAAGTGAAGAAAAAACTATCACCATTTCTCCACTGATAAAATCTATTTTAAAGGTAGTCTGCCATATACCTTCTAAACTCTTTCTATGAGGCTACCATTATAGTATTACCAGTAATAGACAAAGGCACCACAATAAAAGAAAACTACAGACCAATATCATTAGTAGACATGAATTAATCCCCAATAATAGTAAACTAAGCTCCAAAGCTTTTTAGAAGACATACACCATGACCAACTCAAATTTCTTCCTGAGATGCATACTTGATTCTCCATGGGCAACGGTCCATCTTTGGGTCTACTTGGCTGGACAATACTGTGTATTGATTTGACAAAACACTAATCCATGTGGTGGTGTGAATTTGTAACAGACGTTATTGAAACTGGAATAGGTTGACTGTATGTTAGGTAGATTATCATTGATAACCTGCTTGGCCCTGATTCCATCAGAACAGAACTGGAGAAGGTAAAACTCCATGCTGATTAAGCAGCTTCAGCTCTTTCTGAGACTTCCAGCCTGCACTTACTGATGGTCGGCCCTGAGGATATTGGATGTTCCAGCCATCCCCCAAAATTGTCATCCCCTACATCTCACAGGGAAAACATCTCCCTTTTGCAAAAAGCAGGAAAAACAAATGGAAAAAGGAGAAAAACGATGAAAAAAGAAAGTAAATGGATTAGGAACAAAAGAAGCACCAGATCGGTGCTGATACTGATTTGCATACTTTCGTGTCAGGAGGAGGATCAGACGTGAAATCTGTGAGGTTCTACATGACGCTGACCCTGGTTCAGCCTCTCTATTGTCTGTGACCAGGATCCCTAAAGACTGTTCCAGTCAGGGAATCTCACGGAGGTCCCTGTCCTGGGTCTGATTGGAGAAGAATCACCAGGAAGCCCTGAGGTTACTCAGGACTCTGATCCTTGTGACCATGGTTGAGGAATTTTCATCCGTGTCAGCGTCAATCTGCATTTTGTGCCAGGGAGAAAAGGTCCTCATATGCATAGAGAAGACATTGTTAGGCACAGTTTTCTAAATTTAAGAGGTTCCCTGGGGAACTGTCAGAAGAAGACAAAGTCCCACATCCTGACAGGAAACAGCCTCCATCTGCACCTGCCTCCAGGGCTGACTCTGATCAGTGGCTCCTGAGCGCCCCCTGCCGCTGATTTCCCGCCAGCGTTCCTGCAGGGAGGTTTGTGTCTGGGCGCACAATGACTTCCCCTCACTGTGTCTCTCGCACAGTAATACACAGCCGTGTCCTCAGCTCTCAGGCTGTTCATTTGCAGATACAGCGTGTTCTTGGAATTGTCTCTGGAGATGGTGAATCGGCCCTTCACGGAGTCTGCGTAGTATTTATTGCTTCCATCATATGATATAACTGCCACCCACTCCAGCCCCTTGCCTGGAGCCTGGCGGACCCAGTGCATAGCATAGCTACTGAAGGTGAATCCAGAGGCTGCACAGGAGAGTCTCAGGGACCTCCCAGGCTGGACCACGCCTCCCCCAGACTCCACCAGCTGCACCTGACACTGGACACCTGCAAACAGAAGGACACCGTTATCAGAAAATGCCACACAAATCCAGTTTTTCTCACTCATGTTCACTCACACTCAGTCTCTCTATTTCTCCATGAATCACCTCTTAAAAGAGCAACGAGGAAAACCCAGCTCAGCCCAAACTCCATGGTGAGTCCTCTGTGTTCAGTGATGATCACCGAATGGAAACACCGGCGACTTCCAGTGCTGGGCTCGTCTCCCAGAGCTGCAGGGTCAGGGCTGGGCTGGTTTTCATCAGTAGAGGGAGGGCCCTATTTGCATGTCCCCCACTATATAGCAAGCTCTGGGGTGGGACATCTGAGGAGAGGCTGGGCTCAGGGCAGATGAAGTGCCCTGGGGGAGATTGGTAATAATTCCATCATTCAGGAAAATATATATTATATGATTGTGCCTTGATTAACACTTAGCTCTCATAACTTTATTTTATTCTTACATATTTACACAATATATTTAACGCAGGCTTCAATGTTATATTTTACAGGAGATAATTTACATAGAGAACACAGCAGTTGTGCAGAGTGTCTAAGATAACACATCTAAAAACAATCAGTCCTATTATCTGGGCCTGTGCTCTAACCACTGGAGGAGGCAGCTCCCCTGAGACAACTCCAGGGCAGCATGGCCCATGCCTAGTGAAGTCTGCAGGATTCCCCATCTGTTATGACGACTTTCTGTAATTTATCTAAATATGCAGAGTGAACCACGGTTCATGTGTATGTTTTTGGAAGTCAGTTATATTCCTTGTGTTAATATCGATCTATTTATTGCTGCAATTCAGTCAAATATTATCTCATCAGTTTCTTTGTTATTACTTTATTCGAGTGTAATTAATAAATAATTCAAATTTATGGTGAATGATTTGAAAAATGTAGACCTATGTTTGCAACCATTTACTCAGCACTTCAATCAAGGTTTGAAAAAATTAATCCCTAAATCTTTCTCTTATTCCTCTGAAATTTAACTCACATCCCCATTACTCCCAATAGCATATTCTCAGAAATATTTAAATCTTCTCCATGTTAATTTATAATAGTGGCATCTTCTAAAATTTCTACAAATGTATCACGTAAAATTTACTCTTAATTCCTTAGTTTCTTTCACTCAGCACAGTTCTTTGAGAATTTAGCCATGTTTTTTTCAATGAGTGAGGCATGACTTGATTTCAAGCTGCATTAGATTCCAGTACATAAATATATGCCAAACTATTTAATTGTTCACCTGTAACGAAATGTGATTGTTCTCTCAGTTAATGGATTTGATAGAGAAAAGCAGCTACTCGACATGGGAATGTAAAAATGTGTAAACTATGAGCTTATTCTGACCTCAGTAACAACAAAGCTGAACTACTACAAATAAAAAAAAGAAAACCTTCAACATATCTGAGTTTATATCAGAGAGAAAACAAACAATAAACAAAACCTGAAATCTGAGGAGAGAGGAGGCTGCAGAGAGAAGCAGGACCCATATATTAGTGTACCTGGGGCAGATACCACTGGATGGCATTTAAGATTGGAATAGGCTGGCTTGGACATATTCAGTGAGTTGCGTGAGGATGCACGTGCTCATGGTATTAGACTGTGAAACTCCTGGTGCTAGCAGGCTTTTCCTACAGAATTATTATTAATATTCTTGCTGCACTTTATGCAAATAATCAGGCCAAGTTTAAGACTAAAGTTTATTTTGCAAACAGCTCAGTCTTATCATTATTTGCTGCTGACAAAAACCAAAACTGGAAAGAGAAACATTATATTTCAAAACATATCATACACTTGTCTTTAAATTCTAATCTCCTCAGTTGTTTAAGTATTTGCCTGCATTTTAGACTAACTCTGCTTATTCCTGAGCGCCAATCAATGATCTCTGGCTACAGCCCAGAAGAAACAAAAAGCGATGGGGAATATAAAAGATCTGGATCAATATTTTAATTCTAAGCAATTATCCTTTAAATCATGCCAGGTGATGGGAATGAATAGGGTGCCCCTAACCTGGAGGTTTCTTTATTTGGGAAAATAAATCCCAGGGAGATGACAAAAGCCAAGCCCCATGCGCCCAAACCTTAGCAGGCATAACTACAGCTGCAGTTATCTAGGAATGTCAGCAGCCTTGGAATTTTCTTTCAAGCTGTCCTTGCCACCTTGTTTGGTTTTCATACATGTCTTCTAATAACCAGATTTGCCTCTTCTCATTTTCAGACCATCAAACTCCAAATGGTCATGCAACTGAAGCCTGGGATAATGGCTTCCTTTTCCTGGGGTCCCTTAGACCTCCAAGAGAGATCTTCCCCAAACAGCATCCCCCTCAGCTGGAAGCAGGTAAGACTTGTCTTTGTGTCTATTCTAATGACAGTTAGATGTACTTCTTCAAAGAGGAAAATGCTAGAAGTAGAAGGCAGAGAACTCTCCTAGGCAGGTAGGGAAGAGTCCCCATAGAATCTCCAACGCCCCAGGGTCATTGTGCACAGGGAGTTGCCTAGACATGCCTGCAGTGAAAATTGTTAATGTTGTCTTTATCACTCTCAGAATAAATAGCCACACATAATAATCTAGCTGCATGAAGATAAAAATTAACTAGTTTGAAATTAGAACAATTCCCTATTCACAATAGCAAAGACTTGGAACCAACCCAAATGTCCAACAATGATACACTGGATTAAGAAAATGTGGCACATATACACCATGGAATACTATGCAGCCATAAAAAATGATGAGTTCATGTCCTTTGTAGGGACATGGATGAAGCTGGAAACCATCATCCTCAGCAAACTATCGCAAGGACAAAAAACCAAACACCACATGTTCTCACTCCTAGGTGGGAATTGAACAATGAGAACATATGGACACAGGAAGGGGAACATCACACACTGGGGCCTGTTGTGGGGTGGGGGGAGGGGGGAGGGATAGCCTTTGGAGATATACCTAATGCTAAATGACGAGTTAATGGGTGCAGCACACCAACATGGCACATGTATACATATGTAACTAACCTGCACATTGTGCGCATGTACCCTAAAACTTAAAGTTAAAAAAAAAACAACCAGAGAAGTGGGAAAAAAAAGAAATTAGAACAATTACCAATAAAATCAAAGTTAGCATGTGGTTTATAATATTAATAGACAAGAGACATGGCTGAATGCTAAGAATGTGTTCACATCTACTTTATGTCATGATCAGGAAAATATTTTGTATATTCTTTAGGTAAGAGTCCCATTGAGAGGATTGATTAACATTGATGGATAATACCTCAATAATAAAAGTAAAGGTTATTAACCAGTAATTTGTATTAAGAACACAAACTTTCATTTAGGATATATTCTTCTATGTGTTAGGAAATCAACTCAGAAGGCAGGAACATTGAACTTATTAGAGCTGTTTAATAAATTAAAAATGAGAATTAAGTACATATGCTTTTAGAGGGTGCACAACTTTGGAATTTTTTGTGTCGTTTTGTTTGAGACGGAGTCTCGCTGTGTCGCCCAGGCTGAAGTGCAGTGGCACAATCTCGGCTCACTGCAACCCCCGCCTCCAGGGTTCAAGCAATCCTCTCACCTCAGCCTCTCAAGTAGCTGGGATTACGAGTGTACACCACCACGCCCGGCGAATTTTTGTATTTTTAGTAGAAATGAGGTTTCACCATACTGACCAGGCTGGTCTCAAACTCCCAACCTCAAGGGGTCCACCCACCTCGGCCTCCCAAAGTGCTGGGTTTACAGGCATGAGCCACAGCGCCCAGCCTGGAATATTTTTAGAAACAGAGAGGGTTCTTACGTCTTCTGGAAATCCTATTGAGATGGACAACAAGGGAAGAAACCCTCAGATGAATTTCTACCTACTAGAGGGCTGATTAATATCATTTTAAAGCAAATGCTAACACACAAAAAGCTAACATGAAGCTAAAAAAATATAGTGATTCAATACAGAAACCACTCTAGCTCAATCTAGTTTAAAATATTATCTAACCATGGAGGGCACTGTCATTGTTCACAGAAGACAGAGTCAATCCCACTCACAATCTTCTGGGAATGTTTAAAAAATGGCATCGCTACATAAAGATTATCAATTTTAATAAAATGTAAACTCCCTTGGCCAAGGGTTCTCCCACTAGCACTATGGAATCATGGTTCACTCCTCAGGGTCCATCAGTTATTACCCTATGACTTGGCAGCTAAAAGGCCCATACGTTTATAGATTTTACACCAAGGGATCATCTTTGTTCTATTGCATGCATGTGTTACAAAATACGGATAGGGATTCCTATGTGATATCCACTCCAATCATGAAGAGTTAAAACTGCCTTTTTACTACATCTTTTCCGCAGTGTCTTCTGATCTTCAACAAGGAAACTGAAAGGAACATCAGCAGAAAATACTGCTCTTGAATCATATTGGAAGGAATCTTATCAGAAACTTTTAACTAACTCACTGCACAAAACAGTCAGGCAGTTAATTATTGGCTTCATGTTTTACAAGTAAAGAATCAATTCAGGACAGATGCAGTGGATCTTCCCTATAATCACACCACTTTCAGAAGCAAAGTGAGGGAAATCACATGAGACCAGGAAATCGAAGCCAACCTGGGCAACATAAAGAGATGCTATTTCTATGAAAAAATATTTTAAAGAATAAGCAGGTGAGGGGTGGCATTCCCCTCTAATTCTAGATACTCAGGAGGCTAATACAGGAAGATTACGTGAGTCCGGAGCTCAAATTTACAGTGAGCTATGATCACACAACTGTACTTTAAGCTGTGGAACAGTATGAGAGCCTGCCTCTAAAAACAAACCAAAAAGAATCAATTAAGAATTCCACACAACTGTAAATCTACTCAAACAGGAGATGTTAAACTGAGCATCCTCATTGATTGCCTGGAGTTTCTGATGTTTTGAAGCAGACATGTGACCTAAGACCTGCAGAATAAGCTGATAGTCCTTGATTGTGAGAAGCTTCTACCCAAGACATTCGGCCAGGACCCTAATTCCCCATCCCCTCCTTCTTTCTCTCATTATTATTTCCTTATATTTCTAAAGTCATCTCATTTCTGTAGATCTGGGTCTTGTCCACCCATACTGAACCCTTATTTCTTTTTCATTATTTTTATTCTTGCTACCTAGAATAAGTTGTCACTCTATCTTTTGGTGCATGCCTGTTGATTACTTAAGGCTCACTCCTCCATCATCTCCTTTTTTGCCACACAAGGTGAATCTAGTTTGGACTCACAGGAGCTTCTTCATTCAATGGCAGTGGGAGTTTCAAACCTTATAAACCCTGATCTGTGAGTGGGAAGCCTCACTGTGCCACCACCACTAAACCATTATAAAAACCCTGAGCCAGTCTCCTTTCCTCTTCTTTCAAGCCATTTTAGATTTTCCTGCGAGACCTGCCCTGCACTCAGCAGACACCTACACTGTGCAGATAATACACTTTTCCATATTCACTTGTTCTGAGTGTATGACTTCATCAGACATGACATAAACACTAAATCTCAGTTGAGATCTCTTGGCTTTGCATGTCGTCAACTACAACTGATGGTGTCACTGTTTCTTTTTTTTTCACAGACACTTCTCAAAAGAAGACATTTATGCAGACAAAAGACACATGAAAAAATTCTCATCGTCACTGGCCATCAGAGAAATGCAAATCTAAACCACAAGGAGATACCATCTCACACCAGTTAGAATGGCAAACACTGTTTCTATCAACAGGACACACTGGATCCCTGAAACAACTCCAGGACAGAGCTGGACATGTGCTATAGATTTGTTTTGTGTCCCCACCTAAATATCATCTCAAATTCTAATCCCCACATGTCAAGGGAGGGACCAGGTGAGAGGTTATTGGATCATGAGGGCAGTTTTCCCATGTTGTTCTCGTCATAGTGAGTGAGTTCTCACAAGAGCTGATAGTTTAAAACTATGTGTCACTTCCCCCTCTCTCTCCTGCTGCCCTGTGTGATGTGCCTTGCTTCGCCTTCACCTTCCACCATGATTGTAAGTTTCCTGTGGCCTCCCCAGCCATGCAGAACTGTGAGTCATCTAAACCTCTTTTCTTTGTAAACTCCTCGTCTCAGGTAGTTCTTTATACCACTGTGAAAACGAACTAATATCACATGACTGGTGGAGTTTGATAAACTTTCTTAATGACAGTTTATAGGGGGGTTGATAGGGTTTGAAACTCCCACTGGCATTGAATGAAGAAGCTGCTGTGAGTCCAAACTAGATTCAGCTTGTGTGGCAAAAAAGGAGATGATGGAGGAGTGAGACTTATAATCAGTGCTAAAGGTAGTACTAATTATACTAGGTAAAATTTGGTATCAAAGCAATTAGACAGAGATAAATAAAATACATGAAAAGTCAGAGACACCTGAATATACACATGAATGAGTGCTGAACATTTCTGTATTTTTGGAGAAATGCTAGAATACGGCAAAATAATGGCATGGGGTTAAATAAAAAAATAATAGTCTCCACATGAAGTGTTCAATTTTACAAATATGGTCATAGACATTATCATTATCAACATGGATAACAAGTCAATTACCCTCAAAATATCCTCTTGTTCTGTAATTCCTCCTTCCTAGACCTTCCCTTCTCCTACAATATTGACAGTGAACTACTGATTTTTATGTAACTTTAGATTACTTATCAATACATCAGGTAATAAAAGTTATAGATTTATGTGTGTTGTGGGGTGGCTGTATATAAGTTTCTGTGTGAGAGAGAGAAGGAGGGAGGAAGGAAGGCAGAAAAAGAGAGGAATCCTACATAATTGACCACAATTTATGAGGTTCTCAAGTAATTATGGGGAATTAGTCCTTACAGACAAGGCTGATATAAGATGGAGAGGACAACTTGACATACCTAGCTATGGTTATATATTTATATCAATATCATTTTCTAATCATACAAACACTCACATGCATTAGAATAGAGGTAGTGGAGGGTGTCTGGTGGTGAAACATGATGGTGACACAAAACGCCTCATCCAGCTCCTTTTCACACCAGCTGCACATGCCCTGAGGTTGAGCCTTGAACCTGCTCTTTCTGAATCCCCACAATAATCCTGAGCCCCCTGCTGTACCAAGCACCCATTGGTGTCCTGATTTTCCCCCATGGTTCCTGAGAGCCCCCAGCTACCTGCATGCCTCTACAATGGTCTTGAGTGCCCCTTGGTGTCCTGAGGGAGCCTGGTGTCCTGAGTAACCCTGGCTGTCCTATGCACCCCCACAGGGAGGCTTGGGTATGAGTTCACACTGTGGTTTCCTCACTGTGTCTTTTGCTCTAAAATACATGGCTATGTGTTTGTTCCTCACATAGTTCAGCTGTAAGAAGAACTACTTTTTGGACATGGATCTGGAGATGGTGACTGGACTCTTGAGAAGAGGGGAGTAATTTGTGCTCCCTCCATGACCTATGCACCCGATCCACTCCAGTACCTCCCATGGGGGCGCTGATGGATGCAGCTCCAGCAGGAAACACTGGTTGTGATGGAGAATGCAGAGATGGCACAGGTGAGGGAGAGGTTCTGTGAAGGCTTCACCAGGCCAAGAGTGCACCGAGAAATACAGTTGTTGGCAGCCACAGGTTCTGGAGAACACGCTGAAATTTCCAAATACTTACATTTCTATGAGAATAACGAGCTCACTTGTGCTCAATTAGTGAGTCTCCTAGCATAATGCAGTTGATGCTGATGTTGGATTCAGACAAATATAGGGTCACGTTTTTCTCCATACTTGGAACCAAGTAATAAAGAGAAACTTATGTTAGGAGAATGGCCATTGAACTATCTCTGATCATGGTGATTTTCAGAATAGGCTTGAGATGTGATCACCTAAAGAGTGTCCTAATGCTTAACCAACAATTAGGCCTGAGCAGCAGTCACAGGCACTGGAGGTCGCCCACATGGAGAAATGTCTGACTCACTGAAGCTGCACCTGGGGGTCTCTGCAGGCTCTGAGTTGTGCAGAAACAGCTCCTCCCTTAGACTCAGACTGAGGACAATCTCTGCTCATTCTCTGGGGAAGGTGAGGGTTAGTGTGTGGAAAGAACCCAACTTACTTTGCTCAAGATCTCTGTACTTGAACAGAAACAAAGAGTAGGAGAAAAAATGATTTCGGTTTTACATAGAATAAATTATCATGAGGAAGGCAATAATATGTCTGGATCTTGCACAGAATTAAGAAACAATGAATTTGGGGTAAAGTTGAAAATTACAATTTCTTTGCAGATTCTGTTTTTAGTTATCTATGTCATCTGCGAAAATGAAGTAAAATCAGAGTTTTTATATAAAAATTCACAAACAGCATGCTGGCCCCAAGAATGCACCTCCCATCTCTCCAGCATCAGGCCCAATAGACCAGGCAGCCAGCTGCTGCACTGCACTCTTAACACCCGCCACCTGGTGTGTGCCAAAGACACCCATCCTGGGAGCTCCTCCCAGACAGTGGCTGTGCACAGTGGAGACACTGAGGCATGGCTGCTGCTGGGAAGCATTGGACATCCCTGATGGACAACTGTGCTCTGGGAGGCACCAATGGTCTTCCTGGACTTATCTTGGACCACAGAGTTGTTAGGGAAGGTCCATCAAACTCCCATCCCTCTCCAGTACTAGTGGTGAGATTGACATTCTGGGGTGACAGTATCTACAGCCCCACCTGGCCTCCTGTGCATTTTTTGCTTCCATTACTTACATCTGCTTTGGGACAAATGAAAATGTTTCCTCTTCCTATAATAAACTTTTCTAATCCAGAGATGTCAGGGGTGGCCACAGAAACATAAATGTCCAGAGGCTCTGAGGGGAACTGGTAGATGCAGAGGAAGCCACAGACCCCGAAGGAAAGCAGCCCATGATAACCATCTGTACCTGCCCTAGAGCTGCCCGTTTTCAGTGGGTCCTGAGTGCCCCTTTTAGCCCAGCCTCCTCCCTTATCATTGCAGGAAACTCTGTGTCTGTGTTCACACTGATGTCTTCTTACCTGGTGCCTCACATACAGTAACACACAGCTGTGCCCTCTGCTCTCAGACTGTTCATTAGCAAATACAGTGAGTTCTTGGCATTTTCTTTGGAGATGGTGAATTTGCTCTTCAAAGATTATGCATAACATATCTGACTTCCATCACACTGTATATCTACTACTCACTCCAGCCCCTTCCCTGGAGCCTGGGAAACCGAGCTCCTTCAGTAGCTACTGAAGGTTAATCCAGAGTCTGCACAGGAGAGTCTCAGGGATCCCCCAGGTTGTCTTGGGTCCTCTCCGGACTCCACGAGCTGTACCTCTCACTAGACACCTGCAAACTCGTAGACATCCCGGTCAGAAACTCCCAGACATAATCCACCATTTCTCTCAAGGGTATCCACTCACGCTCAATCTCTCTAGTTCACCTTTTAAAACAGCAACAGTGAAAACCCAGCTCAGCCCAAGCTCCATGGTGGGTCCTCTGTCTTTAGTCCTGATCACCAAATAGAAACCCCTGGGAATCCCAGGGCTGGCGCTTCTCTCCCAGAGCTGTGGGGTCAGGACTGGGCTGGTTTTCATCAGCAGAGGGAGAAACCTATTTGCATGTCTCCTACTGTATAGCAAGCTCTGGGATGGGAATCCTGAGGAGGTGCAGGGCTCAGAGCAGACAAAGTGCCCTGGGGGAGATTGGCAGTCATCTTATCACTCAGGAAAATATCATTATATTATATGATTGTGCCTTGATAATCATTTAGCAGTCATCATCTTTTTGACATATTTGTAGAATACATTTAATGCAAGTGTCAATGTCACATTTTAAGGAAGATAAATCACACAGAGAACAGAGTGTTTATACAATGCATTCAAGGTCACACAGCTGGACAGAGTTAGCCCCATTATCTCGGCCTGTGCCTCTGACCACTAGAGGAGACTGCTCCCCTGAGACAACTCCAGGGCAGTGTGAGACATGCCTAGTGAGGTCTGCAGGATTCCACCCCTGCCAGGACATCTCTGTTTTCTTTTAGTGTATTCTGCTATTGACCTGAAATACATAGAGAGAACCAGTGTTCACGCTTGTGTATTTTCAAGAGTCAGAGATGTTTCGAGTGTTCATTCCCATCTAGTTTTGGCTCCACCTCAATAAATGTATTCATTTGTTTCTTTGTTACTGCTTTATTTAAGTACAATTAATAATTAATTCAAATATATACTGCATAATTTGGAAAATGGTAACATGTGTGCAACCCTTTAATCAGAGCTTCAATTAATCTGTGTACAATTCACACCTAAATCTTTGTGTCACTTCTCTGTAATTTCATCTCACCACCCCATTACTTTCAAAACCCAGTTCCCACCAATATGTAATCTTCTCTGTTGCTTTAGAATAGCTGTACCTTCTGCAGTTTATACAAATAGAAGTTTATGAAGTGCACTGTTAATTTGTTAGCTACTTCCACTCAGCACAGTTATTTGTGAATGCAGCCATGATTTTATGAGAATGTGGATGCCTGGATTCTAATCCTGTGTTGTACTTTAGTTCATAATCATACATCAAATTGTCTAACATTCACTTGTAATGGATATGGATACTTGAGTTGTTCTCTTAATTTCTGGCTTTCATAGAGAGAGAGCAGTTACTCAGTATGGGAATGTGAAAAATGAGGAAACCATGATCTTACTCTTTCCTCATTAACAACAAACCTGAAAAATTATGAATAAATGAAGAAGAAAACCTTTTAACATATCTGAGTTGCTTTCACGGAGCAAAAAAGAGGACTGAAATCTGAGGAGGCAGACGCCTACAGAGAGGACTGGGGCCCACATGTTACCGAACCCAGGGCAGGTGCCACAGTATGGTATTGAGAGAGGAACAGGTTAACCTGGAAATATTTAGTGAGGATTTTTTTTTTAAATTTTGGATGCATGTGCTAATGGTGTTAGATGTGAAACTATTAGTCCTTGCAGGCTTTTTCCCGGGGATCTGAAAAATCCACAGTCAGCTCCCTTATCTGCTGTCCTGCGGTGCTGACAGGAAGAGAAGAACGGTAAGGACTGTGGAACGCCTGGATTCACCTCCACTGTCTCCAGGGGAAATCCACTAAAACCTGTGTCCTATGGCCTGTGATGTGGTCAACAGAAACCAAAGAAAACAGAGGATTCCCAGGAGACTCCATCCAGATGAAATCCTTAATCTTCAGGTTAAGTACAATGGAGGAGAAGCTGAGGACATGGCAGAGAAACCACTGTGGGTTGGAAAAGACACTCTACCCCTGGGGGAAGAGGTAAGAACAGGAAACTTGGGAAGGCCACCCTGAGAATCATGATTACTGCATATGCATAAGAAGGAGGTTGTTTTGGAAGGTTGGAGAACGTCCCCGTTTGTTCGAACCCCTTCTCCACATGGTCAACTAGGTCTGCAGAATAGTGAAGTAGCTGCATCAGCTCCATTCTGGCCTCTGTCATGTGACAGTTTGGGTGGATTTGCTTTCTGCTCTCTCATAATTTGTTTCCTCTCTCAACTCCTAGCTCCATTCTTCTTTTAATTCTCACTTTATTGAAGAGATTCATATTTAGCTTAGAACATTAAAACCTTTGGAAGTAATTTTCATCTCAAACCTACCAAATCTAATGAGCTCTCTCCAGGGGTGCCCATCTGCTTTTTTTCTTCCTTTTCTATGGGGTATGGCCCTTGTTTCTCCCTGAGTCCAGCTCTTATTTTCATATGCATGAGGAGTCCAACCATCACACACCCAGGGACATCTTGGAGCAACGTAACCTATCATCCGTCTCCTCAGCCCTCATGTGCACAGTGGCCACTCTGTCAGCTGCTGTATGTGCTTTAGGGCTTTCCATGTAAAAGTGTCTCTCACTTTCCCCCCAAATAAAGTTCCTGGTCCTTAAATACCTTCAAAAGCCAGTCTTCTTTACTGCCCCTTTGTTGCTAATATTGTTTTATTCCATTAAAATACACTGGGAACCTCAGTGACTATTGTCTGACTTCTATTATCCCATTGTCTGACTTCTGCCTGACTGACCCACCCATGAGCTTTAATCCACTGCTCTGCAGCTGATGGGGCCATCTGGACCTTCATTCATAAGAGGTGTGTAATTTATTAGAGAAGACCTGAGATCAGCAGGTGCCTGAGTTCCTCAGAACACAGGTGTGTCCTGCAGTAGAGTGTGTGTGACTGAAATCACACGTGTGTATAACTTGTAGCCTCAGCCCATAAGGTGATGACACCTTCTGGCCATTCCTGGGCAACCTGATGTGGGATGCCCACAGAAGGATGGGTACATGACAAGGATGTTAGAAACCGATGTGGTGTTGGGGGCATGGACGGCCAAATTTAATTTAAATCTATTCTGTCCTTGATACTTGGGGAAGACTGGGAGAAAGGGAACAAAACTCAGACCCTATGTAGCTCCTAATTTAGGAAGGGATTCAGTGCAAATTGAGAAAGTTGAAGGAATAGACTATACTTTAAGGGATCATTTCTATAGTTCGTTCGAGGAAGTTGAAGGAAAACAGTTATGTTGGTGATGTTGGTGTGTTTTCCTGTGACTTACTTAGGAGACAGCAGAAGATGTTCAGTGGTCAGTCTCCATGCAGCTGGTCCTCATTGTCCATTTGTTATATCCACATGAAAGATAAAAGAAAATTTTGTGGTACAGGCACCAGGGCTGGTTTCATAGACATTGCCCCAAGAATGGCCAACAGGGGCCAGGTGCGGTGGCTCACACTTGTAATCCCAACACTTTGGGAAACCGAGGCAGGCAGATCATGCAGGGAGGAGATTTGAGACCATCCTAACACAGTGAAACCCTGTCTCTGCTAAAAATACAAAAAAAAAAAAAATAGCCTGGCATGGTGGTGGACACCTGTAGTCCCAGCTG
The DNA here is from genome assembly GCF_000001405.40 of Homo sapiens. Taxonomy (NCBI): domain Eukaryota; kingdom Metazoa; phylum Chordata; class Mammalia; order Primates; family Hominidae; genus Homo; species Homo sapiens. Next base: position 839,950 of record NT_187600.1, read on the forward strand.
CTCAGGAGGTTGAGGAAGGAGAATTGCCTGAACCCAGGAGACGGGGGTTGTAGTCAGCTGAGATTGCACCACTGCACTCCAGCCTGGCCACAGAGTGAGACTCCGTCAAAAAAAAATGGCCAACAGGGCCATGACACATTTTTATATGAGAACTACTATTTCTGCCTACTTCATATGGATATCTGAGAGATGTGCCCAGCCTCAGGGAGCTGCTTCTCCCTCCAGGAGCTAACAGAGTTATGTGGTATTAGTCTGTCTGGGTCTTCATAAGAAGACAACAGGAGTGGGTGGCTTAAACAACAAACATTGATTTTCTCACCATTCTGAAGTCTGAATGTCCAAGGTCCAGGTGCTGGCAGGGTTGGTTCTTGGTGCGGCTTCTTCTTGGCTTGCACCTTCTAGTCCACTATGTCTCCACATGGCCTCTTCTCTGCGTGCACGGGAAAAGTGAGAGGTCTCTGGTGACTCTTCCACTTCTTATAAAGACAACAGATCTATTGCATTAGAATCTCAGACTTATGATCACATTTAACCTTAATTCCATCCTTAAAATTCCAATATAGATCAATTGGATTTAAGGTTTCAGCATTTGAATTTCAAAGACAGCACAATTCAACTGATGACACAAATCAAGAGATGGTGAGAAGTATTAGAATATATATTTTTTTTAATTAAGAAGGAAAAATGGGACATTCAGGAACTTGTAGGAAAGTTCCTAGTAATTAGTGACACTTTGACTCTAAGAGGAAAATTTGCCTTCCTCTTTCCTTTCCTACCACAAGGATGTGAGGAAGCAGAACCACAGATAATAAAGAAAGAGGAGCCCTGGGGACAGCTGAGGTGCTGGCGAGGAGGGAGAGCACTGAGCAGATGAGGAAGCCCCGCCCTCCCTGCACCTGCTCCTGACCCGGCCTCATGCTCTGTGGGCCCCGCGCACCCCCTGCTGGTCCTGAGCAGCAACTGCGCCGGTCCCCTCCGCCTCCCTGCAGGGAGGTTTGTGTCTGGGCTCACACTCACCTCCCCTCATTGTGTCTCTGGCACAGTAATACACGGCCGTGTCTGCGGCAGTCACAGAGCTCAGCTTCAGGGAGAACTGGTTCTTGGACGTGTCTACTGATATGGTAACTCGACTCTTGAGGGACGGGTTGTAGTAGGTGCTCCCACTGTAATAGATGTACCCAATCCACTCCAGGCCCTTCCCTGGGGGCTGGCGGATCCAGCTCCAGTAGTAATCACCACTGCTGATGGAGCCACCAGAGACAGTGCAGGTGAGGGACAGGGTCTGTGAAGGCTTCACCAGTCCTGGGCCCGACTCCTGCAGCTGCAGCTGGGACAGGACCCCTGTGAACAGAGAGACACACAGTGAGCCCTGGGATCAGAGGCACCTCCCATATCTCCATGTCTGCAGCCTTGAGACACTCACATCTGGGAGCTGCCACCAGCAGGAGGAAGAACCACAGGTGTTTCATGTTCTTGCACAGGAGGTCCAGGACTCTCAGAAAGTATTTCCCATGTGAGCAGGACCCTGAATTTAAGGAAATGTGTGGTGGTTTTCTGTGGGTGCCTAAGTGAGATTTGCATGTGGGTGGTGCCTCTGTATGGACAGGTGAAAAGGGATGAGGGAGGCCCCAGTCTTTTAGACTCTCCCTGGGAAGAGGATGCTGGCTGTGCCCTCTGAGAATTCAGTTATCTTCCTGGGGCCTCAACTCACTATGTCCTGGCTCCTCTTTTCCCAGGTGAGGAAACAGATTGCAACAGCAGCTTAATGTAACAATCACTTGAGTTCAGACACACCAGGATTCACTTAACGTTATTTGTAGTTCAGAACCTCCATCAGGTTTAGAGGGAATCGCTCTGTCCCAGGGAGTGGATCTTACAATAGCAAAACGGTCTTAGAAAACCCAACATAATCTACAGCGAGACCTCAGCATGGCAAGCAAGGAATCACTAAAGCCACCAGGGAGCTCCGGATGCACTGATACGATCGAGAAACATAGCGAGTCCGGGAACTGATGGGGACTTTGAGGCAGCCTCTTTTTTTTTTTTTTTTTTTTTTTTAGGATTCTGTGGTTGAAGGTCACAACACTGGGCCTGACTGCTCCCTGAACCAAGCCCAGCACAATGTGGTTCACCCCAGTGACATTTTCAGAACTTTCTTCCTGTAATGAAAGCACGGTGTGATGTGTATGCACTATTGTGTTTACCTAATGAATGTAAAGAGAAGCACATTTCATGCAGCTGTATTTTCATAAATGTCAGACACTCATCATGTTAGTGTCTATTTTTCCATGAATCTGTACTGAACAAATTATTCATTCATTGATTTGTAATAGTCTTATTGAGACATTATTACTATACATTAAATATTGCAAAAAGTGTGTAGTTTAATAAGTACTCAAGCCAAGCCTGCTGGCACACAACGGTAGTTTCAGCTACTTAGATGGCAGATGCAGGAGTATTGTTGGAGACCAGAAGTTCGAGGTTACATTGCACTATGATCCCACCACTACAATCCAGCCTGGGTCACAGAGAAGGACCACATCTCTTCAGAAAAACAAACAAACAAACAAAACAAAATGTTATTCCACTCGTGCTCACCTTTGCATCCCCAAAAGCCATCCAAATAATGAACAAATTACACTTAAAAGTTTCCTTGTGTTCCTCTACAATTCCTCCTTCCCAAATATTTTCTTCCCCACCATATTCTGAGTCAGTCCTTCATATTTAATGCTTTAGTTTTGAGTTTCAAGAATTATACAGGAATTATATAGTATGTGTTCTATTTGTGTGGCTTCTCGCACATAACTACTTATGATGCAAACATGTTGAGCATCAACAATGTATTGATTCTCATGATGGATGTTATTACAGTAAATTAGCATGCCATTACTTTTATCTATGTATCTTCTTGATATTTGTATCATTTCTAGTTTCTTAGTATTACACATAGAGGTGCCTCTCAGCTTGGAGATGTAAGCACCCCATAAAAATATGTTATTATTCTTACAACAGCTACTAAACTTACTGATCTGCAAATTAGCACATATACATCAAATTTTTGATGTTATAGGACAAACAATATATCTGAAATCTGAAGAGAGATAAGGACTTGCAGGGAAATAAACAGGAGCAGATGATAATCTTTTCTGGCACAGAGGCTGCCAAATGCCATTTAAGTTAGCACACGATTAAAGTAGACATATTCATTGGATGGTTTCAATTTGAGTGTGATAGAGAAGTTATTGTTTAAATTCTCAGAGTGTATACAGTTGAGGAATTCCTCCTGCTATTGAAGCCTTTTTCTTCAGTACTGGGGATACATCACAAAATGCTCCACCCTCTACCCCTTGGGATGGTGCTGTCTGGGAAAGCAAAACAGCAACTATAGGTGAAGTGCATCCAGGCACACCTCCCCATCACCACTACATTGCAAGAGAAATTATCTGCGGAGGTAAAGCCACCAAAACCACTGTTCTACAGACACTGGAGAAACCAATAAGAACTGGGAGGGGAGAGAGGAATGCACCAAGTCCCTGTCCAGGCCCACCTCCTGTCTTCCCTTAGGAATAATGCCTTATTCAAAAGGAAAAGGCAGAAACTGAAGAAATCAGTGGGAAGACATAGTGGCTGCTGAAGGAACATATGAATAAAAATGAAGAGGCCAGTTGCGGTGCCTCACGCCTGTGATCCCAGCACTTTGGGAGGCTGAGGTGGAAGGATCACCTGAGGTAGGGAGTTTGAGACCAGCCTGACCAATATTGAGAAATGTCATCTCTGATAAAAATACAAGATTAGTGGGGCATGGTGTCACATGCCTGTGATCCCAGCTACTCTGGAGGCTGAGGTAGGAGAATCACCTGAACCTGGGAGGGGGAGATTGCAGTGAGCTGAGATGGCACCATTGCACTCCAGTCTGGGCAAGAAGAGGGAAAATCCACCTTAAAAAAAAAAAAAAAGAATGACAAGAATGGCCAAGTGTAGATGAAGCGCCCTGGAAACCTAGCTACTTGCTAGCCAGGAGGTTGAGGTGGGAGGATTCTATGAGCCAGGAATTTGAAATCACCCTGAGCTATGTTATGATCACAGCACTGCAGTCCAACCTGCACAACAGAGTGAGACTCTGTCTCAAAAAAAAAAAAATTAATTTCACACAATTGTAAAGCTACTCAGAGGAAGTTAAACTGCGCATCCTCACATATCATCTAGCACTTCTGATATTTTGAAGAAAACATGTGACCTAAGACCTTCAGAATAAGCTGATGATCTCAAATCATGAAAAGCTTCCACACAAGACATTGGACCAGAATCCTCCTCCATATCCTACTCATTATTCTTTGCTTATAAACAGTCTTCTCATTTTCTGCAGACCTGGCTGTTGTCCACCCATACTGGAGTCTTGTCTCTCTTCTTACTCATCATTTGTATACTTGCTATTTAGAGTAAGTCATCAGACTCTATGTTTAGGCCTGACTGCTGAGAACTTCAGGCTCTTTCCTCCATCATCTCTTTTTTTAAGCATACAAGGTAAATCTAGTCAGAAATCACAGGAGCTCCCTCATTTGATGCCAATTTGACCTTGAAACCCCACAAAACCCTTCCTGCAAGTAGGACGCTCTTGCCCCGCTCCCCACCAAACCATGATAACAACCCTGAGCCAGTCTCCTTCCCTGCCCTATCAAGCCACTTTGGACCTTAATGAGAGACCTGCCCTGCTCTCAGCAGACACCTTAAGGATGCAGGTAACTATCCTTTCCATACTCAGTTGGTGTGAGTGTGTGGCATAATCACACTCAACATCCACAGAAAATTTTAGTCGAGATCTCTTGGCATTGGCATGGTGTCGGCTACAATGGATGCTGGGAGCTTGGTGTCACGGCTCCTTCCAAAGGACATGCCTGCTCCCTGAGTTAACTCCAAGATGCAGTTGGACAGGCCTCCTGGGGTCTGAGAAGCTCCTTTCATGTACTGAAATCCTGTCATTATGTTTTTGTATTCTAGTGTCTCCCTCAAAGTACAGTGAGACCCAGGGTCCATTCATGTGTGTATTCAGGACTCTCTGATTTTTATGTATTTTATTCATCTCTCTCTACTACCTTTTCTACCAAACTAGACATTTAAAAAATTGCAATATTTTAATGAGGTGAAATTAGCAAATAAGAATCTTTACATAAAGTGTACAATTTTACAAATATTGACATAATCCTCACTTTTACTAACAGAGAAAAAAAATCAATTATCCTAGAAATTTCCTTTTGTTCTCCTGTAGTTTCTCCTTTCTATACCTTCTCTTCTTGTACCATGTCCCCAGTCAACTACAGATCTTTTTATGTAACTTTAAGTTCATTTTTACTTTATAGAAATTATAAAAGTGGAATCGTATGTATGTACTTTTATTTGTTTGACTTATTTTACTTATTCAAGTACTTGCTATTTTAAGCATGGTGTTGGGTGTATCCAGCATTACTTGATTGTAGCAGTGGGTATGATTCCAGTAAGTGAATTTTCCACAATTTGTTTACCAGTTAAGCTGCTGAATAACAGTTGGATCGCTTTTGGTCTCTGGGTATAATAAACAAAGATGCTACTTAGCTTAGAGAAGTAACAAGCTGAGAAACACATGGTTCTTATTTTTACATAACATGAATAGCAGGCAAAGCAGAAAAGCTGCACACTAATCAATTTGCTTCAATACATCACATAATTAAAGTTGGGAAGCTCTGTGTGTGTGTCAATTCACGTGTTTTTGTGTGACAGAGAGAGAAGGCAGGAGGAGAGACCATGCCAAAAGGAGACCCTACCTGTTTTGACCATAATGTGTGAGGTACTCAAGTAAATACAGGGACTTAGTGCTTGATGGACAAGGTCCACGTAAGATGGAGAAGACAACTGGATGCACCTCCATATGGGTACATAGTAGTATTTACATAAATGCCATTTTCTAATCATATCAACACTCAGACACATTAGAAGAGATGTAGTGGAGGGTGTCTGGTGGTGAAATATGATGGTGAGAACAACCCACATCTACAGCCCCTTTTCTGCCCTGTTGCACTTGCCCTGATGCGAAGCCTTGATCCTGCTCATCCTGACCCCTAACAATCATCCTAAGCCCCCATACTGCCCCAAATGCCCCCTTCTGCTCCTATTCACCCCTGCAGGGAGGGTTGTGTCTAGGCTCACAATGAAGGCCCTTCATTGCGTCTTTTGCTTCAAAATGTGTAGTGGTGTGTTCACTGGGCACAGAGCTCAACTGTAAGAACTGTTTCTTGGATATGGATATGGACTCTTGAGAAGTGGGTTGTAATTTGTGCTCCCTTCACAGCCCATGCACCTGATCCACTCCTGTCCATCTTCTAGGGGCAAGCAGATACAATTCTAGAAGGAAACACTGGTTATGATGGGGAATCCAGAGACAGTGCAGGTGAGGGAGAGGGTCTGTGAGGATGTCTCAAGCCAGAAGTGCACTGCGAAACATTGTTGTTGATGTTAACAGGTTCTGGACGACACGGTGAAATTCCCAAATACATGCATTTTTTATGAGCATAAAGAGCTCACTCTTGTCCAATTTGTGAGTCTCCTAGAACAATTCAGTAGATCTCGAGGTTAGATTAAAAAGTATTATCACATGTTCCTTTCCTCAAACTTGCAACCAAATAAAAAAGAGAAACTGCCGTTAGAAAAATCAACATTGAATTGTTACCACGGTGTGTGATAACGATGATTTTTACAATAGGATTGACCTGTGATAACCTGAATACTGTCCTAATTCTGAGCCCACAATTAGACCTGAGCAGCAATCACAGGGAGTGAAACACCTGACTCAGTGAAGCTGCACCTGGGGGTCTCCGCAGGCCCTGAGTGGTACAGGAACAGCTCCTCCCTCAGACTCAGTCTAAGGAGAACTTCTGCTCTTTATCTGGGGAGGTGAGGGTGAGTGTGTGGAAAGTACCAAACTTGCTCTAATCAAGATCTTTGCACATGGGGAGAACCAAAGTATACGAGAAACAACTTGTTTCAGTTTAGGTAGAACAATTTCTCATGAGAAGGGCAGTACCATGTCTGGATCCTGCACGGAATTCAGAAACAATGAAGTTGGGGTAAAGTTGAAAATTATAATTGTTTGCAGATTGTGTTATTAATTATCTATGTCATCTGAGAAAATGAATTAAATCACATGGTTTTTATACAAAAATTGTCAAAGCGTGCTGGCCCTGAGAATGCACCTCCAATCCCTCCAATATCCAGGAGCCCAATAGACCAGGCAGCCAGCTGCTGCACTGCACTCTAACACCCATCACCTGTGTGTGCCAAAGACACCCATCCTGGGAGCTCCTCCCAGACAATGGCTGTGCACAGTGGAGAGATTGAGGCATGGCTGCTGCTGGGACACATGGGAGATCCCTGATGGACAACTGTGCTCAGCGAGGCACCAATGGCCTTGCTGGACTTAGCTTGGACCACGGGGTCATCAGGGAAGCTCCATCAAACTCCCACCCTTCTCCAGCACTAGTTGTGGGTCTGGCATTGTGGGGTGGCAGTGTCTACAGACTCACCTGGCTCCTATGCATTTTTATGCCTCCAAAACTTACATCTGTTTTTGGGACATATGAGAATATTTCTTCTTTCAAATTAGTTTTCTAATCCAGGGACCTCATGGCGGGCACACAATATAAATGTACAGAGGCTCAGAGGGGAAATATTAGAAGCAGAGGAAACCACAGATCCTGAAGGAAAGCAGCCCTTACCCTCCCTCCATCTGCACCTGCCTTGGGGCTGCACCTGTTTTGTGAGTGCTGAGTGTCCCCTTTGGCCCAGACTCCTTTCTTCTTTTTGCAGGAAATTTTGTGTCTGGACTCACACCGATGTTTCCTCACTTGGAACCTTATGTACAGCCATACACAGCCATGTCCTCAGTTCTCTGACTGTTCATTTGCAGATACAGAGAGTTCTTAGCATTGTCTTTGGAGATGGAGAATCTGCCCTTCACAGAGTCTGCATGGTGTATCTGACTTCCATTATCTTTTATATCTATTACTCACTCCAGCCCCTTGCCTGGAGACTGGTGAACTGGGCTCATTCAGAGGCTACTGAAGGCGAATCTAGAGGCTACACAGGAGAGTCTCAGGAACTTCCCAGGTTGTCTCAGGTCCTCTATGGGCTCTATCAGCTCCACCTCACACTGAACACCTGAAAATACACACACATCCTGGTCAGAAACTGGCAAACATATCCACTGTTTCTCTCACTCATATCCACTCACTCTCACTCACTCTAGTTCCCTATGAGTTACCTTTTAAAATACCAACAAGAAAAATTCAGCTTAATTCACACCCCATAGTGAGTTCTCTGTGTTCAGTCCTGATTACCAAATGGAAAACCCTGGGAATCCCAGGGCTGTGGCTCTTCTCCCAGAGCTGCAGGGTCAGGTCTGGGCTTGTTTTCACCAGGAGAGGGGCCCTCCCTCCTCCTCTATAGCAAGCTCCAGTGTGGGATGCCTGAGAAGAAGGCAGTGCCCAGAGCAGACGTCAGACTCCAGGAGGAGTTTAGTGGCAATGGTAGCATTTGGAAAAATATTACTTATAATGTGACTGTGCCATAAAACTCATTTAGCAATTATGATTTTTGTTTTTACACATGTGTACAAATACAAATATAACTGCATTAAGCAAATTGTAAGAGATATAAAGAAATAGAAAACAATACAAAAATAACACAAGACCTTAATACCTCATGACCATAATGTATAGCAAATCCGGAAAGAAAATTCCTAATGTGCCTCTGAACTTGAACAACACTATTGAACAAATTTATCTGAATGATATTTACAGAACCTTCCAACCAAGAGTCACGTAATACACATCCTTCTCAAGAACACATTGAACATTCTCCATGATGGGTTATATGTCACATCATAAAATGAACCTTAACATTTAAAGAAGTAATGCCAGCCCTTCTGTAACTCTTTCAAAAATTGGTGAGGAGTCCACCTTCCAAACTCTTTATATATATATAGTAAATAAACTTTATGTTTCTCAGAGATGACACTGTAAACAGTCACAGATTTGCATACAATACAATTATGTCTTGGCTATTTACAATTTACAGTAGTGGTTCTTCCTCTGAAAAATATAAGTACAAAAGCTAAGTAAACAATGAGGTACTGCCATTTGGGATTTATTATGTGTCATAGCTTAAAGAACTGGCCTTTAGCAAATATTAAACAAATCAACCTGAATAAAATAGTCAATTAAATGATTTATTTTTTCTAATTTATTGGAAAAAATTCCACCAGGTTTCACCTCAAAATGTATTGCATACGTCTAAAAACAAACTTAAAAATAAATAGGAAAGGTAAGCAGTTCTTCAAAAAGAATGGAAGAAAGGAATAGAATGAAAGCTCATAAACCAGGTTAAGTCATTCTGAATATCTTTTAAACAACATAAAATTCTTCCCAACAGAAAAGTGAAGAAAAAACTATCACCATTTCTCCACTGATAAAATCTATTTTAAAGGTAGTCTGCCATATATCTTCTAAACTCTTTCTATGAGGCTACCATGATAGTATTACCAGTAATAGACAAAGGCACCACAATAAAAGAAAACTACAGACCAATATCATTAGTAGACATGAATTAATCCCCAACAATAGTAAACTAAGCTCCAAAGTGTTTTAGAAGACATACACCATGACCAACTCAAATTTCTTCCTGAGATGCATACTTGATTCAACATTCTCAAATCAACCAATTTGGTACACCACATTAAAAAACTAAAGAAAAAATACCTCAGTAACATTTCATCAGACACAGAAAAAGACTTTGAAAAAAATCAGTTTCATTATAAAAACTATGAACAAAGTAGGAAGACAAGAAAACAACTTGAACATAATAAAAGCCGTTAAGAAAGGCCACAGCTATTATTACACTCAATAGTAAAAGGTTAGAATATTTTGGTCCAATATCTGTAACAAGGCAAGAAGAAAGCTTTAGGCATTTCACTTCCAGGCCTTAACATTTGTTAAAAACATAGAAAGTTTTGGCATAAATACCTATACAGAGCTTAGATATAAACCCACATATTGATGACGAGCTGATTTTTAGCATGAGAACCATCAATATAACATGGCTAAATTGTAGTGTCTTCCAAAGAGGGTGGTATGAAAACTGGATTTTCCCATGAAAAGAATTAAGAATTTTAGGTTAGAATAAACACAAAAATTCACTCCAAATGCCTCAAATATCTAACTTTAATACCTGTAATCGTAAAACTCTCAACCCTCAAAAAATTAGCAATCTTTTTCTGGATTTTACATTCAAATCACCTACAAAAAAAAAGCAGAATTGAACAAGTGGGAATAGATTATGAAAAAGATTCTGCAAAGCAACCAAGTAACTACAACTTACAGAATTGGATAATATGCCATATATCTCAAAAAGTTTTAATGTCCAAATGGAAAAGAAACTTCTACAACTCAACAGCAAAAAGAAAAATAGCCTCATTTTTAATAATCAGTTTTACACCTTTAACACTGTAAGAACCTAGAACTCAGGTTAATGTTTTTCTCCATGGGCAACGGTCCGTCTTTGGGTCTACTTAGCTGGACAATACCGTGTATTGATTTGACAAAACAGTAATCCAGGTGGTGGTGTGAATTTTTAACAGACGTTATTGAAACTGGAATCGGTTGACTCTATGTTAGGTAGATTATCATTGATAACCTGCTTGGCCCTGATTCCATCAGAGCAGAACTGGAGAAGGTAAAACTCCACGGTGATTAAGCAGCTTCAGCTCTTTCTGAGACTTCCAGCCTGCACTTACTGATGGCCGGCCCTGAGGATATTGGATGTTCCAGCCATCTCCCAAAATTGTCATCCCCTGCATCTCACAGGGAAAACATCTTCCTTTTGCAAAAAGCAGGAAAAACAAATGGAAAAAGGAGAAAAACGACGAAAAAATAAAGTAAATGGATTAGGAACAAAAGAAGCACCAGATCGGTGCTGATACTGATTTGCATACTTTCGTGTCAGGAGAAGGATCAGACGTGAAATCTGTGAGGTTCTACATGACGCTGACCCTGGTTCAGCCTCTCTATTGTCTGTGACCAGGATCCATAAAGACTGTTCCAGTCAGGGAATCTCACGGAGGTCCCTGTCCTGGGTCTGATTGGAGAAGAATCACCAGGAAGCCCTGAGGTTACTCAGGACTCTGATCCTTGTGACCATGGTTGAGGAATTTTCATCCGTGTCAGCGTCAATCTGCATTTTGTGCCAGGGAGAAAAGGTCCTCATATACATAGAGAAGACATTGTTAGGCACAGTTTTCTAAATTTAAGAGGTTCCCTGGGGAACTGTCAGAAGAAGACAAAGTCCCACACCCTGACAGGAAACAGCCTCCATCTGCACCTGCCTCCAGGGCTGACTCTGATCAGTGGCTCCTGAGCGCCCCCTGCCGCTGATTTCCCGCCAGCGTTCCTGCAGGGAGGTTTGTGTCTGGGCGCACAATGACTTCCCCTCACTGTGTCTTTCGCACAGTAATACACAGCCGTGTCCTCAGCTCTCAGGCTGTTCATTTGCAGATACAGCGTGTTCTTGGAATTGTCTCTGGAGATGGTGAATCGGCCCTTCACGGAGTCTGCATAGTATTTATTACTTCCATCATACCGTATAAATGCCACCCACTCCAGCCCCTTGCCTGGAGCCTGGCGGACCCAGTGCATGCCATAGCTACTGAAGGTGAATCCAGACGCTGCACAGGAGAGTCTCAGGGACCCCCCAGGCTGGACCACGCCTCCCCCAGACTCCACCAGCTGCACCTGACACTGGACACCTGCAAACAGAAGGACACCGTTATCAGAAACTGCCACACAAATCCAGTTTTTCTCACTCATGTTCACTCACACTCAGTCTCTCTATTTCTCCGTGAATCACCTCTTAAAAGAGCAACGAGGAAAACCCAGCTCAGCCCAAACTCCATGGTGAGTCCTCTGTGTTCAGTGATGATCACCGAATGGAAACACCGCCGACTTCTAGTGCTGGGCTCCTCTCCCAGAGCTGCAGGGTCAGGGCTGGGCTGGTTTTCATCAGTAGAGGGAGGGCCCTATTTGCATGTCCCCCACTATATAGCAAGCTCTGGGTGGGACATCTGAGGAGAGGCTGGGCTCAGGGCAGATGAAGTGTCCTGGGGGAGACTGGTAGTAATTCCATCATTCAGGAAAATATAGTTATATCTTATATGCTTGTGCCTTGATTAACACTTAGCTCTCATAACTTTCTTTTATTCTTACATATTTACACAATATATTTAATGCAGGCTTCAATGTTATATTTTACAGGAGATAATTTACATAGAGAACACAGCAGTTGTGCAGTGTGTCTAAGATAACACATCTAAAAATTTAGTCCTATTACCTGGGCCTGTGCTCTAACCTCTGGAGGAGGCAGCTCCCCTGAGACAACTCCAGGGCAGCATGGCCCATGCCTAGTGAAGTCTGCAGGATTCCCCATCTGTTATGACAACTTTCTGTTATTTACCTAAATATGCAGAGTGACCCACGGTTCATGTGTATGTTTTTGGAAATCAGTTATATTCCTTGTGTTAATATCGATCTATTTATTGATGCAATTCAGTCAAATATTATCTCATCAGTTTCTTTATTGCTTTATTCGAGTGTAATTAATAAATAATTCAAATTTATGGTGAATGATTTGAAAAATGTAGACCTATGTTTGCAACCATTTACTCAGCACTTCAATCAAGGTTTGAAAAAATTAATCCCTAAATCTTTCTCTTATTCCTCTGAAATTTAACTCACATCCCCATTACTCCCAATAGCATATTCTCAGAAACATTTAAATCTTCTCCATGTTAATTTATAATAGTGGCATCTTCTAAAATTTCTACAAATGTATCATGTAAAATTTACTCTTAATTCCTTAGTTTCTTTCACTCAGCACAATTCTTTGAGAATTTAGCCATGTTTTTTTCAATGAGTGAGGCATGACTTGATTTCAAGCTGCATTAGATTCCAGCACAGAAATATATGCCAAACTATTTAACTGTTCACCTGTAACGAAATGTGATTGTTCTCTCAGTTAATGGATTTGATAGAGAAAAGCAGCTACTCAGCATGGGAATGTAAAAATGTGTAAACTATGAGCTTATTCTGACCTCATTAACAACAAAGCTGAACAACTACAAATAAAAAAAAGAAAACCTTCAACATATCTGTGTTGATGTCAGAGAGAAAACAAACAATACACAAAACCTGAAATCTGAGGAGAGAGGCGGCTGCAGAGAGAAGCAGGACCCATGTATTAGTGTACCTGGGGCAGATGCCACTGGATGGCATTTAAGATCGGAACAGGCTGACTTGGACATATTCAGTGAGTTGCGTGAGGATGCACGTGCTCATAGTGTTAGACTGTGAAGCTCCTGGTGCTTGCAGGCTTTTCCTACAGAATTATTATTAATATTCTTGCTGCACTTTATGCAAATAATCAGGCCAAGTTTAAGACTAAAGTTTATTTTGCAAACAACTCAGTCTTATCATTATTTGCTGCTGACAAAAACCAAAACTGGAAAGAGAAACATTGTATTTCAAAACATATCATACACTTGTCTTTAAATTCTAATCTCTTCAGTTGTTTAAGTATTTGCCTGCATTTTAGACTAACTCTGCTTATTCCTGAGCGCCAATCAATGATCTCTGGCTACAGCCCAGAAGAAACAAAAAGCGATGGGGAATATAAAAAATCTGGATCAATATTTTAATTCTAAGCAATTATCCTTTAAATCATGCCAGGTGATGGGAATGAATAGGGTGCCCCTAACCTGGAGGTTTCTTTGTTTGGGAAAATAAATCCCAGGGAGCTGACAAAAGCCAAGCCCCATGCGCCCAAACCTTAGCAGGCATAACTACAGCTGCAGTTATCTAGGAATGTCAGCAGCCTTGGAATTTTCTTTCAAGCTGTCCTTGCCACCTTGTTTGGTTTTCATACATGTCTTCTAATAACCAGATTTGCCTCTTCTCATTTTCAGACCATCAAACTCCAAATGGTCATGCAACTGAAGCCTGGGATAATGGCTCCCTTTTCCTGGGGTCCCTTAGACCTCCAAGAGAGATCTTCCCCAAACAGCATCCCTCCTCAGCTGGAAGCAGTTAAGACTTGTCTTTGTCTCTATTCTAATGACAGTTAGATGTACTTCTTCAAAGAGGAAAATGCTAGAGGTAGAAGGCAGAGAACTCTCCTAGGCAGGTAGGGAAGAGTCCCCATAGAATCTCCAACGCCCCAGGGTCATAGTGCACAGGGAGTTGCCTAGACATGCCTGCAGTGAAAATTGTTAATGTTGTCTTTATCCCTCTCGGAATAAATAGCCACACATAATAATCTAGCTGCATGAAGATAAAAATTAACTAGTTTGAAATTAGAACAATTCCCTATTCACAATAGCAAAGACTTGGAACCAACCCAAATGTCCAACAATGATACACTGGATTAAGAAAATGTGGCACATATGCATCATGGAATCCTATGCAGCCATAAAAAATGATGAGTTCATGTCCTTTGTAGGGACATGGATGAAGCTGGAAACCATCATTCTCAGCAAACTATCGCAAGGACAAAAAACCAAACAACACATGTTCTCACTCCTAGGTGGGAATTGAACAATGAGAACACATGGACACAGGAAGGGGAACATCACACACTGGGGCCTGTTGTGGGGTGGGGGGAGGGGGGAGGGATAGCTTTAGGAGATATACCTAATGTTAAATGACGAGTTAATGGGTGCAGCACACCAACATGGCACATGTATACATATGTAACTAACCTGCACATTGTGCACATGTACCCTAAAACTTAAAGTTAAAAAAAAAACAACCAGAGAAGTGGGAAAAAAAAGAAATTAGAACAATTACCAATAAAATCAAAGTTAGCATGTGGTTTATAATATTAATAGACAAGAGACATGGCTGAATGCTAAGAATGTGTTCACATCTATTATATGTCATGATCAGGAAAATATTTTATATATTCTTTAGGTAAGAGTCCCATTGAGAGGATTGATTAACATTGATGTATAATACCTCAATAATAAAAGTAAAGGTTATTAACTAGTAATTTGTATTAAGAACACAAACTTTCATTTAGGATATATTCTTCTATGTGTTAGGAAATCAACTCAGAAGGCAGGAAACATTGAACTTATTAGAGATGTTTAATAAATTAAAAATGAGAATTAAGTACATATGCTTTTAGAGGGTGCACAACTTTGGAATTTTTTGTGTCGTTTTGTTTGAGACGGAGTCTCGCTGTGTCGCCCAGGCTGAAGTGCAGTGGCACAATCTCGGCTCACTGCAACCCCCGCCTCCAGGGTTCAAGCAATCCTCTCACCTCAGCCTCTCAAGTAGCTGGGATTACGAGTGTACACCACCATGCCCGGCGAATTTTTGTATTTTTAGTAGAGATGAGGTTTCACCATACTGACCAGGCTGGTCTCAAACTCCCAACCTCGAGGGGTCCACCCACCTCGGCCTCCCAAAGTGCTAGGTTTACAGGCATGAGCCACAGCGCCCAGCCTGGAATATTTTTAGAAACAGAGAGGGTTCTTACGTCTTCTGGAAATCCTATTGAGATGGACAACAAGGGAAGAAACCCTCAGATGAATTTCTACCTACTAGAGGGCTGATTAATATCATTTTAAAGCAAATGCTAACACACAAAAAGCTAACATGAAGCTAAAAAAATATAGTGATTCAATACAGAAACCACTCTAGCTCAATCTAGTTTAAAATATTATCTAACCATGGAGGGCACTGTCATTGTTCACAGAAGACAGAGTCAATCCCACTCACAACCTTCTGGGAATGTTTAAAAAATGGCATCGCTACATAAAAATTATCAATTTTAATAAAATGTAAACTTCCTTGGCCAAGGGTTCTCCCACTAGCACTATGGAATCATGGTTCACTCCTCAGGGTCCATCAGTTATTACCCTATGACTTGGTAGCTAAAAGGCCCATACGTTTATAGATTTTACACCAAGGGATCATCTTTGTTCTATTGCATGCATGTGTTACAAAATACGGAAAGGGATTCCTATGTGATATCCACTCCAATCATGAAGAGTTAAAACTGCCTTTTTACTACATCTTTTCCGCAGTGTCTTCTGATCTTCAACAAGGAAACTGAAAGGAACATCAGCAGAAAATACTGCTCTTGAATCATATTGGAAGGAATCTTATCAGAAACTTTTAACTAACTCACTGCACAAAACAGTCAGGCAGTTAATTATTGGCTTCATGTTTTACAACTGAAGAATCAATTCAGGACAGATGCAGTGGATCTTCCCTATAATCACACCACTTTCAGAAGCAAAGTGAGGGAAATCACATGAGACCAGGAAATCGAAGCCAACCTGGGCAACATAAAGAGATGCTATTTCTATGAAAAAATATTTTAAAGAATAAGCAGGTGAGGGGTGGCGTTCCCCTCTAATTCTAGATATTCAGGAGGCTAATACAGGAAGATTACGTGAGTCCGGAGCTCAAAATTACAGTGAGCTATGATCACACAACTGTACTTTAAGCTGTGGAACAGTGTGAGAGCCTGCCTCTAAAAACAAACCAAAAAGAATCAATTAAGAATTCCACACAACTGTAAATCTACTCAAATAGGAGATGCTAAACTGAGCATCCTCATTGATTGCCTGGCATTTCTGATGTTTTTAAGCAGACGTGTGACCCAAGACCTGCAGAATAAGCTGATAGTCCTTGATTGTGAGAAGCTTCTACCCAAGACATTAGGCCAGGACCCTAATTCCCCATCCCCTCCTTCTTTTTCTCATTATTATTTCCTTATATTTCTAAAGTCATCTCATTTCTGTAGATCTGGGTCTTGTCCACCCATACTGAACCCTTATTTCTTTTTCATTATTTTTATTCTTGCTACCTAGAATAAGTTGTCGCTCTATCTTTTGGTGCATGCCTGTTGATTACTTAAGGCTCACTCCTCCATCATCTCCTTTTTTGCCACACAAGGTGAATCTAGTTTGGACTCACAGGAGCTTCTTCATTCAATGGCAGTGGGAGTTTCAAACCTTATAAACCCCGATCTGTGAGTGGGAAGCCTCACTGTGCCACCACCACTAAACCATTATAAAAACCCTGAGCCAGTCTCCTTTCCTCTTCTTTCAAGCCATTTTAGATTTTCCTGCGAGACCTGCCCTGCACTCAGCAGACACCTACACTGTGCAGATAATACACTTTTCCATATTCACTTGCTCTGAGCTTATGACTTCATCAGACATGACACACACACTAAATCTCAGTTGAGATCTCTTGGCTTTGCATGTTGTCAACTACAACGGATGGTGTGAGCTTGGTGTCACTGTTTCTTTTTTTTTTTCACAGACGCTTCTCAAAAGAAGACATTTATGCAGCCAAAAGACACATGAAAAAATTCTCATCATCACTGGCCATCAGAGAAATGCAAATCTAAACCACAAGGAGATACCATCTCACACCGGCTAGAATGATGATCACTGTTTCTATCAACAGTACACACTGGATCCCTGAAACAACTCCAGGACACAGCTGGACATGTGCTATAGATTTGTTTTGTGTCCCCACCTAAATATCATCTCAAATTCTAATCCCCACATGTCAAGGGAGGGACCAGGTGAGAGGTTATTGGATCATGAGGGCAGTTTTCCCATGTTGTTCTCATCATAGTGAGTGAGTTCTCACAAGAGCTGATAGTTTAAAACTATGTGTCACTTCCCCCTCTCTCTCCTGCTGCGCTGTGTGATGTGCCGTGCTTCGCCTTCACCTTCCACCATGATTATAAGTTTCCTGTGGCCTCCCCAGCCATGCAGAACTGTGAGTCAACTAAACCTCTTTTCTTTGTAAACTCCTCGTCTCAGGTAGTTCTTTATACCACTGTGAAAACGAACTAATATCACATGACTGGTGGAGTTTGATAAACTTTCTTAATGACAGTTTATAGGGGGGTTGATAGGGTTTGAAACTCCCACTGGCATTGAATGAAGCAGCTCCTATGAGTCCAAACTAGATTCAGCTTGTGTGGCAAAAAAGGAGATGATGGAGGAGTGAGACTTATAATCAGTGCTAAAGGTAGTACTAATTATACTAGGTAAAATTTGGTATCAAAGCAATTAGACAGAGATAAATAAAATACATGAAAAGTCAGAAACTCCTGAATATACACATGAATGAGTGCTGAACATTTCTGTATTTTTAGAGAAATGCTAGAATACGGCAAAATAATGGCATGGGGTTAAATAAAAAAATAATAGTCTCCACACGAAGTGTTCAATTTTACAAATATGGTCATAGACATTATCATTATCCACATAGATAACAAGTCAATTACCCTCAAAATATCCTCTTGTTCTGTAATTCCTCCTTCCTAGACCTTCCCTTCTCCTACAATATTGACAGTGAACTACTGATTTTTATGTAACTTTAGATTACTTATCAATACATCAGGTAATAAAAGTTATAGATTTATGTGTGTTGTGGGGTGGCTGTATATAAGTTTCTGTGTGAGAGAGAGAAGGAGGGAGGAAGGAAGGCAGAAAAAGAGAGGAATCCTACATAATTGACCACAATTTATGAGGTTCTCAAGTAATTATGGGGAATTAGTCCTTACAGACAAGGCTGATATAAGATGGAGAGGACAACTTGACACACCTAGCTATGGTTATATATTTATATCAATATCATTTTCTAATCATACAAACACATGCATTAGAATAGAGGTAGTGGAGGGTGTCTGGTGGTGAAACATGATGGTGACACAAAACGCCTCATCCAGCCCCTTTTCACACCAGCTGCACATGCCCTGAGGTTGAGCCTTGAACCTGCTCTTTCTGAATCCCCACAATAATCCTGAGCCCCCTGCTGTACCAAGCACCCTTTGGTGTCCTGATTTTCCCCCATGGTTCCTGAGAGCCCCCAGCTACCTGCATGCCTCTACAATGGTCTTGAGTGCCCCTTGGTGTCCTGAGGGAGCCTGGTGTCCTGAGTAACCCTGGCTGTCCTATGCACCCCCACAGGGAGGCTTGGGTATGAGTTCACACTGTGGTTTCCTCACTGTGTCTTTTGCTCTAAAATACATGGCTATGTGTTTGTTGCTCACATAGTTCACCTGTAAGAAGAAGTACTTTTTGGACATGGATCTGGAGATGGTGACTGGACTCTTGAGAAGAGGGGAGTAATCTGTGCTCCCTCCATGACCTATGCACCCGATCCACTCCAGTACCTCCCATGG
The DNA here is from genome assembly GCF_000001405.40 of Homo sapiens. NCBI lineage: Eukaryota > Metazoa > Chordata > Mammalia > Primates > Hominidae > Homo > Homo sapiens. The sequence continues at coordinate 859,243 of NT_187600.1, forward strand.
GGGCGCTGATGGATGCAGCTCCAGAAGGAAACACTGGTTGTGATGGAGAATGCAGAGATGGCACAGGTGAGGGAGAGGTTCTGTGAAGGCTTCACCAGGCCAAGAGTGCACCGAGAAATACAGTTGTTGGCAGCCACAGGTTCTGGAGAACACGCTGAAATTTCCAAATACTTACATTTCTATGAGAATAACGAGCTCACTTGTGCTCAATTAGTGAGTCTCCTAGCGTAATGCCGTGGATGCTGATGTTGGATTCAGACAAATATAGGGTCACATTTTTCTCCATACTTGGAACCAAGTAATAAAGAGAAACTTATGTCAGGAGAATGGCCATTGAACTATCTCTGTTCATGGTGATTTTCAGAATAGGCTTGAGATGTGATCACCTAAAGGGTGTCGTAATACTTAACCAACAATTAGGCCTGAGCAGCAGTCACAGGCACTGGAGGTCGCCCACATGGAGAAATGTCTGACTCACTGAAGCTGCACCTGGGGGTCTCTGCAGGCTCTGAGTTGTGCAGAAACAGCTCCTCCCTTAGACTCAGACTGAGGACAATCTCTGCTCATTCTCTGGGGAAGGTGAGGGTTAGTGTGTGGAAAGAACCCAACTTACTTTGCTCAAGATCTCTGTACTTGAACAGAAACAAAGAGTAGGAGAAAAAATGATTTCGGTTTTACATAGAATAAATTATCATGAGGAAGGCAATAATATGTCTGGATCTTGCACAGAATTAAGAAACAATGAATTTGGGGTAAAGTTGAAAATTACAATTTCTTTGCAGATTCTGTTTTTAGTTATCTATGTCATCTGCAAAAATGAAGTAAAATCAGGGTTTTTATATAAAAATTCACAAACAGGGTGCTGGCCCTGCGAATGCACCTCCCATCTCTCCAGCATCAGGGAGCCCAATAGAACAGGCAGCCAGCTGCTGCACTGCACTCTAACACCCGCCACCTGGTGTGTGCCAAAGACACCCATCCTGGGAGCTCCTCCCAGACAGTGGCTGTGCACAGTGGAGACACTGAGGCATGGCTGCTGCTGGGACGCATTGGACATCCCTGATGGACAACTGTGCTCTGGGAGGCACCAATGGTCTTCCTGGACTTATCTTGGACCACAGGGTTGTTAGGGAAGGTCCATCAAACTCCCTTCCCTCTCCAGTACTAGTGGTGAGATTGACATTCTGGGGTGACAGTATCTACAGCCCCGCCTGGCCTCCTGTGCATTTTTTGCTTCCATTACTTACATCTGCTTTGGGACAAATGAGAATGTTTCCTCTTCCTATAATAAACTTTTCTAATCCAGAGATGTCAGGGGTGGCCACAGAAACATAAATGTCCAGAGGCTCCGAGGGGAACTGGTAGATGCAGAGGAGGCCACAGACCCTGAAGGAAAGCAGCCCATGATAACCATCTGTACCTGCCCTAGAGCTGCCCGTTTTCAGTGGGTCCTGAGTGCCCCTTTTAGCCCAGCCTCCTCCCTTGTCATTGCAGGAAACTGTGTCTGTGTTCACACTGATGTCCTCTTACCTGGTGCCTCACATACAGTAACACACAGCTGTGCCCTCTGCTCTCAGACTGTTCATTTGCAAATACAGTGAGTTCTTGGCATTTTCTTTGGAGATGGTGAATTTGCTCTTCACAGATTGGGCATAACATATCTGACTTCCATCACACTGTATATCTACTACTCACTCCAGCCCCTTCCCTGGAGCCTGGGAAACCGAGCTCATTCAGTAGCTACTGAAGGTTAATCCAGAGTCTGCACAGGAGAGTCTCAAGGATCCCCCAGGTTGTCTTGGGTCCTCTCCGGACTCCACGAGCTGTACCTCTCACTAGACACCTGCAAACTCGTAGACATCCTGGTCAGAAACTCCCAGACATAATCCACCATTTCTCTCAAGGGTATCCACTCACGCTCAATCTCTCTAGTTCACCTTTTAAAACAGCAACAGTGAAAACCCAGCTCAGCCCAAGCTCCATGGTGGGTCCTCTGTCTTTAGTCCTGATCACCAAATAGAAACCCCTGGGAATCCCAGGGCTGGCGCTTCTCTCCCAGAGCTGTGGGGTCAGGACTGGGCTGGTTTTCATCAGCAGAGGGAGAAACCTATTTGCATGTCTCCTACTGTATAGCAAGCTCTGGGATGGGAATCCTGAGGAGGCGCAGGGCTCAGAGCAGACAAAGTGCCCTGGGGGAGATTGGTAGTCATCTTATCACTCAGGAAAATATCATTATATTATATGATTGTGCCTTGATAATCATTTAGCAGTCGTCATCTTCTTTTTGACATATTTGTAGAATACATTTAATGCAAGTGTCAATGTTACATTTTAAGGAAGATAAATTACATATGGAACAGTGTTTATACAATGTGTTCAAGGTCACACAGCTGGACAGTATTAGCCCCATTATCCATGCCTGTGTCTCTGACCACTAGAGGAGACTGCTCCCCTGAGACAACTCCAGGGCAGTGTGGGACACGCCTAGTGAGGTTTGCAGGATTCCACCCCCGCCAGGACATCTCTGTTTTCTTTTAATGTATTCTGCTCTTTACCTAAAGTATACAGAGAAAACCAGTGTTCAAGCATGTGTACTTTCAAGAGTCTGAGATGTTTTGAGTGTTCATACCCATCTATTTTTTGCTCCTCCTCAACCAACATATTCATTTGTTTCTTTGTTACTGCTTTAAGTACAATTAATAATTAATTCAAATCTACACTGCACCATTTGGAAAATGGTAACGTATGTGTGCAAACTTTAATCAGGTTGTGTACAATTAAGTTAACCCCTAAATCTTTCTGTCACTTCTCTGTAATTTCATCTCACCACCCAATTACTTTCAACACCCATTTCTCCCAAATTTCAAATCTGCTCTGTTACTTTAGAATAGTTGTACCTTCTGCAGTTTATACAATTAGAAGTTTATGAAGTGCACTCTTAATTCTTCAGCTACTTTCACTCAGCAGAGTTATTTGAGAATGTAGACATGCTTTTATGAGAATGAGGATGCCTTGATTCTAATTCTGCATTGTACTTTAGTCCATAATCATATGTCAAATTTTTTAACGTTCACCTGTAGTGGATATGGATATTTGATTTGTTCCCTTAGTTTCTGGCTTTTATATAGAAAGTGGCTACTCAGCGTGCAAATGTGAAAAATGAGGAAACTATGATCTTATTCTGACCTCCTTAACAGTAAACCTGAAAAACTGAATAAATGAAGAAGAAAACCTTTTAACATATCTGAGCTGCTTTCACAGAGCTAACGAGAAGACTGAAATGTGAGGAGAGAGATGCCAGCAGAGAGGACTGGGGCCCACATGTTCGTGAACCCAGGGCAGGTGCCACTGGATGGCACTGAGAGAGGAACAGGCTAACCTGGAAATATTTAGTGAGGTTTCTTTTTGGATACATGTGCTAATGGTATTAGAGTGTGAATCTACTAGTCCTTGCAGGCTTTTCCCAGGAATTTGAAAAATCCACAGTCAACTCCCTTATCTGCTGTCCTGTGGTGCTGACAGGAAGGGAAGAACAGCGAGGACTGTTGAACGCCTGGATCCACCCCCACTATTTCCAGGGGAAATCCAATAAAACCTGTATCCTATGGGGGTGTGGTGGAGTCAACAGAAACTAAAGAAAACAGAAAATTCCCAAAGAACTCCATCTAGAAGAAATTCTTAATCTGCAGGGTAAGTACAATGGAGGAGAAGCTGAGAACACTGGTGAGAAACCATTGTGGTTGGGAAGACACTCTACCCCTGGGGGAAGAGGTATGGACAGGAAAATTGGGAAGGTCACCCCCAGAACTATGATTTCTACTCATGCATAAGAAGGAGGCTGATTCAGAAGGTTGGAGAACGTCTCCATTTGTTCAAGCCCCTTCTCCACATGGTCAATAAGTCTGCAGAATAGTGAAGTAGCTACATCAGCTCCATTCTGACCTCTGTCATGTGACAGTTTTTGTGGATTTGCTTTCTGCTCTCTCAAGATTTGTTTCCTCTCTCAAGTCCTAGCTCCATTCTCCTATTCTCAGTTTATTGAAGAGATTCATATTTAGCTTAGAACATTACAATTTTTGGAAGAAATTTTCATCTTAAACACACCAAATCTAATGAGCTCTCTCCAGGGGTGCCCATCTGTTTTTTTTTCTTCCTTTCCTATGGGATATGGCCCTTTTTTTCTCCATGAGTCCAGCTCTTATATTCATATGCATGAGGAGTCTAACCATCACACACCCAGAGACATGTTGCAGGAATGGACTCTACCATCCATCTCCTCAGCCCTCATGTGCACAGTGGCCACTCTGTCAGCTGCTGTATGTGCTTTAGGGATTTCCATTTAGAAGTGTCTTTCACTTTCCCCCCAAATAAAGTTCCTTGTCCTTAAATATCTTGACGAGCCAGTCTTCTTTTCTGTCTCTTTGTAGTTAATATTGTTTTATTCCATTAAAATTCATTGCGAACATCAGTGAAAATGGAAGTGACCAGCCATCCCTTCCATTGTCTGACTTCTGCCTGATGGACCCACCCATGAGCTTTACTCCACTGCTCTGCAGCTGATGGGGCCATCTGGACCTTTATTAATAAGAGGTGTGTGATTTATTAGAGAATTACTGAGATCAGCAGGTGCCTGAGCTCCTCAGAACACAGGTGTGGTCCTGAAGTAGAGTGTGTGTGACTGAAATCACACATGTGTATAACTCGTGGCCTCAGCCCATAAGCTGATACCAGATTCTGGCCATTCCTGGGTAGCCTGATGAGGGGTGTCCAGAGAAGGATGGATGCAGGATGTGGATTTTAGAAAGTGATGTGGTGTTTGGGGGCATTGATGGCCAAATTTTAAGTCTATTCTGTCCTTGGTACTTGGGGAAGACTGGGAAGAAAGGAACAAAACTCAGACCCCATGTAGCTCCCCATTTAGGAAGAGATTCAGTGCAAATTTCGAAAGCCGAAGAAATAGACCATACTGCAGGGATCATTTCTGTAGTCCGTTTGAGGTGGTAGAAGAAAAACAGTGATGCTGGTGATGTTGGTGTGGTTTTCTGTGACATACTAAGGAGAACAGAAGATGATCAGTGGCCAATCTCCATCCAGCTGGTACCTATCGTCTATTTGTTATGTCCAAATAAAAGATAAGGGACATTTGTTACACACACACACCAGGGCTGGTTTCAGAGACCATGCTCAAAAATGGCCAACAGAGCCATGACACATTTTTATATGAGAACTACTATTTTTGCCTACTTCACGTGGAAATCTGAGAGATGCAGTGCCCAGCCTCAGGGGGCTGCTTCTCCCTCCAGGAGACAGAGCTAACAGAGTTAGGTGGTATTAGTCAGTTTGGGTCTTCGTAAGAAGACAACAGGATTGGGTGGCTTAAACAACAAATATTGATTTTCTTACAATTCTACAGTCTGAATGTCGAAGATCAAGGAGCTGGCAAAATTGGTTCTTAGTATGGCTTCTTCCTGGCTTGCACAGGGCCACCTTCTAGTGCACTACGTCTCCACATGGCCTCTTCTCTGTGTGCACGTGAAAAGTGAGAGGTCTCTGGTGTCTCTTCCTCTTCTTATAAAGACAACGGTTTATTGCATTAGGGTCTCACACTTTGACCACATTTAACCTCAATTACATCATTAAAATTCCAGTATAGATCCATTGGATTTAAGGTTTCAGTAAGTTAATTTCAAATAGGGCACAATTCGATTGATGAAACAAATCAAGAGATGGTGAGAATCCATATATGGCAAAATGAGTCATGCAGGAACTTGTAGGAAAGTTTCTAGTAATTGGTGAAACCTCAACAGTAAACAGAAAAATTGTCTTCCTCCTTTCTTCCCTGCCACAAGGATGTGAGGAAGCAGAACCACAGATAATAAAGAAAGAGAGTCCTGGGGACATCTGAGGTGCTGGCGAGGAGACAGACCACTGAGCTGTTGAGGAAGCCCCGCCCTCCTTGCACCTGCTCCGGACCCGGCCTCGGGATCTGTGGGCGCCGCGCGCCACCTGCTGGTCTTGAGCAGTACCTGCGCCCGCCCCCTCTGCCTACCTGCAGGGAGGTTTTTGTCTGGGCTCACACTCACCTCCCCTCACTGTGCCTCTCGCACAGTAATACACAGCCGTGTCCGCGGCGGTCACAGAGCTCAGCTTCAGGGAGAACTGGTTCTTGGACGTGTCTACTGATATGGTGACTCGACTCTTGAGGGACGGGTTGTAGTTGGTGCTTCCACTATGATTGATTTCCCCAATCCACTCCAGCCCCTTCCCTGGGGGCTGGCGGATCCAGCTCCAGTAGTAACCACTGAAGGACCCACCATAGACAGCGCAGGTGAGGGACAGGGTCTCCGAAGGCTTCAACAGTCCTGCGCCCCACTGCTGTAGCTGCACCTGGGACAGGACCCCTGTGAACAGAGAAACCCACAGTGAGCCCTGGGATCAGAGGCAGCATCTCATATCTTCATATCCGCATTCCTGAGACACTCACATCTGGGAGCTGCCACCAGGAGGAGGAAGAACCACAGGTGTTTCATGTTCTTGTGCAGGAGGTCCATGACTCTCAGAAAGCACTTCCCATGTGAGCTGGACCCTGAATTTAAGGAAATGTGTAGTCATTTCCTGTGGGTGCCTAAGTGAGGATTTGCATGTGGGTGGTGCCTTTGTATGGATAGGTAAAAAGGGATGAGGGAGGCCCCAGTCTTTTGGGCTCACCCTGGGAGGTGTATGCTGGCTGTGCCCTCTGAGAACTCAGTTCTCTTCCTGTGGCCTCCCCTCACCAAACCCAGAGTCCTCTTCTTCCAGGTAGGAAATGTGCTGAAGGAGCTGGTCTGGGAGACAAGTGTGATCATGGATCAAAGACAGATTTTGGAATACAGTTAATACTGTTCTACATTTAAAGATTCATATAACACCAACCATACACCCAGGTCACCTAAATTGTCATTTACCCCTTCAGACATATTGAAACAGCTGCTGAGTGTAATAATCACAGTGAATTGAGACAAACCTGGATCCATGCAATGTGTACTGTAGTTCAGAACATCCATCATGGTTAGAAGGATGCTACCTGTCCCAGGAAGTGGGTTATTTTTAAATAGTACCTGAGAGCTGCCCTTCTGAGACCTTTTGAAATTTGAGATTGTGTGTGAGATCTCAGGAGAAGGTAGTAGAATATATCTCCATCCTTCTCAATGTGTAACCCTGAGAATATGGCCTGACCTCTAAACATTTCTGTGTGAAAAGATGTACATTGGGGATAGCAGTGACAGCTTCAGATGAAAACTCTATAGTACATCAGCACTGGAGGATAGTCTCATCACCAAGATTAGTGAAATTACCTTTCCTGGGAACCAGAGAGGACCTCTGTGAGCTCTACCCTCTGAGAGAACAAGGAACTCTGGTTCTTCCCTGACAGGTCACACCTGTGAAACATGGCTGGACAATGACACTCAAGCCCAGAATTCGTACCCACATATTTACCAATTCAGATCCATCTGTCTCTGAAAGAATTTCTCCTCCGCTGAATTGCAAGAACATACCCTAGGGTGTGCAGTATTGCAACTTGGGCATTTCACATTAGTTTGGTGAATTATATAATACACAAAATATCTCCATGGATGTTGTAACAGGAGAGTCATCAGAAGCTGGTTGTGTTGTATAATCTGGATAAACCTGGGCTCTCTTCTTAGGAGCTGAACAAGTGGGCTGGCCTTCTATGAGACGACAGAGGGAAAGAGACAGACTCAATATCCAGAGCGAGGTGAGCTCCTTACCTACCTACCAGGTGGTCTCTGGGCCATTTGTTTGAGCAGACCCAGAAGTACCTTCCTCACCCTCAGGAGAATTATGAACATTGAGAGAAACTGAGATACTTTTTTTATTTACAGGGAATATTTCATCGGCGTGTAGACATCTACGTGGGTGTGTACAGGGATGCTAGGATGTGCTCATACACAGAAGAGCAAGAATTATATTTCGTGGAAAGAAAACCAAAGAGCTTCTGAATTTGTAGGTATTGTTTGCTGCAAATGTGTCAGGTCACTAGATCATGTTATGCTGCTAGAAGAAAAACTTCCCAACATTGTCATGGAGACAAAATGCAAAACAGTAAAGATTCAACTGAGATTCCCTTGAAAATCACCAGTAATGAACAGGCCAAAAGAAATCAACCATTGTGGAAAGAGTGGTCATTAAGTGAAATAGCAAATTCCATGTTGCAGTGAGAAGGAAGATCCATCTGACAGCTCATTTTCACCTCTACAAAGACTTCAGAACATAGACTAAGAGCAGAGCGTGAACTTAGGGCAAACAGAGGCCAGATGTTTGAGGAGGTTGGAGAGTGAGCTGGAGTCATTGTGAGCCATTCAGAAAAGCAGAGTGTTCCAGGGTGTATTGAGTCCTCCTGAGTTAAGAGGTGCTGAATATACGCAAGTTTCACTGCCCTCATTGCGTTTTATTCTCTAGACTCTCTTGGATGTCCAGATTTGAACATGTGGAGTGTTGATGGAACTCAACATAACTAGGAACTTTTCAGTGAAGGTGTAGGTAACAATGTGGGTATAATTAAATTCGGTTTATGAAAATATTATTATCCGAAATGTCAAAGTCAGTATCTATTAATTTATCTTTCTTTTGTATTTTACAGACAAGATTATTCTGTTGCCCAGGCTGGAGTGCAGACTCACCTATTAATTTAACAGCATAAAAACGATCAGTCCAATTTACGTAGTCCTGTAATCTCCATCAAGGATTTAGGTCCATGTGGCCTGTGACAGAGCTCTAGTCACAGAGGGAAGAGAGTGGTTTGTTGGGTTGATGCTGCTTCTTCAGAGGGGAATTTAAACAACTCCTCACCTCATCAAGTCTATTTTTATAACTGTGCAAGACCCTTGGGAATGCACTCACCATTTCTTACATAATGGGAGTTGACTGTGTCATGAAGGTAACACGAAGATGTGCAAATTTAAAGCCTGGTTACATAACCTGTTGAATTTAAAATGCCTGGAGCCAATCACATTCTGGCATCTTGTTTAATTAGTTCTGAATGTATTTTCAGTTGGTTAGTTCAAGTTCCCATAATTCACTTTCTGCTAAAATAGTCACATACAATAATCTTGAGATATTAAAATAAAAAAACTAATTTGAAAATGAACCCAACTTCCAGGAGAGATGAAAGTTCCTTTGTGGTGAAGGGTTGAAATATGGTTGAACACTGAGGTTGTCTTCACAATTGTTTTAATTAGGGGAACTTCTATACATCCCTTATATTTATTAGAAACTCCCATTGAGAACCTTGAACTAACGTAATTAGTTGATGGAGCACACAACAACAATGCTGAAGGTTATTAAGCAGGAATTGCTATTACAACGTTAGCCTTGCTTTAAAGCACATATTTCTACCTGATGTGAAATTAGCCCAGGTGCGCTGATGAGAGTTTGTCAGTTAATCAAAGACCAGGAAATGGATACACGTGTTTCTGGAGCAGGGCATGGCTTTGGGATGCTTTGCGAAAAAAGTGGCTTCTCACGTCTTTGGGAAAACCCATCAAAATGGGCAAGTTAAGGATCTCTTAGGAGCACCCGTCTATCCCATATTCTTGGCTAATATTAAAGCGGAACTCAATGCAAAATGAGATACTATGGAAGTTCAGAAAACTGCTGTACCACTGCCTCAGCTCAGCACAGCTGCCTCCTTCCTCAGGCTTTCTGAAACTCTCGGGATGTGGGTTTCCACACTGTGTACTTCGCACAGTAATACTCGGCCGTGTCCTCAGCCTTTAGGCTGCTGATCTGAAGACACGCCGTGCTGACAGACGTGTCCATGGAGAAGACAAACCATCCTGTGAAGCCGTGGGTATACGTTGGGTTCCCAGTGTAGGTGATGATCCATCACATCCACTCAAAGCCCTGTCCAGGGGTCTATCATACCCAATTCATACCATAGATGGTGAAGGTGTAACCAGAAGACTTATAGGAGACCTTCACTGAGGCCCCAGGCTTCTTCACCTCAGGCCCAGACTGCACCAGCTGCAGGGAGTGGGCACCTGTGGAGTGGACACAAGAGTGGGTGAAGTCTCACATGACTGGCCTGGTTTCTTCCTCAGCCCTGAGACTGGGGAGCCCCTTACCTGTTGCTGCTGCCATCAAGAAGAGGATCCTTCAGGTCCAGTCCATGGTGAGGAGCTGTGATCTAGGGGCTTCTCCAGAGGAGGGGTGTGGTTGTTGGGTGAGGCTCTCAGGGAACGGAGATACTATAGTCACCTCAGTTAATTGCATATTCATGAAGGATGCTATTTAATAGCCCAATTCCTGACCCAGTATGAGAAACAGACACATGGGTGACACAACTGTAGAAGCTGAGGGTTCAAGCCGTAATCCTGTTAGAGGCCATGTGTCCCCTACACATCCCTGAACTCTGTGTTGACAGAGCTTCCCCCACTGGAGAACAAGCTCCTCAAGGACAGCACCTCACTTTGAAACCACATTTGACTGTCTCAGGGTCAACTTGCATCATTTCTAGACCATAATATGTGAATGCGTTATTTAGGGAATGACTGTGTTTATCCAAAAATTGCATTTATTTATAAGAAAGGATCTCTTCCTGACCTCCAGCAGAGTTTGAAATCCCCATTGTAAAAGTGGTTCTCATTACAACATCCAGTTTGATAAATGCTCACAATTGAATAGATATTTATACAAACTTCAGCAGTCTTTGTGAAATACTTATTTTAGATATTTTTAAAGGAAGTCCCAGGCCCTGGGAGGAACCTCTCCCCAGCCTCCTGTGCACCTGCTCTGGGGCGGGAGCCTGTGCTGGGTGTATCCGGAGCGCCCCCTGCAGCCCAGCCCCAACCATGCAGGGAGGTTTCTATCTGAGCTGACAGAGTATATTCCTACCAGTGTATCCAGCTCAGTATAAAGTGGTTGTGCCCTGGCTCAGAATTCTCCTTTAGGGACACCACATGCTCCTCACACCATCTTTTGAAATAGTGAATTGCCTTTAGGAAACCCAGTGAACTCTGCAGAGAGACTCCAAGAAAAGATCTCATGCATCACCAGGGAGCCCTTTCCTGGAGCTCAAGAGGCACAGAATCATTGGACACACGGTGAACCCAAACACTCTTCAGGGGTTGAGGGGAGACTCTTATTTCCTTTAGGGTCCTACAGTTGATTATGGCACCTGAGAATACCTGCAGGTGCAGGTACATGTGGATAGAAACCCACTCCAACTCTGCTATTCAACTCACACATGCGCGCGCGTGTGTACACACACACACACACACACACACATATATATATATACATCGTGGCTAATTTTTATATTAACGGATCCCATGTTTGCCATTTTTTTCTGGTATCCATCTCATGGAAAGCGCTCCCTACACTGGTACTAAGACTGAATATGTGTCTACTTTCTGTAAACAGAAGTAAAGAAACAGAATACAAGTGGACACTTGGGAAGTGCATGCACATTGAATTCACCTGGTCTCACTTTGGAACCCTGCAGATGCCCCGTGAAAACTAAATTTGAGGCCAATGAGGGTTACATCATTTCATTAGTGGTGAAGTTGCTGAAGTCAGAGGCTTCAAATTGCTTTATTTTTCATAACATTTTTTATCCGATTTTCCTCCTCAGATAGAGTTTGCGAATTGCCACACTCTCATATTTAATCCATATTGACTAAACTGGTGAGACGTAATGCGTGGAACATGGAAGCATTACATGTTCTTACAGTTGCATTTTAATGCTATGGTGATCTTCTTTCTCTGGGCTGTGACCGATGCAAGAAGTCTCCAGGTGTGAAGCTGATTTTTGCTGTTTTCTGGCTGGAACATCACAGGAAAATTTTCTTAAATGTAATCCTATTGGCTAATTTTACCCATTTTCATGACAAAGGAAGGTTGCTGGTAAGGCTTGTAATGGGGATAGATTGCCTTTCGCCACATAGATAAGGATCTAAAAATGTCCTTCGCCTGTTTGTCTGTATGAACAAGGTCAGAGATTTTGGTCTCCTGGTAATAGAGCCATGAATGGATCTTGTGGATTCTCACCCTGAGAACCTAGAGGTTCCTGGAGGAAGGGAGATAAGAGTATGGGGGGCTGGGGCTCCCAGGATCTCTCACCCTCACGCTAGTCCAGACAGGCCCTTTATGTTTATTTAGTTCAGATATATAACAAACCACATAGCCAGGCTCATTTAAATTATCCATCCTCAGTCTATATTGGGGCAGCAGCTGAGTATAATAATTACACTGAACTCAGACAAATCGGGCCCAATCCAATTTTTACTGTAGCTCAGAGCAGCTTTACTGACTCACTTAACTTGGAGATTATTTCTTCCCGGAAAGAACTGTAAAGGTTGCTGTGGAGCCTCTGTAGGGTTGGATTTTTTGCATCAGCCTGTCATGCAGGGTGTTCTGAATGATGCAGACCTTTATACTTAGATGGTAATTATTCCTAGTGATGTGGAAATGGCTGGCAGCCCTCAATTCTGTTTCTTTCTTTTGTTCCCCTGAGTGTCTACAAGAATCCCATGAACCTCAGGACTCTCCTTCAACGGATGACTCTGAAGATTGACAATCAACTCAGTGCTACAAACAGAGGGAGCTAAGTGAGGATTCTCAATTAACTGATATGTTGAGCCAGCAACATAGGACGCATCCAAGAATGAACCATTTTGTCAATGCCTATCAACATTAAATTCGAGATTTATGATTTTCAGTACATTGGAGTTAAAATTTTTATGATTCTTGACAATGAGGTCTCAAACTTGATGGTTTGCAGATGAAACCAACTTGTCATGGTTAGACAGAATCTTCTTTTTCTAGGAAGCTAGTCTTTTAAACTAAAGCACCTGAGAGGTGGTTTCCTGAGATCTTGTGAACATGTATCTATTGGAGAAAAAAATCAGGAAATCTGGTCTCAAATAATTGACAGAAAGCTTATGAAAAATTTTTATCAACACAGCCATGAAACTCCGGTTAGTCATTTTTTTGGTTCTTTTGTTACAACTCAAGAAACAATTAAGAAATCAACACAATCGCAAGCCTACTCCAAAAGAGATCATCTTTCCATACTTCAAAAACAGACCAGTATTCATAGACACTTCTCCATTAGATCTACAACTTACACAGATTTCTGTAACCTGAAGAAGTTTCTCTAAGAAGATTCTTCTCTAGACATCTATGTATGCTAAAATACATTGTGTTTATTTATGATTAATCTGTGCGAGCCCTTGGCACATTAAACAAACTTCATGTAAATGTGATAACTTTATCACTTACTGTGCTCTCACACTTTACTGGTTTCAAAAGTTCATCACCCTTGTGATGGAGCAATAGGTGCCTTTGAGAATATGCTGTTGCTTCAAGCGAACACATTCTAGATCCTCACTTGATTTCATCATTTCATATTGAGTGTAGGTGTGTCTATGACTGAAAACCCAACAGTTTTATCCAACAGATTCTCCTCTTATGAGATCATCCTGAAACCTGCCAACCACCTCCATCATGCATGCTTCCAATCTTTTGCTTTTAGGAAATAAGAGGCATAATCCATCCCTGCTTTAAGGTGAGAGACCTTCCTGACCTTCCATCATATTTAGTAGAAACTCTCATTGAGAGCCATAACAAACATTATTTGTTTACAGATCATACCTCAAAACTGAAACTGTTTTTCATAATGGCTATACCATTCTACATTTTCACAATTATGGAAAGCAGTATAAAGGCTCCTAAATGAATTAAAGCCAGAAATATTGTATGACCAGGAATCCTGTTTCTGGGAGTATATCCAAAGGAGATGAAATTACCACCTTGTGAAGATATCTGCATCCTATGTTTATTGAAACACTATTAATAACAGCAAACATATGGAAAAAATCTGTCAGTAGATAGACAAATGAATAAAGACAATGTGGTATATATGCACAATAGAATATAATGTTATCAAAGAAAGATGCTGCCATTTGCCACGATGGATCGATTTCCATAACCACCAACAGTGCACCCCATCCATTATAGCTTCTCCCTAGAGGATGGCAGGTCCTTATTCAGTAGTAACCACTGGCTGTGGTGGGAAGGCAACTTTTATGAACTGTTGAATTTTTCAGCATATCAATGTCTTAAAATATTCTGCTACATCTGCATTGATAAAGTGGAGTCTAACATTGGAGGTAAAATTAAAAGTGCTGAAGCCATCTAGACACCAAGTCATCAGATGATCCTGGCTGTGTCCTTGAGGGAGTGGAGCATATGTAGTACCATTTGGATTGGGGATTGGTGTGTTTCCAGTTGTAAGAAGAATAATTGTATTATTAGGCATAATTATGACTTTATTCTTGTCTTTATTTGAAGATTATGTATAATCTCAGGAGATGTGTATGGGTTCAAGTTGACAAAGGGTGGACTTGTAATGCTAAATACTGAGTGCCAACTTGATCTCACTGAAGGATGCAGAGTATTGATCCCGGGTGTGTCTGTGTCGGTGTCGCCGAAGGAGATTAACCTTTGAGCCAGTGGGCTGAAAAAGGCAGATACACCCTTAATCTGGGTGGCACAATCTAATCAGCTGCAAGTGTGGCCAGAATAAAAAGTAAACAGAAGAACATGAAAAGATTAGACTGGCTTCGCCTTCCAGCCTACATCTTTCTCCCCTGCTGGATGCTTCCTCATCTCAAACATCGGATTCCAAGTTCTTCAGCTTTGGGACTTGGACTGGCTTGTTTGCTCCTCAGCTTGCAAATGGCTTATTGTGGACCTTGTGATAGTGTGAGTTAATACTCCTTAATAAACTCCGTGTGTGTGTGTGTGTGTATGTGTATCTTACTTGTTCTGTCCCTCTAGGGGACACTGACTAATACAATCTTAATCCACAAGAAATTTTAAAAAAATAGGTGATTAGGAATTCCAGGATGGAATGCAGACTATATAGAAAATATCTTATGCCATTATACTAATGTATGAAATCAAAAGAGGTACTAAGTAGGTTCAGAAATAGTGTAGTCCATAAGATTAAAGAAAAAAGAAACTGCACGTCAGCACTGGACTCCACTTGATGATGTTCCACAAAAGAGCACAACTTACACAATCGGGTTCCACTCTACAGGAATCCTGGAAATGGACTACAAAGGGAATGGATGGTGTGTGGTGGGAGGGGGTTCCCCACGGTTGGAGTGCTAGGTTAGGGAAAGGCATAGAAGGAAGGTGAAAATCATTCATGTGGTATTAACTTAGGGTATCTCAGTGGATTTGCAAGTTTAGCATAATATAGGAACATAAATAAAAACCGTTTAGATGTGGGTATATATATATATGGGTTAATACACAACAAATACTTCCTGTATTGATTACTTGAGATGTTCTACAAGAAATTAACAAAAAGTACATCAAGAATCAAGATATGAGTTTTTAATACTATTCTTCTGTAAAAGGAACCAGCGGCTGGGTGCAGTGGCTCACACCCATAATTCCAACACTTTAGGAGACTGAGGTGGGCAGATCATTTGAGGTCAGGAGTTCAAGACCAGCCTGGCCAATATAGCAAAACCTCATCTCTACTAAAAATACAAAAATTAGCCAGGTGTGGTGTTGCACGTCTGTAATCCCAGCTACTTGGGAGGCTGAGACAGGAGAATCGCTTGAACTTGGGAGGTGGACGTTGCAGACTCTGTCTAAAAAAAATGAAAGAAAATAAAAGAAAAAAGGAACCAGAATTTCTTTGAGAAATGGCTAATGGTAGCACTTCAGAAAAGAATATAGGACGATAGTCTACAATTTCTTATGGTACCAGAAAATGAGAAAGGGTTACAAAACAAAGAATTGCTACTTTTGCATTTTTCTTGTTTGTTGGTCAATCTAGCTAGCAGTCTAACAATTCTGTTCATGTTTTCTGTTTTTATTTTCATAGAATCAGGGTGCACATGTGCAGAGTTGTAACATGAATATATTTCATAAAGGTGAGGTTTGTGCTTCTGATGTAACTGTTACCCCATAGTGAACATTGGAGCCAATAGCTGATTTTTTAACCCTCACTTTCCTCTCACCTTGCCTTCTTTTGCAGTACCCAGTGTCTATTGTTTTTCTCTATGTACATGTGTACCCATTGTTTGCTTTCCAATTATAAAAGAGAATTTGAGTTATTTTATTTAGGAAATGTCCTTCAACTCTATTCATGTTGCTGTGAAAGACACAATTTCATTTTTTATGGCTGCATAGTATTCCATGATTTACATCTATCATATTTTATTTAATCATCCACTGATTGACACTTAGAGAGATTACTTGACTTTTCTATTGAAAATAGTGTTGCAATAAAAATAGGAATGCAGGTGACTTTTTCTTATATAGAAGTTTCCTTTTGGGAGAAACATACCCACCAGGAGGGGTTACTGGGTCAAATGGTAATTCTAATTTTAGTTCTTTGAGAAATTTCTGTATTGTTTTTCATAGAGGTTGTACCAATTTGTATTCTCATCAAGCATATAAAAAGCATTATTTTTCCTATGCTTCTCTGCAAACATCTGTTTTATTTTTAATAGCCATTCTGACTGGTGGAAGATGCTATATCATGTTGTCTGTAATTTACATTTATCAGATGATTTGTGATGCTGAGCATGTTTTATTTCTGTTGAACACTTGTATGTCTTCTTTTGAGAAATATCTCGTTTTTGCTCACTCTTTTATGAAGTTGTTATTTCTAGTTGACTTATTTGAGTTACTTGTAGATTCTATATATTTGATGAATAGACTGCACATTTTTTTTTTTTTACCATTCACAGGTTGTCTGTTCACCATATTGGTTCTTTCTTTTGATGTGTAGATGATCTTTGGTTCAATTAATCCTGTTTGTCTAATTTTGTTTTCATTGCATTTGCTTTTGAAGTCTTAGTCATATTTTATTTGCTTAGGCCAATGTCCAGAGGATTATTTTTAGATTTTTTCAAGTATTTTTATGAGTTTATAAACATTGAATCCATATTCACAGTTAATTTGTGTCTATGATGATACAGAAGTCTCATTTTATTCTTCTACATAAGGCTATCTAATTCTCCCAGCACTACTTATTGAATAGAGGGTTGTTTCTCCAGTGTATATTTTTGTCAGTTTTGTCAAAGAACTGTTGGTTGTAGATATTTGGCTATATATCTGGGCTCTTGATTTTTTTTCTACCACTACCATGCTGCCTTTCTTATTATCTTTGTGCTGTGTAATTTGAAGTCAGGGAATGTGGTACTTCCAGCTTTGTTCGTTTTGGTTAGGACTGCTTTTGCTATTCAGAGTGTTTTTCGGTTCTATATAAATTTTAGGATTTTTAAAAATACATAATTAATTAGTTACTTGATAGAAATTGCATGGACTCTGTATATTGCTTTGGGCAGTGTATTAGTCTATTTTACACTGCTATAAATTAATACCTGAGGCCAAGTGATTTACAAAGACAAGAGGCTTATTTGGCTTACAGATCTGCAGGTTGTGTGAGAAGCATGGCACCAGCATCTGCTTCTTGTGAGGGCCTCAGGAAGCTTACAGTCATGGTGGAAGGCAAAGGGGGAGAAGGCTGTGTCATATTGTGAGGAGGGGTTACATGAGAGGGTAGCAGGATTGCAAGACTCTTTTGAACAATCAGATCTCACAGTAGCTAATACAGCAAGAATTCACTAATTACCATGGGGTGGATGCCAAGCCAGTCCTGAAAAATCTTTCCCCATGACCCAAACCACCCAGTTGGCCCCACCTCCAACATTGTGGGTCACATTTCACCATGATATTTGGAGGGGAAAACCCCTAAATTATATCATTGCACTCTCGGACCCAAAGTTCTCATATTCTTCTTACATTGCAAAATATAATCACCTTTTTTCAATAGTGCCCAAAATCTTAACTTCATCAACGTCCAACTCAAATTTTCAAAGTCTCATCTGAGTCTTAAGGCAATGTCCCTCCAGCTGTGAGCTTGCAAATTTAAAAAATAAAAGTTGTTTACTTCCAAGGTGCAATGATGATGCAGGCATTGGGTAAATAATTCCAATCCCAAAGGGATAAATTGGCCAAAGGAACAACCAACAGGCCCCACACACATATAAAACCCAGCACTGCAGATATTAAATCCTAACGCTACAAAATAATCTCTCTTGACTTTATGTACTTCAACCAGGGCACACTGGAACAAGGATTGGGTCCCCAAAACCTCAGGCAGCCAATCCCTATAGGTTTGCTAGGCACAGACCACGGGGCTGCCTTCACAAGTGAGAGTCAAGTGCTGGAAGCTTTTCTAGGCTGAGGGTGCAAGCTGCCCGTAGCTCTACCATTCTGGGGTCTTGAGGGTTGTGGCCACATTCCCACAACTTTACTATGAAGTGCCCTAGTGGGGACTCTGAATGGGGGCTCCAACTCCATCTTTCCCCATCTTTGGCACTGCTCTAGTAGAGGCTTTCTGTGGTGGATCCACTCCTGCAGCAGGCTTCTTCCTGGGCATGCAGGGCTCTCTACACATCTGAAATCTAGGTAGAAGCTGCACAGGCTCCTTCACTCTTGCATTTTGCATACCTGCCAGAATCCAGTTATCCCAGAACCATTTACTGAACACAGAGTTTTTTTTTTCCATTGCTTGTTTTTGTCAGCTTTGTCAAAGATCAAAGGGTTGCAGGTGTGCAACTTTATTTCTGTCTTCTATTTTGATCTATTTTTTTTCCTGCAGGTCTGCTTTCGTACCAGTACAGGCTGTTTTTGTTAGCAAGACGTTATGGTGTAGTTTAAGGTCAGTATCATGATGCCTCTGGCATTATTCTTTTTCCTTAGGATTGCTTTGGATATTCAGGGTCTTTTTTGGTTCCATATAAATTTTAGAATAGATTTTTTTCTGATTCTGTGAAGAATGATGATGATAGTTTTATGTAAATAGCATTGAATCTGAATTCCTTTGGGCATTATGACAATGTTTACAATATTGATTCTTCCAATCCATGAGCATGAAATGTTTTCCCATTTATTTGTATCATTTATGATTTATGTATGCTGTGTTTCATAGTTCTCCTTGTAGGGATCTTTCACTTTGTTATCTGTATTCCCGGGCATTTCATTTTCTTTGTGGATACTGTAAGTCGAATAGGATTGTGTTCTTGATTATACTCTCAGCTCGGATGTGGTTGGCTTATAGAAATGCTGGTAATTTTTGTCCATTGATTTTGTATCCTGACACTTTACTAAAGTTGTTTATTCTAGAATTATTTTGGCAGAGTTTTTAGGATTTTCTAGATATAGAATTATATCATCAGTGAAGATGGACGGATTGACTTCCTTTCCTATTTGGATGCTGTCTTAGTCCATTCTCGCACTGTAAAGAAACACCCGAGACTGGGTCATTTATAAAGATAAGTGTTTTAATTGGCTCATTTAGTATGATGTTAACTGTGGGTTTGTTGTAGATGGCTCTTATTCTGAAGTATGTTTCTTTGATGTCTAGTCTGTTGAGGGTTTTTATCATGAGTAGATGTTAGATCCTATCGGAAGCTTTCTCAGCATCTATTGACATAATCATATGCTTTTTGCTTTTATTCTGTTTACATTGTGAATCAGAGTTACTGTGGATATTGAACGAGCCTTGCATCCCAGGGGTAAAGCCCACCTGACCATGATGTATCACATTTTAAAGTGCTTCTGGATTCAATTTGATGGTATTTTGTTGAGGACTTTCAGGTCTATGTTCATCAGGACTATTGATCTCATATTTTTTTTGTCATTATGTCTCTCCTGATTTTGTGTGCCAAGAGCACACAGTAGAGAAAGGACAGTCTTTTCAATAATGGTGTAAAACTGGCATTCATATGCAAAAGAAATAAAATTAGGCCTTCTCTAACTCCATATAAAAAAATCAACTAATAGGCCGCGCGCGGTGGCTCACGCCTGTAATCCCAGCACTTTGGGAGGCCGAGGCGGGCGGATCACGAGGTCAGGAGATGGAGACCACAGTGAAACCCCGTCTCTACTAAAAATACAAAAAAAAATTAGCTAGGCGCGGTGGCCAGCGCCTGTAGTCCCAGCTACTCGGAGGCTGAGGCAGGAGAATGGCGTGAACTCGGGAGGCGGAGCTTGCAGTGAGCCGAGATCGCGCCACTGCACTCCAGCCTGGGCTACAGAGCAAGACTCCGTCTCCCAAAAAAAAAAAAAATCAACTAAAAATGGACATAATACCTGAAGCCATAAACTCATAAATGACATGGAGCAAAAAAAATTCCTGCCATTAATTCGGAACTGATTTCTTTGAATTTAATAACAAAGCACAGGAAAAACTATGTGCAATTATGGATCTGACAAGAAGTTCTGTCCAAATGTATAAATAACCCATACACCTCAACAGCAAATAACAAATGAACTGATAAAAAAGGGCAAAAACCTGGATAATTTTTTTCAGAAGATACATGCATGGCAAACAGAAAACGAAAAAGTTCTCAACATTCCTAATTATCAGAGGAATTCAAATGAGAAGCACAATGCAATATCAACTCACACTAGTTAATATGGCTATTATCAGAAATGTAACAGATGACAAATGTTGGCAAGAATGTGGGGGAAAGGGAAATATCCTGTGGTAGGATTGGTTACTTGATAAGTTAAAAATAAAGCTATCATATAATCTGGTGATCCCACTTCTTGTTATATATGCAAAGGAAATAAAATTACTTTGCCAAAGACATGTTCATTGCAAGATTATTAATAATAGTGTAGATTTGTAAAATAATTTAATGACTGTAAATGGATGAATGTATAAAGAAAATGTGTATACATACATCTGTATTTTGTTTGGCTTTGAAAAGAGGGAAATTCTGACATTTGCAACAACACGGATGGGCCTGGAGGACATGATGCTGAGTTGAATAAGCCAGATGCAGAAAGACAAATGCTGCATGATCTCATTTACATGTGGGATCTAAAATATTCAAGCTCTTGAAAGCAGAGAGTAGAATAGTGGGTCCCAGGACCTGGGAGGTGAGGGAAATTGGGTGATGTGTGTTAAATTGTACAGAGTTTCAGTTGTGCAGGTTGGATGAGTTCTGGAGATCTAACGTACAGCAATGGTCCTATAGTTAATACTGTATTGTAAAAATGATTGTTGCTGAAAGGGTAGATCTTAGGTGTTCTCATCAGACACTCACTCATGCAGTAAATTAAAAAAAATAATAAAATGGTAGCGCTGTGAGGTGATAGAAATACAAATTACCTGACCACCATGCGTATTTCACAATGTGTATCTGATATGGTTTGGATTTGTGTCCTGCCCCAAATCTCATGTTGTATTATAATCCCCAGTTGTGAAGGGGTGACCTGGTGGGAGGTGACTGGGTCATGGAGTGGGTCTTTCATGAATGGTTTAGAACTGACTCCTGGTGCTGTTCTCATGAAAATGTGTGAGTTCTCACAAGGGAATCCCCTTGAGGTTACTGTCCTGAGTCTGACTGGAGAAGACTCACCAGGCACCCCTGAGCTTCCTCACGACTCTGATGCTGGTGACCATGGTTGAGGACCTTTCATTCCCATAGGTGGCAATATACATATTGTGCATGTGAGAACGAGTCCTCATATACAATGATTAAAAAAATGTAGAGATGACATTGGTGGGCACAGAAATCTAAAATTAAAGAGTTTCCCTAGAGAAACTGTCAGAAGCAGAGGAAGTCCCAAATCCTGACAGGAAACAAACCCCAGCCTCCATGTGCACCTGCTCTGGGGTTGACTCTGATGAGTGGGTCCTGAGCGCCCCCTGCAGCTGATTTCCCCCAACGTTCCTGCAGGAGGTTTGTGTCTGGGCTCACACTTCCGACCTCTCACAGTGTTTCTCACACAGTAATACACAGCCGTGTCCTCGGCCCTCAGGCTATTCGTTTGCAGATACAGGGTGTTCCTGGAATTGTCTCTGGAGATGATGAATCGGCCCTTCACAGAGTCTGCATAGTGCGTCCTACTGCCATTCCAACTAACACCCGATACCCACTCCAGCCCCTTTCCTGGAGCCTGATGGACCCAGTTCATGTCACTGTTACTGAAGGTGAATCCAGAGGCTGCACAGGAGAGTCTCAGGGATCCCCCAGGCTGTACCAAGCCTCCCCCAGACTCCACCAGCTGCACCTCACACTGGACACCTGCAAACACAGAGACACCCTGGTCAGAAACTGCCACACAAATCCACTGTTTCTCTCACTCATGTCCACTCACTCAATATCCTTAGTTCTTCATGAATCACCTTTTAAAATAGCAGCAAGAAAAACCCAGCTCAGCCCAAATTCCATGGTAATTTGTTTGTTGCTGATGACAAAGTGGAAACACCTGAGAATCCCAGGGCTGGTGCTTCTCTCCCAGGGCTGCAGGGTCAGGACTGGGCTGCTTTTTATCAGGAAAGGGGGGGCCCTATTTGCATGTCTCCTATTTCACAGCGAGCTCTGAAGTGGGACACCTGAGGAGAGGACTGAGCCCAGAGTAATGAGAGTGAAACAACAAGCCTGAACAACTACAAATAAAGAAAAAAAAACACACTTGAACATATCAGAGTTGATGTCACAGAGCAAACATAAACTGTAAATTTGAGGAGATATAGCTTGGCAGGGAGACCCAGGATGCATATATGAGTGTGCCTGGGGAAGGTGCCGCTCCATGGCATTTAAGCTAACCTCAAAACATTTAGAGTTCCTTGAGGATGTACGCATTAATGGTGCTAGAGTGTGAAGCTTCTAATGCCATGTGTTGTTGCAGGCTTTCCTTACGAAGTTGGGAAATATCCCAGATGACCACACACTCACCCAAGGTGACCTCACACATCCCCAAGGTCACCTCACATATGCCCTGAATCACCTCACGCATCCCCAATTTCACCTCACATGTGCCCTGAGTCACCTCACACATCCCCAGTGTCACCTTACACATCCTGCAGGTCACCTCACACATCCACCAGGTCACCTCAAACATTTCCCAGGTCACCGCACATATACCCCACATCACCTCAGACACACCCTGGTCACCTCATACATACGTCAGGTCACCTCACGCTCACCCAAGGTCACCTCACACATCCCGCAGGTCACCTCGTAAATCCCCCAGGTCACCACATACATGCACCAGTTCACCTCACACATTCCTCAGGCACTTCACACCTGCCCCTGTTCACCTCACACATCCCCCAGGTAACCTAACACATGCACCAGGTCACCTCACATGCACCCAGGTCACTGCACACATGCCCTTTGTCACCTCACACATGCCCCAGGTCACCTCACGCATTCCCCATGTCACCTCAAACGGTCCCAGGTCACCATACACATTCCACAGGTCACCTCACATGTGCCCTAGGTGACTTCACCTGTACCCACCTCACACATTTCCAGGTCCCCACAGATGCCCCAGGTGACCTCATACCTCCTTAGGTCACCTCACACACACCCACATCACCACCAATCCCCGATGTCACCTGACATGTGCCCAAGTCACCTCACACACACCCCCAGGTCACCTCACATCCATCCTGGATCACCTCACACTCACCCGAGGTCAGCTCACACATATCCCCCACGTCACCTCACATGTGCCCCAAATCACCTTACATGCATCCACGTCACCTCACACTTGCTCTGTGTCACCTCACAAATCCCCCTGGCTTACCCGACATATCTCCCATGTCCCCTCACATGTGTCTCTGGTCACCTCATATGTGCCGTGTTCACCTCACACATACCCCCAGGTAATCTTACACAGCCCCCAGGTCACTTCACCTTCATACAGGTCACCTCACACATGCTATGATACATGTATATATTATGGAATTGTTAATCAAGCTATTTGACATATCCATCACCTCACACAGCTATCATTTCATTCTTTTTTTTTTTTTTGAGTTGGAGTCTCACTGTCACCCAGGCTGGAGTGCAGTGGCATGATCTCAGCTCACTGCAACCTCTGTCTCCCGGGTTCAAGCAATTCTCCTGCATCAGCCTCCCGAGTAGCTGGCATTACAACCGCGTGCCACCACACCTGGCTATTTTTTGTGTTTTTAGTGGAGACGGGGTTTTGCCATCTGGCCAGGCTGGTCTTGAACTCCAAACCTTGTGATTCGCCCGCCTCAGCCTCCCAAAGTGCCGGGATTACAGGTGTGAGCCACCGCGCCCAGGCTGTATCATTTCTTAGTGAGAAAATTTTTAACATTTGCATTTTTAGCCATTTTGAAATATATAATGCATTATTAGCCATATTTTCCATCTTGTGCATTAGAACACTGTAACTTTCTCCTTCTGTCTAACTGGAACATTTCACCCTTTGACCAAAATCTCGCCTTTTCCAGTCCACCCCTCCAGCCCCTGGTAACCAACACTCCACTCTACTTCTGTGAGTCTACCATTTAAACAAACTACAGTGAAATCGCGAATTACTTGTCTTCTGCGCCTGCCTGTGGAACTTCACATATGGTCCTCTAGAGTCATGCCTGCTGTTGCAAATGCAGGATTCCCTTCTTATTTTAGGATGAACATTACTCCATTGGGTACATACTACATTTTCTTTAGTAATTCATCCATTTATGGTAATTTAGGATGTTCCCACATCATTACTATCATAAATATTCCTGCAATGAACGTGGGGGCACAGATGTCTCTTTGACATACTGATTGCACTTCCTGTGGATACATAGCCAGTAGTGGGCTTGTTGGAAACTATGGTAGTTCTATTTTTATTTTTTGAGGAACCTCCATAGTATTCTCCATAATGTCTGTACTAATTGACATTTTCAGTAACAATATATATAGGCTCCCTTTACTCCACTTCTGCCCCAATACTGGTTATCTTTCATCTTCTTTAAAAATAGCTATTCTAACAGGTATGGGGTGATAATTTATTGTAGATTACATTTGAATTTTAAAAATTATTACTCATATTTAACATTTTATATATCTATATGTCATTTGTATGTATTTTTTGAAAAATGTGTATTCAAGTCATTTGCCTATTTATTAATAGGATCGTTTTGTAGTTGTTCTTGTCCTCACAAGATACGGCATCAGCTGCATGTATCCTGGACTCATTGCCACTGCACACCCCAGACCCAATGCCACCATGAACGTACTGGACTCAAGGATACTGCAAACTCCAAAATTGGTGTCCCCAAAACAGGAGCCCCTGAACACACCAAAGCAGCATCTCTGCATGTACCTAAACAAGGGATGCACACAATGCCACCACAGTAATACACAGACCTATCCTCGGCTCTGACGCTGTTCATTTGCAGATACAGTGATTTCTTGGCATCATCTCTGGAGAGGGTGAATCGACCCTTCACAGAGTCTGCATAGCTTGTGCTACCTACACAACAACTCATAAATGAGACCTACTCCAGCCCTTTCCCAGGAGCCTGATGGACCCAGCTCATCCAGTACCTAATAAAGGTACTAAAGGTGAATCCAGAGGCTGCAAAAGAAAGTCTCAGGGACCCCCAGGCTATAACAAGCCTCCCAAAGACTCCACCAGCTGCACCTCACACTGGACACCTGCAAACACACACAGACACCCTGGTCAGAACCTGCCACACATATCCACTGTTTCTCTCACTTGTGTCCACTCACACTCAATATCTCTAGTTCTCCATGAGTCACCTTTTACATTAGCAACAAGGAAAACCCAGCTCAGCCCAAACTCCATAGTGAGTCCTCTGTGTTCAGAGACCTGACCACCAAATGGAAACCCCTGGTACTTCTGGACTGGGGCTCTTCTCCCGTAGACGCAGGCAAGGCTGGTTTTCATCAGGACAGTGAGGGCCCTATTTGCATGTCTCCTCCTCTATAGCAAGCTCTGGGGTAGGACACCAGGAGAGCCGTGTCCAGAGCAGATGTGAGATTCCTGGAGGAGCTTAGTGTCAATGACAGCATTTGGGAAAATATAATTTCTTATTATGTGATTTTGCCATTAAAATTACTTAGCAATTATTATTTCATTTATTTTTTACATATTTGTACAAAAATAAATATAACTGCATTAAGCAAACCTTAAGAGATATGGAGAGATAAATAGAAAATAATAAAAATTAGGAGAAGACTTTAGCACCTCACTTTCAATGATGGATAGAACATCATTAAGAGAATTCTTAAGAAGACAGTGGACTTGAACAACACTATTGAACAAATTGACCTAATAGACATCTACAGAACCTTCCAACCAAGAGCAGTGTAATATGTATGCTTCCGAAGCAAAGACTAAATATTCTCCATGATAGGTCACATGTTAAGTAAAAAAAGGACTCTCAACATTTAAAGAAGTAATGCCAACCATTCTCTAACTTTTTCAAAAATTGGTGAGATGCCAACCTTCCAGTCTTTCTATAAGGCCCAAATTACCGTATTTTCAGTAATAGACAAGGTCACAAAAAAGTAAACTACAGACCAATATTCCTAGTAGACATAAATGAGCCCCCTCCACACACCAAATAATAGTCAACTAAGTTCCACAGGACTTTAGAAGGATCATACACCATGACCAACTCAAATTTATTTTTGAGATGCACAGATGATTCAAAATCCTCAAATCAATACATTTGGTATGCCAAATTAAATACGAAGAAGGTCCCATTAACTTCTCAGACAGAAAATAACATTAAAAAAATTCAAGGTTTCACCATAAAAACTCTACCCAAAATAGAAATACAAGAAAATAACCTAAACACAATAAAATTCATTATGAAAAGCCATAGCTGTTATCATACTTCATGGTGAAATGTTAAAATATTTTGTCTAATATCTGCAAAAGGGCAAGAATAAACTTGGAGGCATTTTACTCTCAGACTTCAAAATTAATTACAAACATAATCAAAACAGGATGGTACTGGCATAAATACATATAGAGAGCTCAGAAATAAACCCACGTATTGATGGCAAACTCATTTTCAAGTTGAGAACCAATATGAAGGCAAAGTGATTTATAACATTTTCTACACAACGGCTAAATCATACTCTCCCCTAAAGAGGGTGTTAAACAAACTGGGTTTTCACTTGCAAATAGTTAAGAATATTAGGTTAGAATAAACACAAAAAATCAACTCTAGATGGGTTAAACAGTTAAATGTATAGCCTGCAATTGTAAAATTCTCTCCCACCAAAAGGTTAGCAATGATTTCCTAAATTTAAGATTAAAAGCACAGACAACAAAAGCAGAATTGAAGGACTGGAACTACATCAAAATATAAAGATTTTGCAAAGCATGGAAAAAATTCCAAATCTACAGAATGGGAGAATATAGTTGCAAACCAGGCATCTGAAAAAACTGTTAATATTTAAAACATACATGTAACTTCTACAACTCATTAGCAAAATCATGACAGCCTGATTGTAAAACCATCAGTTTTATACGTAAAAAAAATTAAGAATTGTAGATGTCATGTTAAAGATTCTCCATGTATAATAGTCTGCTTTACGATATACTTGGCTCGGCTATACTTTGTAGTTATTCAAACACTAATCTAAGTGGTGTTGCAAATTTGCTGTCTAGATATTTAACCTGTCATCAGTTGACTCTAGGTTAGGTAGAGTGTCATTCATTACACAGGTGGGCCTGATTCCATCAGAGCAGAACTAAAGATGAAATTCTATGGTGATTCAGCAGCTTCAGCTCTGAGACTTACAGCCTGCACTTATTGAGGGTCAATCTTATGGACATTGTACTTCCCCAGCCATGCCTCAAAACTGTCATCCCCTAAGTCTTACAGAAACGTGATGTGTCCATCTGCAGCTTGTCAAATCTGAATAACAGACAAAAAGAGACTCTAAAGTAAAATGATAATTATTTGAAGATGGACATTGCAATGGGAACATGCATGGGTTCACTCAGGCAGGTAAAGAAAGATAAAGGTTTAAAGAAAAATGAGGAGGGTTACATAAGCTGTTTTGAGACAACTTCTCCGGGATAGAAGAATCAATAACAAGGGTGGCATCAGTCCAATCTTACACAGAGAGCTGCTGGGAAGATTACTCAGAGAAGTAATTCTTTTAAGGTTGTGGGCACCTTTGTGCAAGATTGTGGTTTTAAGAGTCTATTTACGATAGTTCTTGGTATCAGGGATATGAGCATGAGAACATTCCGTCACGGCCTTTCCCAGCTTCATTCAGCAGAGTTTTAACACAAGTGACCCAATTTTGATTCTGACAACTTTCTCAAGTTCTTTCTAACACTATTGTTTCAGAAAGTGACTCTGTGACAGTTTGTACAGCACAGGGTGAATTCCATATTTGTATCTCATTTTGACCAAACAAGCTTGTCCCCTTCAGCTCCCACTGGCCACATCTATTCTGAGATGAGTCTCCACACAATATAGTGGAGGGCCCTGAGCAATGGGAGAGAAGAAAGTCCCATCAGCCTCCCCAGCGTGGCTGCAGGAGCCACAACCTGAGACCCACCTGAGCTCCAAGAAAAGGGCTTGAGCCCTGGAATTTAGACCACAGAGACAACATCTTTCTTTTTTCAGGGAGCAGGAAAAGCAAATGAAAAAGGGACAACTCAAGAAAGAACACAGATTGGGAGCAAAAGCAGCACCAGATCAGTATTGATGCTGATTTGCACACTTTAGTGTCAGGAGAAGGGTCAGATGTGAAACCTGTGAGGTTCTACATGACACTGACCCTGGCTCAGTCTATTTTTTTTAAAATCCATAAAGCCTGTTCTAGTCATGGAATCTCACTGAGGTGTCTGTCCTGGGTCTGATTGGAGAAGACTCACCAGGAACGCCTGAGATTCCTCAGGACTCTGATCCTAGTGACCACAGTTGAGGACTTTTCATCTCTGTGAGTGTGAATCTGCATTTTGTGCATGTGAGAATAGTTAGTTCCTCACATTAAAATGATCTTTTTTAAATACATAGAGATGACACAGAATTCTAAACTTAGAGCGGTTCCCTGGGGAAACTGTCAGAAGAAGTTGAAGTCCCACATCCTGGAAGGAATCCAGCCCCTAATCTCCATGTGCACCTCCTTCTGGGGTTGATTCTGATCAGTGGGTCCTGAGTGCCCCCTGCAGCTGATTTCCCCCCACCCCAGGGTTCCTGCAGGGAGGTTTCTGGCTGGGCTCATACTGATTTCCCCTCACCATGTCTCTCACACAGCCGAGTCCTCATCTCTCAGACTGTTCATTTGCAAGTACAGCATGTTCTTGCCATTGTCTCTAGAGATGGTGAATCTACCCTTCAGTGTCTGCATAGTATAGGCTACCACCACTAGCACTAATGTATGAGACCCATTCCAGCCCCTTTCTTGAAGCCCGGTGGGCCCAGTTCATGTCATTGCTTCTCAAGATGAATCCGCAGGCTGCACATGAGAGTCTCAGGACACCCCCAACCCCACCACAGCTGTACCAAGTCTCCCCCAGACTCTACCAGCTGCACCTCATACTGCACACCTGCAAACACAGAGACATCCTGGTCAGAAACTGCCACACATATCCACTGTTTCTCTAATATCCACTCACGAACAATATCTGTAGTTCTTCATGTATCACCTCTTAAAATAGTAAAAAGGAAAGCCCAGCTCAGCCCAAACAACATGGTGATTCCTCTGTGTTAAGTTCTGATCACCAAGTGAAAACACTTGGGAATCCTGGCACTTGAGCTCGTCTCCCAGAGCTGCACGGTCACGGCTGGGCTGGTTTTCATCATCAGCAGAGGGAGGGAACTATTTGCATATCTCCTACTATATAAAAGTCTCTTGGGCTGGATGTCTGAGGACAGGGCAGGGCACAGAGCATATTAAGTTTTCTGGTGGGTGGTGGGGCTTGAAGACAATGATAGTATTTGGAAAAAAATGTAATTTCTTATTAAAAGATTGTGCTATAGTAAACACTTAACATACATCATCTTAACACATGAAAATACATTGTTAGAGGCAGATGCCCATTGGTCCTCCATTTACAGATGAGAATGTAAACGCAGAAGCATGAGGGAGCTATGAGATGTGTCCAGGAGCTCACATGTGACAAGAATGGGCTCCAGGATCGAGGCCTGTGCTCCTCTCCACCGGATCCCACTGCTCCCTTAACCAACTTTAGCCCAGAGTTACACACACCTGGTGTGGTTTGAAGAAACCCTTCTTGTAATAAAAACATTAAAAAAATCTGCTGCATTTTAGAATTACCAAAAAATAAAGATAGAGCTAAGGGTTATTCATTGTACATTCAGAAATATCTGACTTTTTATGTGATTTATCCATCTCCCTTAAACCGTCCCTAAGAAATTTATACAGGTATTTATTTGTAATAGCTTGAATAATATAAAATTATAATTAACACACAAAATGTACAATTTAGAAATTATTGATGTAACCATAACCATTATTAAGATAGAAAACAGATCAATTACCCTCAACATTTTCTCTTGTTCTCTTGCAACTCCTCCGTCCTCCCTCTTTTCGCTCACCTTTTCTCCATTCAACTCCCAACCTTCATATCACTTTAGTTTCTATTCTGTAGAATGTATAAAAGTGTCATCATACGGGATGTAGTTTTTTTTTTTTGGCTTATTTTACTTATATGTACTTGTGAATTTAGTTCGTTTATGCGTCTATCAAACGTTCATTAATTGTAATGAACAACAGTATTCCAATGATTGATTTTTTTTTGTTTTTTTGAGACGAAGTCTCGCTCTGTCGCCCAGGCTGAGTGCAGTGGCGCAATCTCGGCGATTCTCCTGCCTCAGCCTCCTGAGTAGCTGGGATTACAGGCGCGCACAACCACGCCCGGCTAATTTTTGTATTTTTAGTAGAGACGGAGTTTCACTATGTTGGTCAGGCTGTTCTCAAACTCCTGACCTCATCATCCACCCGCCTCGGCCTCTCAAAGTGCTGGGATTACAGGCGTGAGCCACCGTGCCCGGCTGAATTTGTTAAATTCGGTGTTTAATCTGACATCCTTCTGGATTTGCTCACACTGGAACGTAAAAGAAAATAATTTCCAACACTTACGTGTAGCCAAAACAAAACCAAAAATTTCCCGTCTCTAAGCTACACCTACCACTGGATTTTTAACTGACAAAAGATGAGCCTGAGAGAAATCACAAAAGCAGCCAATTCAAGGAAAAGCCATTTATCGTTCTCAGCTGAACTTAAGACCACAGTTACCACGAAGGCAGCTTCTCCACCTCCGGAGCTCAAGCGATCCGCCCGCCTCAGCCTCCCAAAGTGCTGGGATTCCAGGCCTGAGCCCCGCGCCAGGCCAGCGAAGGCAACGTCTAAAAAAACTTCTCACCTCCTGTCACCATTTCAGTGACAAATTCCCGAGTTTTCAGAGGACATGCCGAATCCAGCACAAAACACTGACTCTGAGGAGCTCCCGACGCCGCTGGCGCCTCAGCTGGCAGCAGCTGCTCCAAGTTCGAACCCCCGGGCGGTGGCGGAAGGGCCTTCCCGCGGGCGTCGGGCAGCAGCTGCAGCCCTGGGATCGGCCGCGGCGGCTCCGCGTCCTTCCCGGAGGCGCCGGCGCGAGGTCCTCACACCCAGGCGGCTCAGTGGAGGCGCAGCAGCCCAAGGAGCGCCGCCCCCAGCGCCCGCGCCCATCCTGGAGAACTGCATCTGCGCAGGCCCAGAGCGTCCTCCTGGAGCAGGCGAGCCAGGATGGCGCCTCCTCGCTCCCAGCAGGCGCCCCCACGCGGCCCGTGCGGAGCCCAGCAACCAGAGCCGCGCGAGCCTGTGGGGAGCCTGTGGGGAGCCTGTGGAGGCCTGGGCTCCACCGCCTTCCCCACAGCCAGCAGCAGCTTCTGCCGCCCGCCTTCCCCTGGCCAGGTCTTCCTGCAGCTGGCGCCGGAGGCTGCGGAGGGAGGGCCCAAGGGTTCTTTTCAGAAGACTGGCTTTTTATGAATTTTAACACAATATGTACAAGCTGCATTCGTTTAATAATGCTACTTCCGTCATACGCTGGCAACTTAACACCTGAAAAGATTAGATGTTATAAATAGGACTTGTTCATCCTTTATACACAGGATATCCATAGATAAATAAAACAAACACACAGACAGAAGAGATGATCATTAATCTCTCCTCCCGGTGCGCACAGAGGCCTGGAAGTCTGCACTTTCTCCTCCTCTCTCCTCCCCTGAACCAGAGCACAAACGCAATGTGTGTTGATCAAGCAGGGATTTGGCCATCCTCCCCACCCCCCACCAACATCAAAATAAAATAAAACACTGCATATGAATTTTAACAAAAAGACATTTACAAAATTTATTATTTTACCACCTGTAATTTTAACATACATCAGGCACTTCAGAACATCTAGAAAGACTAGATATTTCAAAAGAATACTTAGAATTTCCAATGATGTATACAATAGCGAGGAATAAAATGCACACAAGAAAACAATGACAACGATATGAAAATGTCTTTTATTTTTCTTTTTTTTTTTTAATTATACTTTAAGTTTTAGGGTACATGTGCACATTGTGCAGGTTAGTTACATATGTATACATGTGCCATGCTGGTGTGCTGCACCCACTAACGCATCGTCTAGCATTAGGTATATCTCCCAATGCTATCCCTCCCCCCTCCCCCCACCCCACCACAGTCCCCAGAGTGTGATATTCCCCTTCCTGTGTCCATGTCATCTCATTGTTCAATTCCCACCTATGAGTGAGAATATGCGGTGTTTGGTTTTTTGTTCTTGCGATAGTTTACTGAGAATGATGGTTTCCAATTTCATCCATGTCCCTACAATGAAAATGTCTTTTAAATATGAGCAGCCTGGCATGGAACCCTCTTCCCTTCCTGCCCAGGTCTCCCCTCCATGTCCTCTCACCCACTGAACGAACGTGGACGTGTGGTTACTGTGTCCCTTCCAGGGGTGGTCTAGTAACTCCATTTCAAAATGTCATTTCCAGAAGACACCCCTTTGCTATGATTTGTTTAAAAAGCACACGGTAACTTACGGCCAGGCACGGTGGCTCACACCTGTAATCCCAGCACTTTGAGAGGCCAAGGTGGGTGGCTCACCTGAGGTCAGGAGTTCAAGACCAGCCTGGCCAACGTGGCAAAACCCCATCTCTACTAAAAACTACAAAAATTAGCCAGGCGTGGTGGTGCACACTTGTAATCCAAGCTACTCGGGAGGCTGAGGCAGCACAATTGTTGAAACTCAGGAAGCAGAGGTTGCAGTGAGCCAAGATCCTGCCACTGCACTCCAGCCTGGGCGACAGAGTGAGACTCCGTCTCAAAAACAAAAAACAAAAAAACGAAAAAAAACGGAAAACAAAAGACAAGCACATGGTAACTTACAAGACATGTAATTGTCTGACTCTGTCATACATTTGGGAACCTCCTTACATCTAGGCGGATTAGATGCAGCAAATGTTTTCTTTTAAAAGGTCAGGGAAAGGTCGAGAGCAGCTTTTTCATGTGTTACGCACAGG
Source organism: Homo sapiens (assembly GCF_000001405.40). Classification (NCBI taxonomy): domain Eukaryota; kingdom Metazoa; phylum Chordata; class Mammalia; order Primates; family Hominidae; genus Homo; species Homo sapiens. The sequence goes on from NT_187600.1 coordinate 892,640, forward strand.
CCTTCTAGAAAGGGCTGGTAAAGTGTGGTGGGCATGTCCAGTGGGACAAACTTGGAAGGTTCTTCTCTGTTTCTCCCCATCCATGTCAAGGTCTTGTAGAAGAACGATCACCATCCGGTGGCCGCTACCCGTTCCCCACATCGTCTTCCAGGACTCTACTAACATTTCTTGCCCTAAGGCCGTTGAACCTTGCCAGGACTGGCAGGGTCCCTTCCAACATGGACAGGAGTCATCCCAGGATTCGGAGCTTCGGGGCTGCATGGCCTGAAGAGAAGGCGGATCTAAGTCCTAGACCCCGCTTCCTGGCGACCCCACGCGTCCCCGGAACTCCCACGTCCCAGCTGCCCCCTCGCATCCCTGGACCTCCCACAACCCGCCAGCCCCCGCGCGTCCCGGACCACCTGCATCTCAGCTGCCCCCGCGCCTCTCCAGACCGCCCACGTCCCAGCTGCCCCCTGGCATCTCCGGATCGCCGACGTCCCGCCATCCCCCGCGCGTCCCCGGACCGCCCACGTCCCATCAGCCCCGCGCCTCCCGGACCGCCCACTTCCCGACAGTCCCCGCGCATCTCTGTGGCAGCTGCCCCGGTGCTTCCCGCCGCGCCGCGCCCGCCCACCCAACGGCGCTGTGTCCCGGTAGCTCAGCGCGGACTTCCTTTATGTGGTACAGGGTTGGGCCTGGAGACGCGGAGGCCGGCGAGGTCCTGGCTGGGAGAGGCCGCCGCTGCCTTCAGGTTTCCGAGGTGGGTAGAGAGGTTCCCGCTGCTTTGAGGTCAAGGCTCCTCGGTGGCGGCCACAGCAAAGGCTCCAGTGTCCGCCGCAGGGCAGAGGCCGGGCCTGTCTGGGGACCCCCGACTCATCTGAGGCTCAGGGCGGAGGGTCCAGTGAACTGACCTTGCCCCGCTTCTCACCACGCGCCCAGTGTCACTGTATTCAGCCACCACTGCACAAAGGCGTTACAGCTCTGTGCCCTGAGAAGCCCCTCATTCCCTCAGTGACTCCACAGGGAACACCGGGTGGGCCCCTGGATTCACAGCCCTGTAGCACGCTGCCCAAGGGGCCCCCTTGCTCTCCCACCACCCAGAACACCGAGCCCGTTGTCAAGGCTGAACCATCCGCGGGCAGCTGGGACCAGGGAACATGGTGAGGGGCTCACGGCACCTGGCGTGCAGATCCCAGTAGCTGGATGCGGTTCTGCTAATCACTAACAGGCTTGCAGGCTTCCCCAGGAATCCACCCATAAACTTCACAGAACACTGTGTCTGTGAACCACCCAGTATGTGCATTCAGTTTCTAACGTCACTCTGGTCCGGAATCTGCCACCTGCAGGATCCAATTAACAAGAGAGAGATCTGGTACAAAAATTATTGTATTAACCATAATGGTAAAGGGGAAGTGAACGCATTCCCATCCCAAGCAACCACTTCAATTTTGAAGGAAAGGCAGGGGTTTAAAAAAGGGAAAGTTGGTAAGAAAGGCATGCAAGATTTGGGCTGAGAACCAGGTCTGTGCGTCTTGTTCTGGCAGCTCTCTGGCATCCCAGTCCACCTGGATCTTGGGCTGGCATCATCTGGGCAATGCCTGGGTTGTTAACTAGCAACATTGAAGTCACCTCTGGAATTCTGCATCAGGGTCTCCCGACTTTGTCTATCTGTCTCAAATTAGCTTCCGGAACTTCCAAAAAGGCACATAGTTCGATGCAAACATAAAGTTAGATTAATGTGAAGGGAATATTTATGGTGAAAGGGAGAATTTCAAGGCATAAGAAAATTGATTCTGCTGTTTGCCTCAAGATTGTATCTTTACACCCAAGAGAGACTGAAAAGTTTAACCTCTCTCTTCTGCCACCATGTATGACTGCCTTGCTTCCCCTTTTTCTTCTGCCATGATTATAAGTTTCCTGAGGCGTCCCAAGCCATGCAGAACTGTTTGGTGTGGAGATTCCTGAAGAAGGGTTTTACTTACTACTTGACAGAATTCCCGTTGGTGACGAGGAAATGTCAGAGATCTTTAATTCATGATGATGTTGGATTATTGGCAGTTGGCTCACTAAGGATCCCATGTCCAAGAGCAGGATTCTCCTTCCAAAGTGTGTGTGTGGACTTGAGGAGCAGCCTTTGAAAGATGGGGCTCCTAGACTTTATAGAACCTCCTTTGATTCCTTGGAGGTTTGCAATCTCCAGGTTGTCCGTCATCCAGGACTTTGACTGTTTGTGAGAAAGAGTGCTTCCTTTTGGGTGAAGAACTCTGTATGAATATCGTAGGGCTGCCAAAATGAAATACTACAAACTGGGTGGCTTAAAAATGACAGGACTGTATTGTCTCACAGTTCTAGAGACTAGAAGTCCAAAATCAAGTGTGAGCTGGGCTGCACTCCCTCTGAGACTCAGGAGACTTCTTCCTTGCCCTTTCCTCACTTGTGGAGGTGACTGGTAATCCTGGACATGCATTGGTTTACTGCTGCACCACTCTGATCTTTGCCTCTGCTGTCATATGGCACACTGTATGTCTCTGTCTCTGTGTCCAAATTTCCTTGTACTTAGAAAGACACCCATCTTCCCACATTGAGGGCCTGCCCTGCTCAAGTAAGACCTCATCTTCACTAATAACATCTCCAGCTACCATATTTCCAAATAAGGACGTGTTCTGAAGTGCTGGTTGTCAGGACTTTGACATATCATTTGGGTACACAGTTTAATACATGACGAACCCCGTTACAGAGCTACCATGTCTAGTGTCTTACACATTTTGTTTGGAGGGGGAGGGTAAAAATAACAATGGACTCCTGTGTGTTCTCTGACGATAGCAATACGAATAGCTACCACGTAATGCCTACTAGTTGTTAGGTACTAAATATTAACTAATTTCATTCTTACAACAACCCTACTTTACATATGACAAAACTGGGGTACAGGAAGTAACTGGCCCATTGTCCTTCAGTTAGCAGTGGCAGAGACAGTATACAAAGCCAGACTTCCCAGCTCCAGAGGCCGCATACTTAATACCACCCTGCCTTCTGGACAGTCAGGACAAGCAATTATGCCTATGGTAAACATACTGTGCTGACAAGTAAGGTTACACTTGAAATGTGGCTTACAATACAAGGTATAGAGATTACAGGCAATTCATGTGTTCTGGTTATTTGTTATTAAGTCTCAATTAGAATGTAAGTGTGAAATTTCAGGTTTCAAGGAGTATGAAAATAATATTAAAACCTCAAAAAATAAGTTTAAAATGCATTTTGAAATTAAGCTGCCTGTATATCATTCCCCACTGTCAAATTCCATTTTGTTTCTATGGAAAACGTGTGTCATAGTCAATCTGGCTACTTCTTAGAAAGGGCATAGCTTGTATATATTGGAAGGGAATCCATTAAACTGGAGTTGGAAATATTCTGGAGTCTCCGGAATTACAGTAGGTGTTTGTTGGAGCATTATGGTGCAAGGACCTAGGAGTTTTTGAGAAGGTCAGTATTACATTCTCACTTAAAGTGCAAGGTACCAATAAAATCCACAGCAACTGAAGATAGCAATGAAGAGTATACCAGCTCTACTATATATGAAAGTCTTCCATGTGTTAGGAAGTCAACTAAACCATGCTGTCGCAGGGTCCTGAGAGAGGGCATCCATCTCTAGCAGAAATATGGGTATCTAATGCTTGCATAGCTTGAGTTATATTGTGGGACTAATCTTGTATATATATGCAACATTCAGGGTTCATTAATACACAAGTGTTACCTTTGGCTGTAGTTGCAATACCTAGGGTCATATAGCTTCATAGTGTCACTTGTCAAATCTGTGAGGTTTCTTCAGTAAGAATGATGATGGTATGGTAGGTGTTGTTAAAGGGACTGGTGGTATGCTTAGCCAGGGCCTCTACTTGCAATTCTAAATCTATGACTGCCACCTGGGGGGAAGAGCTGGCTAGTGGGTGGAATAACTAGGATATCCGTTTATGAGAATAGTGTCTGTCTTTCACACTTTTCCAGTTGACATAAAGAGAAGGCACTTTGGACAGTTACATCCTGGGATAGAAGTTCATATCCAGTTGCTTCGCTTCGTCCAGTTGTAAGGAAAGTAGGGTCAGCCATGAGTGCCACCGGCCTTTGGCTAATCCCAGAAGGAAGAACAGGTTCCACTCTGCAGGCTGGCATTGCTTTGTCATCCCAGCCACATATTAAGGGCTCAGTTACATTGCTGAGGAGGCAACAATTCCATATCATGAGTGACAGTGTAGAGTATGCTGTGGTGTTTCTTCACACATAGCAGTGCTTGACCAATTACTTGGATTCTCACCACTGTCAGCCATCCTACCTCACTGGATATGACATAGCCTATTTTGGGAGTGATATTAATGAAGTGTCTTCTGTTTTTATAATAGATGGAAAAGATGGCTTCTCCCATGGATGGAAAATCATAAGTTCTTAAGTTGGGAGCTTGTATTATGCCAGGGCAGGCCTATAGTGGAAGAAATGGGTGAACTCTTTACAGAACCAACTATGTTTTCTTTTGGAGGGAAGCCACCATCTTCCACCCATTCAGCAAAAAAGATTAGTTTTAATAAGGAGAAATAATGTACTTATAACTATAGAACTCATTAAGAATTTCATATTAGATCGCATTTGTCAATTTGGGCTTTTGTTGCCCTTGATTTTCGTGTTTTAGACATGAAGTCCTTGCCCATGCCTATGTCCTGAATGGTATTGCCTAGGTTTTCTTCTAGGGTTTTTATGGTTTTAGGTCTAACACGTAAGTCTTTAATCCATCTTGAATTAATTTTTGTATAAGGTGTAAGGAAGGGATCCAGTTTCAGCTTTCTACATATGGCTAGCCAGTTTTCCCAGCACCATTTATTAAATAGGGAATCCTTTCCCCATTTATTGTTTTTGTCAGGTTTGTCAAAGATCATATGGTTGTAGATAGGCGGCATTATTTCTGAGGGCTCTGTTCTGTTTCATTGGTCTATATCTCTGTTTTGGTACCGGTACCATGCTGTTTTGGTTACTGTAGCGTTGTGGTATAGTTTGAAATCAGGTAGCGTGATGCCTCCAGCTTTGTTCTTTTGGCTTAGGATTGACTTGGCAATACGGGCTCTTTTTGATTCCATATGAACTTTAAAGTAGGTTTTTCCAATTCTGTGAAGAAAGTCATTGGTAGCTTGATGGGGATGGCATTGAATCTATAAATTACCTTGGGCAGTATGGCCATTTTCACGATATTGATTCTTCCTACCCATGAGCATGGAATATTCTTCCATTTGTTTTTATCCTCTTTTATTTCATTGAGCAGTGGTTTGTAGTTCTCCTTGAAGAGGTCCTTCACATCCCTTGTAAGTTGGATTCCTAGGTATTTTATTCTCTTTGAAGCACTTGTGAATGGGAGTTCACTCATGATTTGGCTGTTTGTCTGTGATTGGTGTGTAAGAATGCTTGTGATTTTTGCACATTGATTTTGTATCCTGAGACTATGCTGAAGTTGCCTATCAGCTTAAGGAGATTTTGGGCTGAGACAATGGGGTTTTCTAGATATAAAATCATGTCATCTGCAAACAGGGACAATATGACTTCTTCTTTTCCTAATTGAATACCCTTTATTTCCTTCTACTGTCTCATTGCCCTGGCCAGAACTTCCAACACTATGTTGAATAGGAGTGGTGAGAGAGGGCAACCCTTTCTTGTGCCAGTTTTCAAAGGGAATGCTTCCAGTTTTTGTCCATTCAGTATGATATTGGCTGTGGGTTTGTCATAGATAGCTCTTATTATTTTAAGATACGTCCCATCAATACCTAATTTTTTGAGAGTTTTTAGCATGAAGGTTGTTGAATTTTGTCAAAGGCCTTTTCTGCATCTATTGAGATAATCATATGATTTTTGTCATTGGTTCTGTTTATATGCTGGATTTTGTTTATTGATTTGAGTATGTTGAACCAAAGAGCTTCTGCACAGCAAAAGAAACTACCATCAGAGTGAACAGGCAACCTACAGAATAGGACAAAATTTTTGCAATCTACTCATCTGACAAAGGGCTAATGTCCAGAATCTACAATGAACTCAAACAAATTTACAAGAAAAAAGCAAACAACCCCATCAAAAAGTGGGCGAAGGATATGAACAGGCACTTCTCAAAAGAAGACATTTATGCAGCCAAAAGACACGTGAAAAAATGCTCATCATCACTGGTCATCAGAGAAATGCAAATCAAAACAACAATGAGATACCATCTCACACCAGTTAGAATGGCAATCATTAAAAAGTCAGGAAACAACAGGTGCTGGAGAGGATGTGGAGAAATAGGAACAGTTTTACACTGTTGGTGGGACTGTAAACTAGTTCAACTATTGTGGAAGGCAGTGTGGCGATTCCTCAGGGATCTAGAACTAGAAATACCATTTGACCCAGCCATCCCATTACTGGGTATATACCCAAAGGATTATAAATCATGCTGCTGTAAAGACACATGCACACGTATGTTTATTGCGGCACTATTCACAATAGCAAAGACTTGGAACCAACCCAAATGTCCAACAATGATAGACTGGATTAGGAAAATGTGGCACATATACACCATGGAATACTATGCAGCCATAAAAAATGATGAGATCATGCCCTTTGTAGGGACATGGATGAAGCTGGAAATCATCATTCTCAGAAGTCTATCACAAGGACAAAAAACCAAACACCGCATGTTCTCACTCATAGGTGGGAATTGAACAATGAGAACACATGGACACAGTAAGTGGAACATCACACACCGGGGCCTGTTGTGGGTTGGGGGGAGGGGAGAGGGATAGCATTAGGAGATATACCTAGTGTTAAATGACAAGTTACTGGGTGCAGCACACCAACATGGCACATGTATACATATGTAACAAACCTGCATGTTGTGCACATGTACTCTAAAATTTAAAGTATATAAAAAAGGATGATTTTCTATATTTCAAATTAAAGTCACAGATAATAAAAGCAGAATTGAACAAGCAGAACTACATCACAACAAAAAGATGCCGCAAAGTGTGGAAAAAATTGCAACCTACAGAATGAGAGAATATAATTATAAGGTGTGCATCTGAAAAAGTGTTAATATCCAAAATATACATGCAGTTTCTACAACTCATTAGCAAAATCATAATTGGGTGATTGTACTGTGGTCAGTTTTACACCTTAAAACATTTAAGAATATAGATCTCATGTTAAAGATTCTTTCCTCTGGGTAATGGTAAGTTTGATGGTACACTTGGTTAGGGTAGACTTTGTAGTTATTCAATCCAACATTAATATAGGTGGTGTTGGCCGGGCACAGTAGCTCACATCTTTAATCCCAGCACTTTGGGAGGCTGAGATCAGGAGTTTGAGACCAGCCTGACCAATATCGTGAAACCTGGTCTCTACTAAAAATACAAAAATTAGCTGGACTTGGTGGCCTGCCCCTGTAATCCCAGCACTTTGGGAGGCTAAGGCAGGTGGGTCACCTGAGGTCAGTAGTTTGAGACCAGCCTGACCAATGTGGTGAAACACCATCTCTACTAAAAATACAAAAATTGGCCGGACATGGTGGTGTGTGCCTGTATTCCCAGATACTGGGAGGAGGCTGAGACAGGAGAACTGCTCGAACTCCGGAGACAGAGGTTGCAGTGAGCCAAGATCACGACATTGCACTCCACCCTGGGTGACAGAGCGAGACTCCGTCTCTCTCTCTCTCCCTCTCTCACTATATATATAGTTATGACTTTACTTAATAGATGATATTAATACTGTCATCAGCTGACTCTAGGTTAGGTAGATTGTCATTGATAAAATGGGTGGGCCTGATTCCATCAGAGCAGAACTGGAGAAAATGAAATTCCACGATGATTCAGCAGCTTCGCCTCTCTCTGGGACCTCCAGTCTGCACTTATTGATGGCTGATCTTATGGACATTGGATATTCCTAGACATCTCCAAAAACTGTCATCCTCTATGTCTCACAGAAAAGTGGCATGTCCGTCTGTAGCTTGTCATGTCAACCTGAATAACAGACAGAGACTCTAAAGTATAATAATATTTTTTCTAGGATGTGCGTTTCAATTAAAATATGTATGGGTACATTCAGGTAGGAAAAGGAAGATAAAGAATTAAGGAGAACATGTGGACACAGGGTGGGAAACATCACACACCGGGGCCTGTAGTGGGGTTGGGGGAAGGGGGATGGACAGCATTAGGAGAAATACCTAATGTAAATGATGAGTTAATGGGGGCAGCAAACCAACATGGCACATGTATACATATGTAACAAACCTGCACTTTGTGCACATGTACCCTAGAACTTAAAGTATAATTTAAAAAATAATAAAAAAGAGAATTAAGGAAAAATGAGGAGGGTGACAGCAGCTATTTTGAGATAGCGGTGTAAGGTTGAATAGGCAGTTGCGGGGCAGATTTACTTGGAGAAATAAAGCTTTTAAGGCTGTGGTGGCCTCTGTGTAAAAGGTTGTGGCTGTGCAGGGTCTATTTATGATAGTTCTTCTTATCAGGAATATGTGTGTTAGAACCCTCCTTCATGGCCTTCCCCAGCTTCATTCATTAGGGTTTTAACACAAGTGGATCCATTTTGATTCTGATAAAGTTCACAAGCTCTTTCTAACACTACTTCTGAAGAAGATGACTCTGACAGTGTGCATAGAACAGGGTTAATTCCACATCCACATCCCATTTTGATCAAATGAGTTTATCCCCTTCACTATTAACGGCCAATTGCATTCCCAGATGAGTCTACACACAACACAGAGGAGGGCCCTGAGAATATGGGGAGAGAAGGAAATCCCATCAGCCTCTCCCACGTGGGCTGGAGTAGCCAAGCCTGAGCCTTGCCTGAGTTCTAAGAAAATGCCTTGAGCCCTGGAGTGTAGAGCATAGAGACCATGTGTTTCTTTTTCAGGAAGAAAGAAAAGCAAATAAAAAAGGGAGAACAAACACTCCAAAGAAAGAACATGTATTGGGAGCAAAAGGAGCACCAGATCAGTGCTGATGCGGATTGGCTTTAGGGTCAGGAGAAGGGTCAGATGTGAACCCTGTGAGCTTCTACAGGACACTGACCCTGGCCCAGGCTCTCTATTGGCTGTGATCAGAATCCCTGCCGTTCTAGTCCAGGAGTCTCCCTGAGGTTTCTGTCCTGGGCCTGAATGGAGGAGACTCATCAGACACCCGTGAGCTTCCTCAGGACTGCGATCCTGGTGACAATGGTTGAGAACTTTTCATCTTTGTAAGCATCAATGTGCATTTGGTACATGAGAGGTTATGTCCTCATATTAAAATGATCTTTTGAAAATATGTAGAGATGACATTAGGAACCACAGAATTCTAAAATTAGGGAGGTTCATTAGAGAAACTGTTGGAAGAAGATGAAGTCCCACATCCTGACAGGAAATCAGCCTCCATCTGCACCTGCCTCCGGGACTGACTCTGATCAGTGGCTCCTGAGCGCCCCCTGCCGCTGATTTCCCCCCAGCGTTCCTGCAGGGAGGTTTGTGTCTGGGCGCACAATGACTTCCCCTCTGTGTATATCTGGCACAGTAATACACGGCCGTGCCCTCAGCTCTCAGGTTGTTCATTTGAAGATACAGCGTGTTCTTGGAATTGTCTCTGGAGATGGTGAATCTGCCCTTCCTGGAGTCTGCGTAGTATGTGCTACCACCACTAATGGATGAGACCCACTCCAGCCCCTTCCCTGGAGCCTGGCGGATCCAGCTCATCTCATTGCTACTGACGGTGAATCCAGAGGCTGCACAGGAGAGTCTCAGGGACCCCCTAGGCTGTACCAAGCCTCCCCCAGACTCCACCAGCTGCACCTCACACTGGACACCTGCAAACACAGAGACACCAAGGTCAGAAACTGCCACACAAACCCACTGTTTTGCTCACTCATGTCCACTCACACTCAACATCTGTAGTTCTCCATGAATCACCTTTTAAAATACCAACAAGGAAAACCCAGCTCAGCACAAACTGCATGATGAGTTGTGTGTGTTCAGTCCTGATCACTGAAGGGAAACACCTGGGAATCCCAAGGCTGGGGCTCCACTCCCAGAGTGCTAAAAAGGGGAAGAGGATTTTCCATGCTAGGTCCCAGGTACCTCCTTGCAAGTGCAGGCATCCTAAACTTGTGCAAGTTTCCAGCTTTCTGATGTTATAGTGCCCCCAGAAAAGGAAAGGAATGTGCTCATTAAGGCCCACTGTTTTTACTAGGGCCCAGTGTATGTATGTGAAGTTTGGTGATTACACCCAGAAACACCCTCTCTGTGGCAGAGTTGCTTATATGTTTTACAGCCTGATCTTTCAGGCTGCTTTTTGTTAGAAGTGATTTCTTTGAACTCTGTGTGAATAGAAAATAAGTAATTGCCAAGCTGATTTTTGTTAGAAGAAATGTTTTTGCCAGAAATTCTGTCATCCTAACTATCTACCAAAATAATTTCTTTCTATCTCCTGTAACACCAGTTTGACTCTTCCATTTAGCTTGGTGATTTTGCGGTCTCAAGACTTATTTTCCTTTCACAGTAGGCAGGTATAAAAGAGTTTTTGTATATAATTAAGTTGCTTACATTTGTCCGTTTTCATGCTGCTATAAGGACATACCTGAGGCTGGGTAAATTATAAAGAAAAAAGGTTTAATTGTCTTACAGTTCTGCGTGGCTGAGAAAGCCACAAGAAATTTACAATCATGATGGAAGGGGTAGCAAACACGTGCTTCTTCACATGGCTGCAAGAGAGAAGTGCCAAGGGAAGAGGGAGGCCCCTTATACAACCATCAGATCTTGTGAGAATAACAGGAGAACAGCATGGAGAAAACAGCCTCCATGATTCAATTATTCCCACCTTTTTCCACTTGACATGTGGGAATTATTACAATCCAAGATGAGATTGGGGTGGGGACACAGAGCCAAATCATGTCATTGATTTTATTTTCTTTAGAGTATAAGATGTCTAGCTATAAGAAAGCACAGTTTAACTTCTGGTAATTTTAAATCAGGAAAAATATTTTGGAGGCTTCTGCAAATATAAATTTTTATAGAAACTAATATAAATTGTAGAAACTAATATAAATTGTAGAAAATAATATAAATTGAAAAACAAGTGGACAAGGTTAGAATCTAATAACAGATGCACTGTTGTTTATTTTGAAACAGTATTTCTCTCTATAATTCCCCAAAGTTATTAGAGACACAATCATAGTAGGGCAAATTTATTTGTAATATAAGTTTTAGGCTTAATTTTTTTGTATAAGATGAGGCAAAAATAGTAATTTAACATATTAGCTCTCTTTTTTTCTATTTTTTGTACATAGGCTATTTAATTCATAAATTGACCTTGCTGGAAATTTTTTATAAGAAATCTAAGGGTAGAATCTTTAAAAGCATCAAGCCCAGACATTGTTTCATCTGTGCCTTCAGACAGCTATATGAATTGGGTTACTTCTTCTTTTTTCAATTTTCCAAGACAACTTGGGATTCCTGGGTCTGTCAGAAAGTAAAATTATTGACTTACTACAGCTCAGGGCCCTGAACAAAACAGGTTACATGCCAGTTTTCCCAAGGGGCTTTTATCAGCTATCCAGCTTAAATTCATTTTATAAAGTAAATATGAAAATATGTCATTCAAGTTAAAGTCTTGGTAAAATGATCATTGTCTCCAATTGTGCCCTGTTACGGAAGAAAGCAGATTTATATTGAACCTATGTGAATTAATATTTTGATATAACAATACTCACAGTTTCCAAATTTTGGAGAAATTATGTAGAGAAGAAGAAATTGTGTTTTTGAATTTTCTCACTAGAATATACTATACTCAATTGTTAAAAACAATGAATAGCTTAAGAGAATTTTTTTTTTGATTCTGAAAAACAAAATGTAAGTAATTAGCAAATGCTTTAAAGAATAAGCCATAAAATTTATTTCAGGCTCCTGTTAGTTCAGTTCATGCAATTAAGTCCTGTCCTGTTTGACATTATATTAACAACCATCATAAATGCATCAGGTCTCCATGAGAGTCTTGGAAGTTTTTCTCTGTATATAAATGGCACAATTTATAAAATTGTCACAATTGTGTATTTAAGAGTACCCCTCAAAATTCTATAGATTATTATAAGCCACCTGATAAAGAATCAAAGGAAAACAATTGTGGATGGCTGAAGTTTTAGAATAGCCACGGTTAAAGACAGAATTGAGGAGAAAGTTTGGTTATTTCTGTGATGAACAAAAATTTTATATAATAATCATAAGTACTACTGACAAAATATACTGACATATCAAAGTCAATTGAACCTCATACCATTTTAGAACATGTACTCTTTAATTTATATGAATATACTCCAATTATATAGTCCACATTTATATAAATATAGTCCAAAGTTAAACACCATTTCAAATTTGACATTGCTTCCAGTATAATTTAATTGTACCAAAGAAGCTAAATATGTTTCTTTTTGGCTTCAGGAGATCAAATATCAAAAAAGAATAATGAGGTCAAATGACTGAATTTAGACTTTTATTTTGTGAAGGAGGTCAAATATCAAAGGTTTATTTAGAACACTTGATATTACAAAATGGAATTACAGATTATTGTAAAGTAAGTTATTTATTTAGCCAAGTGAAAACTCAGTGATTTCTTAAAAAAGCAAAAACTTTTATTTTTGAAAGAATTAATTTTCTAAACAATAACCCCTTATAAGAACATCATGAGAAAAATTAAAACTATCTCTCAATTCTGAGAAATAAGTCTATTAAATTATAACTACTTTTACCATAAAATATAATTTTCATAGGTCTTTTATAAATTTTAATAATTTTTTAAGCTAAAGAGTGGATTACTTCTTCAAGAAACCCTTGTCAATCTGTCACAGGGGCCCAGATGCTAGACTTCCATTAGTGTGCATTTAATATTAATGCTTAACTTATAAAGAAACTCTCAAGTAATATTATATCTCAAAATTAGCTTTTACAATCTTACAAATCCACTTCTGTAATAGTCCCTGGGCCTGGAGTTGTTGAGTAGTTTCAATTTCTGGCCTTATGTCTTAAGAGTATGATGAATTTTTATTGTCATTTTCTTCCAGGTCTGTAGATGGGGCTTTAATTACTGTCAGTGTTTAAGATTTAGCAGGACTTAGTGTCCTTTTTCTCTTATTTATATATTTTTTCTGAGATGGAATATTGCTCTATCACCCAGGCTGGAGTTCAGTGGCACAATCTTGGCTCACTGCAATCTCTGTCTCCCAGGTTCAAGCAATTCTCCCTGCCTCAGGCTTCCAAGTAGCTGGGATTACAGGCATCCACCACCATGCCTGGGTAATTTTTGTATTTCTTATAAAGACAGGGTTTCGCCATGTTGGCCAGGCTGGTCTCAAACTCCTGACCTCAGGTGATCTGCCTGCCTTAGTCTCCCAAAATGCTGTGTGTCCTTTTTAGACCTAGGAGTCAAAGGTCAGTAATGTGGCAGCACAAGGCCTTTAAAAGTAATGTAGATAGCTACATGAATGTAATAACATTAATTTATATTTTCTTAAAATCTCAGTAAGTTGGAAACCTTAATAACAGTAACATAGGAATTATTTCAATAAAATATAAAATTTGTTTTATGCCAGTTACCAAATAGCAAAGCAAAACCTTTTACAGTGTGATTGCTTTTCCCTATTGGAAAATGCATGTAGATAACCTGCAGGTCAACTCTAATGAAAAAAGCATTTGAATTAATTAGACATACCAAGAATGTGACTCAGATTACACGTGAAGACTTTGGTTTCATAGAAAAATGTAGACATTTAAAGATAAGCCAAGAGTGTAGAATGTTATATTGAAAGAAAACATTTTATTTAGAACTTAAAGATAAAATGTTTTTAGCATCAGACAATAATAGCAGTTAAAAGCTAACAACAGTTAGAAGTTAAGTCAGTAAGAAGCTAATCGCTGTAAGAAAAAAAATGTTAAAGGACGTGATGAAAAAATGGAGAGCCTCTCAAGTCTTCTCAAAGGGAAAAAATCAAAATGGCAAGATGCAATAAAAGTTAAATTTGGGGGTTAAAAAATTAAAATATCTTATAATTTTATTTAGTAAATCAACACTTTAAGACAATTTTGTCATTCTAACCAGTCTTCAGTGTATTACTATATTTTATATAAAAGCCAGATCTCTATAAAGACTATTATAAATACTTCCCTTTCAATTATAGTCAACTTGATAATATGAAGGTTTTTTAATAAATTAACTTTTTATAAATCTTATTTTCACTTACACAAACCATTTATGGCATAGTTGAACATCTTGTTTTATTCTAAACGTCATTCTTTCTTAGTCATTTTATTTTAGGATAAAAAATTACCATGCAAGATTATTTCTCATATAAAATTTTTTTATTTTAACCTTTCTTACCAAAAGTACTTCTCTATGTCAATAAATTTCTTTAAAACTCTCTTACTTTTTATGATGTTATATAAATAACTTTGAATTACATTATTTTTCTAAGAATAATTTTTTAAGAAAAATATTTTCTTATATATTTTTTAAAACAATTAGTAATGACCTAAACATTTAGTCAATATCTATTATTTAATTAAACTTTAGATTTTTAAATTGTAGAACAAGTTTATTTAAAAGGTTTATTTGATTACATTTCCCTATTTTATTTAAGTAGCTTATCTAGATTACTTATGAAAATTGTAATTCATCCTTTAAAGTTTTTTCTCTGTTAACCATGTTATAACCCATGAATTTCAGGTGCTTGCCTGAGTAAAAACCTTATAATTAAGCAAATAATTGTTTTTCTAATAACTATTTACCTGTTTTTTATTAAAACAACAATATTAAACATCATATTTGTCAAAAAATTACAAAGATCATTCTGGTTTTAATGAGGTTTATAATTTTTTTTTTTGAGACGGAGTCTCGCTCTGTCATCCAGGCTGCAGTACAGTGGTGCGATCTCAGCTCACTGCAAGCTCCACCTCTGGGGTTCAAGCATTCTCCTGCCTCAGCCTCCAGAGTAGCTGGGATTACAGGCGCCTGCCAGCATGCCCAGCTAATTTTTTTTTTCTTTTTGTATTTTTAGTAGAGATGGGGTTTCACCATGTTAGCCAGGATGGTCTCAATCTCCTCACCTCGTGATCCACCCACCTCAGCCTTCCAAAGAGCTGGGATTACAGGTGTGAGCCACCGCATATGGCCAACGAGGTTAATAATTTTATAATCATCATAAAAAATTTTGACACCATATAATATCTAGCTGTGATTTTAAATATAAAATCACTTGATGAATTAATATAAACTATAAGGTATGCTGATAATTGTTAAAATATCTCTAATTTGTTTTTACCAATAATTTTAAAGCCAACTTATTTATTAAATATTTATTTAAGTCACATGTACTTCAAATGCATTGGGCTCATTTACTTAATTTGAAAATATTTATTTCAAAGCCAATTTTGTACCTAGTAGCCACAACACACACACACACACACACACACACACACACACATATATATACATGCACATATTAACACATCTACGCATACACACACTAATACAAAGATACTAGAGCTTTTACTTTGAAACTCTAGCTATGGAATATGTATAGAAACTCAGCAGTCATTTACAAAAAAAAGTTTAGATGTAAACAGTGGTTATCTTAAAACCAGTTGAAAAGCCCTGTAAACTGGAAAACAGAATATTTTTAAGCAAAAAAAAAAAAAAATCCTCATCTTTCTTTATAAACCTCACCAAAAGCTAATTATACTCTTTTACTATTCTAATTCTTAGTAACCCTAATTCAAGTGAGAAACCTAGGATTACTTAATTTAACATGACATGACTAAGATTTTAAATTACTGAAGATAGTTATGAGACTAAATTTGACAAATCAATATTTGTAAAGTAATGTAAAATTTAAAGCTGACTCTAAAAAACAGATGTACATTTTCTTTACAAAGTGTTGCATTAAACAGAATTAACTTGATTGGTGGTCTTTGAAACACAGCTTAATTAGATTACTGGACTTAGAGTGGAGCCATTTAAGAAAAAGGGCCAAGAAAACATGCAGTTTTTAGGGCATAAACTACAATTGTTTATGCAAATGTGCAAAGAAATGAGTAGCCTTCTATAGTGATGATCATTTTCTGCTAACTGCCCTCAGCCACCCCTAACGTAGCTTTCAAAGCCACCCCTAACATTGGAGCTTTCATTCACTATTGCACACACCACGAATGAATCCTCTCACAGTACAACGTAATTCTGGTAGCATCCAAAGCCAAAAACATTACATAATCCAAGAAAGCAGAGCTTTGTACATGAGAAGAATCTGCAAATGATTCTTGAAACCACAAAGGAAGCAGGAAAACTCCCAAAAGGTTAGTGGCAAGATCCAAAAGGAACCGCCCTCCCTGCCCGGATCCAGGGACCTGATGTGGAGCTGCCTCCTAAGGGAGCGGTGGTGTCCTCAGTGCTCCCTGGTGGTTCTGAGCGAACACTGGTTTACTGAGCTCACCCTGGTGTCCTGAGAGCTCCCTGTTGTCCTGAGTGCCCCCTGGAGGATCTGAGTGCCCCCTGGTGTTCTGATCGCTCTCTGGTGTCCTGAGTGCTTCCTGGTGTTCTGAACATCCCCTGGTGGTCCTGAGGGCCGGTCATGTCCTGAGCACCCCCTGGTGGTTCTCAGCGCCCCCTGGTGGTTCTGAAGTCCCTCTGGTGTCCTGATTGCCCCCTGATGGTTCTGAGCGCCCCCTAGTGTCCTGAGTGCGCCCTCCTGTCTTGAGAGACCTGGTGGTCCTGGGCGCCCCCTAGTGGTTCTGAGCCCCCTAGTGTCCTGAGCGCCCCCTGGTGGTTATGAGCTCCCGCTGGGATCTTGAGCGCCCCTTGGTGGTTCTGAGCACCTGCCAGTTTCCTGAGTGCCCCCTGGTGATTCTGAGCTCTCCTTGGTGGTTCTGAGTGCCTACTGGTGTCCTGAATGCCCCCTGGTGGTTCTGAGCAGCAACTAACATGCAGTCCCCTCCTGTCTCCCTGCAGGGACTTTTGTGTCTGTGCTCACATAGATGTCCCCACACTGTGTCCCTCACAGTAATACACAGACTTGTCTTGGGCTCTCAGTTTTATTATCTTAAAAGAGAATCTTCTGAACAGTGTCTCTGAGGACTGTTAATCTTCTTTGTACTGAAGGCGAGTCCCATTGAGAACTTCCACTTGAATTACTGTTATCTCCCTCACCAACACTTGCCATGAATCCTGCTGGACCAAACTTGTTCTTTTTTCAGTGAATCCAGGGGCTTTGCAGAACAGTCTGAGAATTCTTGGTCTGTAGTATTTTCCTGTCTGACTCCACTAGTTAACTTCACAGAGGACTTCTGCACACACAGAGGCAACAGACTGAGAACAGCCCCACGTGGAGCAGCCACAGCTGAGCCTGATCCACGGGGAAGTTGAATATTGAGAGTGATGACAAGAGAAGCTCAGATCAGCACAGACCCCATGGTCATGAGTACATAGTTTCTACCTCCCTTACCTGTGAGTCCTGGCACAATCTATCATCCTCTAAAACCTAGGGGCCACTAAGAACAGACAGAAGTTTGAATCCTATCAAGTTTTGAGAGACCCACAATTACTGTCTGGGCTGATTGGTGAGGGTGATCTCTATGAGCCTAGTCTTTGAAGAAGTATATGATGGCTTTTGTTATAAAGAACAGATAACAACAAAGACAGTCAAGGAAAATGAAGAAGCAGGGGAACATGGTCCAAACAGAAGAACAACCAAAAGGTCCATAAACTGACATCAATGAAAAGGAAGAACATGGATTACCTGACAGAAACTTTAAAGTAAATGTTAGAAACATGTTCAATGAGCTAGTGGCAGCATGCAAGAACAATGTGAGAATTTTAATAAAGATAAAACATTTAAAAGATGACTAAACAAAAATATTGATCCTGAAGAATACAGCCAAAAATTTTAACAAGATTTTAGACCAAACTAGATCAAGTAATAGAAGAAACAGTAAACTCAAAGAAAGATCATTTGAAATAGTAGAGACAGAGAAGAAAAATTTAAGTGAAAGAAATAAAAAAGAGTTCAAGACTTATGGGCCAGGAAAGACACTAAACACTCAACTACGCATTTGAGGAGTTATACAAAGACAAGACAAAAGGGGTAGTGAAGGGAGAGAGGGGGAGAGAGAGAGAGAGAGAGAGAGAGAGAGAGAGAGAGAGAGAGGGAGAGAGAGAGAGAGAGAGAGAGAGAGAGAGAGAGAGAGAGAGAAGAGATAAATTATTCAAAATAATAGCAAAAAATATTTCCAAATTTGGAGAAGGGAAGCAAATATTCATCCACAATGAAGAAGCTCTATAAATTTTACGTAAGATAAACCCAATGACAAAAAATGTGACACAGTTTAAAACCACATTGCTGGAAATAAAAGAGGCTTTAGAAAACAGAAAGAAAAGGAACAGATTTCTCAGCAGAAGGTTTTCAGTTCAGAAGGCACAGGGATTGTATTCAATGGTGTGTGGTTTATTGACAGAGGTTCTTTTTGAGAAATGTGTCCCTGGGCAATTTCATCATTGTGCAAGCATCAAGGGTGAATTTTCACAAACCTACAAGGAATACCCTACTACACACAGGGTATGTGGATTAGCGCAGGGTTCCCAGACAACTAACCTGTACAGCGTGTTACTGCACTGAACACTGCAGGAAATGGAAACACCATGGTAAGTATCTCTCTATCTAAACACATCAAAACATGGAAAAAGTTTAGTGAAAATATGGTATTACAACATTATGTGGCCACAAACATATATGTGGTCTACTGTTGACTGCAGCATTGTTACGTAACACATGACTTTACTCAAATTGACGTGGGTTGGGGGGGACTAAAAATAAATAAAACCCTGCCAAGACGAATCTTTACCATGTAAATCCTTTTCAGAAATGAAGATTAGATTAGAACTTTCCCAGACAAAAACTAAAGGAGTTCTTCACTGCTGGACCTGCCTTAAACACCAAAGGGTCTCAACTAGGTCTGCAGAATAATGATGTAGCTGCATCAGCTCCATTCTGGCCTCTGCCATGTGACAGTTTTTTGTGGATTTGCTTTCTACACCCTCATGGCTTTTTTCTGTCTAAACTTCTAAATTCATTCTCCTTTTAATTTGCAGTTTATTGAAAATATTCATATTTAGCTTAGAACATTAAAAAACTTTGGAAAAAATTTCATCTTAAACCCACCAAGTCTAATTAACTCTCTTCAGGGATGCCCCTTTTTTTCTTGTTTTCCTATAGGATATGGCCCTTGTTTCTATCTCAGTTCAGTCCTTGTTTTCGTATGCATGAGGTATCCAACCATCACATGCCCAGGAACACCTTGGAGGAACGTACCCTATCATCCACCCCTTCAGCCTTCATGTGCACAGGGGCCATTCTTTCAGCTGTTGTATGCTTTAGGATTTTCCATTCAAAAGTGTTTTTCAATAGCCCCCCAAAGAAAGTCCTTGGACCTTAAAACATGATGTGGTGTTGGGGGCATTGACAGCTAAATTTCACTGAAAGTATCTTCTATGCTTGGTAATTGGGGAAGACTGGGAAGAAGGTAACAAAACTCAGACCCCATGTAGCTCCTCATTTAGCAATAGATTCAGTACAAATTTAGAAAGTTGAAGACATAGAGTAATGTTGCTGTGGTTTTCTGTGATATAATAAGGAGACAGCAGAAGATGGTCAGTGGTCAGTTTCCATCCAGCTGGTACTCATTGTCAATTAATTAAGTCCTAATAAAGGATAAAATGCAACATTTGTGACAAAGCCCCAGGGCTTGTTTAAAAGACCTTGTCCCAACAGGGACGTGACAGTTTTTATATGAGAGCTACTGTTTTTGCCTAATTCATGTGAAAATCTGAGCGATGTGCCCAGCTTCAGGGGGCTGCTTCTCCCTCCAGGAGATGGAGCTAACAGAGTTGTGTGGTATTAGCCTGTCTGGGTCTTCGTAAGAAGACAAAAGGAGTGGGTGGCTTAAACAACAAATATTGATTTTCTTACAATTCTGCAGTCTGAATGTAGAAGATCAAGGTGCTGGCAGGGTTGGTTCTTGGTGCGGCTTCTTCCTGGCTTGCAGAGGCCCACCTTCTAGTGCACTATGTCTCCACGTGGCCTCTTCTCTGAGTGCATGTGAGAAGTGAGAGGTATCTGGTGTCTCTTCCTCTTCTTATAAAGACAACAGCTCTATTGCATTAGGGTCTCATTTATGACCACATTTAACATTAATTATACCATTAAAATTCCGATATAGATCCATTGGATTTAAAGTTTCAGCATATGAATTTCAAAAAGGGCACAATTAAATTGATGACACAAATCAAGAGATGGTGAGAAGCATTAGAATATATACATATATAAATAAGGTATAATGGGCTGTGCAGGTACTTGCAGGAAAGTTCTTAGTAATTGGTGAAACTTCAATTGTAACAGGAAAATTTGCCTTACTCCTTTCTTTCCTGGCACAAGGATGTGAGGAAGTAGAACCACACACAATAAAGAAAGAGGACCTCTACGGAAAGCTGAGGTGCTGGCGAGGAGGGAGATGATGATCTCTGAGAAGATGAGCAAGCCCCGCTCACCCTGCACCTGCTCCTGACCCGGCCTTGTATTCCGTGAGCTCCGCACGCCCCCTGCTGGCCCTGAGCTGCACCTGCGCCCGCCCCCTCAGCCTCCCTGCAGGGAGGTTTTTGTCTGGGCTCACACTCACCTCCCCTCACTGTGTGTCTCGCACAGTAATACACAGCCGTGTCTGCGGCGGTCACAGAGCTCAGCTTCAGGGAGAACTGGTTCTTGGACGTGTCTACGGATATGGTGACTCGACTCTTGAGGGACGGGTTGTAGTAGGTGCTCCCACTATAATAGATACTCCCAATCCACTCCAGCCCCTTCCCTGGGGGCTGGCGGATCCAGCCCCAGTAGTAACTACTACTGCTGATGGAGCCACCAGAGACAGTGCAGGTGAGGGACAGGGTCTCCGAAGGCTTCACCAGTCCTGGGCCCGACTCCTGCAGCTGCAGCTGGGACAGGACCCCTGTGAACAGAAAAACCCACAGTGAGCCCTGGGATCAGAGGCAGCCTCCCATATCTCCATGTCTGCATCCTAGAAACACTCACATCTGGGAGCCGCCACCAGCAGGAGGAAGAACCACAGGTGCTTCATTTTCTTGCACATGAGATCCATGACTCTCAGAAAGCATTTCCCTTATGAGTTGGACCTGAATTTAAGGAAATGTGTGGTGGCTTCCTGTGGGCGCCTAAGTGAGGATTTGCATGGGGGTGGTGCGTTTGTACGGAGCAGTGAAAAGGGATGAGAGAGGCGCCAGTCTTTTGAGCTCACCCTGGGAGGAGAATGCTGGCTGTGCCCTTTGAGAACTCAGTTCTCTTCTTGGGGCCTCCCCTCTCCAAGCCCAGAGTCCTCTTCTTCCAGGTAAAGAGATGTGCTGAAGGAGCTGGTCTGAGAGATGAGTGTGATCCTGGATCAAGGACAGATTTTGGAATAGGGTCAGTACTGTTCAACCCTTAAAGATTCATATAAAACCAACCACACACCCAGGCCATCTAAATAGTCATTTACCCTTTCAGACACATTGAAACAACAGCTGAATGTAATAATGACAGTGACTTCAAACAATACTGGATCCATCCAATGTTTATTGTAGTTCAGAACATCCACCATGGTTACAGGGAAGCTCACTGTCCCTGGAAGTGGGTCATTTTTTAAAAGCACCTGAGAGCTGTCCTTCTGTGTCCTTTTGAAATTTGGGATTCTGTCTGAGATCGTAGGAGAAGGTAGTGGGACATATCTCCATCCTTCTCAATGTGTGACCTTGAAGATGTGTCCTGGCCTCTAAACACTTCTGATTGAAAATATGTAGATTGGGGATTGCAGTGAGAACTTCAGACAAAAACTCCGTAACAGGTCAGCACTGGAGGATAGTCTCATGAAGATCATGAAGATTAGTGCGATTACCTTTCCTGGGAACCAGAGAGGAACTCTGTGACCCCTTCCCTCTGACAGCACAAGGAACTCTGATCCTTCCCTGACAGGACACACTTGTGAAACATGGCTGGACAATGATACTCAAGCCCAGAGTCCTTACCCACATATTTATCATTTCAGATCCATCTGTCTCTGAAAGATTTTCTCCTCCATTGAATTGCATGAACATACCCTAGGATGTGCGGTATTGCAACTTGGGCATTTGACATTAGTTTGCTGAATTATATAATAAATAATCTATCTCCATGGATGTGGGTAACAGGAGAGTCATCAGAAGTTTGATGTGTTTTAAAATCAGGACAAACCTGGGCTTTCTTGTTAGGACGTGAACAACTGGGCTGACCTGTGGGACAACAGAGGGAAAGAGACAGACCCCACACCAGAGCCAGGTGAACTCCTTACCTACTGGATGGTCTCTGGGCATTTTGTTTGAACAGATTGAGAAGGACCTTCCTCACTCTCAGAATTATGAACATTGAAGGAATTTGAGATAAATTTTTATTTACAGAGAACAATTCATAGGCTTGTAGACATCTATGTGGGTGTGTACAGGGTTGCTAAGACATGCTCATACACAGAACAGAAAGAATTATATTTTGTGGAAAGAAAAACAAAGAGGTTCTGAATTTGTAGGTATTGTTTGCACAATGTGTCAGATCACTAGATCATGTTATGATGCTGGAGGTAAAACTTCCCAACATTGTCAAGGAGACAAAATGCAAAAGAGTAAAGATTCAAGTGAGATTGCTCTGAAAAATATCAGTAATGAACAGGCCAAAAGAAATGAACCATTATGGAAAGAGAGGTAATGAAATGAAACAATAAATTCCATGTTGAGGTGACAGGGAAGTTCCATCTGAAAGCTCATTTTCACCTCTGCGGGTACTGAGTGCCCCCTGCCACCCAGCTCCCACCCTGAAGGGAGGTTTCTGTCTGAGCTCTGTGAGTGAGCTGGAGTCATTGTGAGCCATTTAGAAAAGCAGCTGTGTGCCAGGGTGTATGGAGTCCTCCTGAGTTAAGAGGTGCTGAATATATATCAGTTTCACTGCCGTCATTGTGTTTTATTCTCTGGACTCTCTTGATGTCCAGATTTGAACACATGGAGCATTGAAGGAACTCATCGTGACTGGGAACTTTTCAGTGAAGATGCAGGTAACATGTGGGTGTGATTAAATTTGGGTGGTGAAAATATTATTATCAAAAATTTCGAAGTCAGTACCTACTAATTTTTCTTTTTTAGATTTTACAGATGAAGACTTGCTTGGTTGTGCAGGCTGGAGTGCAGTGTCATCTATTAATTTTATAGCATAAAAATGATCAGCCCAATTTATGTAGTCATGTTATATCCATCAAGGATTTAGGTCCATGTGGCCTGTGACATAGCTCTAGTCACAGAGTGAAGAGAGGTGGTTTGTTGAGTTGATGCTGCTTCTTCAGAGGGGAATTTAAACAATCAACTCCTCACCTTACCCAGTCTATTTTCATATCTATGCATAACCCTTGGGAATGCAGTCACCATTTCTTACATAATGGGAGTTGACTGTGCTGTGAAGGTAACAAGAAGACATGTAAATTTCCAGTCTGGGTACATGAACTGCTGAATTACAAAGCCTGGAGCCAATCACATTCTGGCATCTTGTTTAATTAGTTGTGAATTTGTTTTCAGTTGTTTAGTTCAAGTTCCCATAATTCACTTTCTGCTAAAATAGTCATATACGATAATCTTGAGATATTACATTGAAAAAAATAACTAATTTGAAAATGAACCCAGCTTCCAGGAGAGGTGAAAATTCCTTTGTGGCGAAGGGTGTGAAGGGTGGAGACATGGCTGAATACCGAGGTTGTGTTCACAATTGTTTCATTTTAATTAGGGGAAGCTCTATACATCCTTTCTATTTATTAGAAACTCCCATTGAGAACCTTGAACTAACATAATTTGCTGATGGATT
Organism: Homo sapiens; assembly: GCF_000001405.40. Classification (NCBI taxonomy): domain Eukaryota; kingdom Metazoa; phylum Chordata; class Mammalia; order Primates; family Hominidae; genus Homo; species Homo sapiens. Next base: position 916,616 of record NT_187600.1, read on the forward strand.
ACACAAAAACAATGAAGCTGAAGGTTTTTAAGCAGGAATTGCTATTACAACATTAGCTTTCCTTTATAACGCGTTCCTCTACCTGATGTGAAATTAGCCCAGGTGCACTGATGAGAGCTTGTCAGTTAAGCAAAGACCAGGAAATGGGCTCACATGTATCTAGAACAGGGCATGGATTTGGGATGCTTTGCTAACAAAGTGGCTTCTCACGTCTTCTGGAAAACCCATCAAAATGGGCAAGTTAAGGATCTCTTAGGAGCACCTGTCTACCCCAAGTTCTTAGCTAATATAAAAGTAGAAGATGATGCAAAATGAGATCATATGGAAGTTAAAGAAACTGCTGCACCACTGCCTCAGCTCAGCACAGCTGCCTCCTCCCTCGGGGTTTCTGACTCCCTCGGGATGTGGGTTTCCACACTGTGTCTCTCATACAGTCATACACGGCCGTGTCCTCAGCCTTTAGGCTGCTGATCTGCAGATACGCCATGCTGACAGAGGTGTCCATGGAGAATAGAAACCGTCCTGTGAAGCCGTTGGTATATGTTGGGTTCCCAGTGTAGGTGATGATCCATCCCATCCACTCAAGCCCTTGTCCAGGGGCTGGTCACACTGAATTCATACCATACTGGCTGCATAGTATTCCATGATTTACATATATCATATTTTATCTAATCATCCACTGATTGACACTTAGATTATTTGACTTTTCTATTGAAAATGGTGTTGAAATAAACATATGAGTGCAGGCAACATTCTCTGATATAAAAGTTTGGGAGGAACATGCCTACTGGGACAGCTTACTGGAAGAAATGGTAATTCTAATTTTAGTTCTTTGAGAAATTTCTATGTTGTTTTTCATGGAGGTTGTACTAATTTACATTCTCACCAAGCATATATAAATCATTATTTTTCCTATGTTTGTCTGCAAAACCTGCTGTTTTTATTTGTAATAACAGCCATTCTGACTGGTGGAAGATGCCGTATCATGTTGTTTCTAATTTACATTTATCAGATGATTGGTGATGCTGAGTATATTTTCTTATTTGTGTTGGCCACTTCTGTGTATTCTTTTGATAAATGTCTGTTTATGTCTATTCTTTAATGAAGTTATTTGTAATTTTTAGTTGACTTATTTGAGTTACTTGTAGATTCTATATATTAGCCCTTTGCAAGATGAATAGATTCCAGATATTTTTTCCATTTGCAGATTGTCTGGTCACCATGTTGGTTATTTCTTTTGCTGTGCAGAAGACCTTTAGTTCAACTAAATCCTGTTTGTCTACTTCTGTTTTTATTGCATTTGCTTTTGAAGTCTTAGTCGTATATTGTTTGCTTAGACCAATGTCCAGAGGACTCTTTTTAGATTTTATTCAAGTATTTTTATAGTTTTAGTTTATAAATTTAAACACTGAATCCATATTCAGTTAATTTGTGTCTACGGTGATATGGAAGTCTCGTTCTATTCTTCCACATAAGCCACCTAATTTTCCCGGCACCACTTATTGAATAGAGGGTTGTTTCTCCAGTGTATATTTTTGTCAGTTTTGTCAAACAACAGTTGGTTTTAGATATTTGGCTTTCTTTCTGGGCTATTTTTTTCTACTAGTAGCATGCTGTCTTTCTTATTATATTCATGTAGTATAATTTGAGGTCAGAGAATGTGGTGCTTCCAGCTTCGGTCTTTTTGCTTAGGATTGCTTTTGCTATTCAGACTCTTTTTTGATTCTGTAGGAATTTTAGTATTTTTTTCTAAATATGTAATCAATTATATTGGTCATTTGATAAAAATAGAGTTGAATCTGTGTAATGCTTTGGACGGTGTGTTAGTCTCTTTTGCATTCCTATAAATTAATACCTGAGGCCAAGTGATTTACAAAGAAAAGAGGCACATTTGGCTTACAGTTCTGAAGGCTGTGTGAGAAGCATGGCACCAGGATCTGCTTTACAATCATGATGGAAGGCAAAGGGGGAACAGGCTATGTCACATGGTGAGAGCTGGGACATGAGTGGCAAGAAGGGTTGCCAGACTCTTTTTAACAATCAGATCTCATAGTAGCTAACACAGCAAGAATTCACTAAGTGCCATGGGGTGGTTCCCAAGCCATTCCTGAAGGATCTTTCCCCATGACCCAAAACCTCCCAGTCGGTCCCACCTCCAACATTGAGAATCACATTTCACCATGACATTTGGAAGGGAAAACATCTAAACTATATCATTGCACTCTCGAGCCCAAAATTCTCATGTCCTTGCATTGCAAAATATGATCATCTTTTTTCAGTAGGGAAGCAAGAGCAAACATTCAAAAGCTAGCAGAAGGCAAGAAATAACTAAGATCAGAGCAGAACTGAAGGAAATAGAGACACAAAAAACCCTTCAAAAAATCAGTGAATCCAGGAGCTGGTTTTTTGAAAAGACCAACAAAATTGATAGACCACTAGCAAGACTAATAAAGAAGAAAAGAGAGAAGAATCAAATAGATGCAATAAAAAATGATAAAGGGGGTATCACCACCGATCCCAGAGAAATACAAACTACCATCAGAGAATACTATAAACACCTCTACGCAAATAAACTAGAAAATCTAGAAGATATGGATAAATTCCTGGACACATATACTCTCCCAAGACTAAACCAGGAAGAAGCTGAATCTCTGAATAGACCAATAACAGGCTCTGAAATTGGGGCAATAATTAATAGCTTACCAAACCAAAAAAGTCCAGGACCAGACGGATTCACAGCTGAATTCTACCAGAGGTACAAGGAGGAGTTGGTACCATTCCTTCTGAAACTATTCCAATCAATAGAAAAAGAGGGAATCCTCCCTAACTCATTTTATGAGGCCAGCATCATCCTGATACCAAAGCCTGGCAGAGACAAAACAAAAAAAGAGAATTTTAGACCAATATCCTTGATGAACATCGATGCAAAAATCCTCAATAAAATACTGGCAAACCGAATCCAGCAGCACATCAAAAAGCTTATCCACCACGATCAAGTGGGCTTCATCCCTGGGATGCAAGGCTGGTTCAACATACGAAAATCAATAAATGTAATCCAGCATATAAACAGAACCAAAGACAAAAACCACATGATTATCTCAATACATGCAGAAAACGCCTTTGACAAAATTCAACAACACTTCATGCTAAAAACTCTCAATAAATTAGGTATTGATGGGATGTATCTCAACATAATAAGAGCTGTCTATGACAAAGCCACAGCCAATATCATACTGAATGGACAAAAACTGGAAGTATTCCCTTTGAAAACTGGCACAAGACAGGGATGCCCTCTCTCACCACTCCTATTCAACATAGTGTTGGAAGTTCTGGCCAGGGCAATCAGGCAGGAGAAGGAAATAAAGGATATTTAATTAGGAAAAGAGGAAGTCAAATTGTTCCTGTTTGGAGATGACATGATTGTATATCTAGAAAACCCCATTATCTCAGCCCAAAATCTCCTTAAGCTGATAAGCAACTTCAGCAAAGTCTCGGGATACAAAATCAATATGCAAAAATCACAAGCGTTCTTATACACCAATAACAGACAAACAGAGAGCCAAATCATGAGTGAACTCCCATTCACAATTGCTTCAAAGAGAATAAAATACCTAGGAATCCAATTTACAAGGGATGTGAAGGATCTCTTCAAGGAGAACTACAAACGACTGCTCAATGAAATTAAAGAGGATACAAACAAATGGAAGAACATTGCATGCTCGTGGGTAGGAAGAATCAATATCGTGAAAATGGCCATACTGCCCAAGGTAATTTACAGATTCAATGCCATCCCCATCAAGCTACCAATGGCTTTCTTCACAGAATTGGAAAAAACTACTTTAAAGTTCGTATGGAACCAAAAAAGAGCCTGCATTGCCAAGTCAATCCTAAGCCAAAAGAACAAAGCTGGAGGCATCATGCTACCTGACTTCAAACTATACTACAAGGCTACAGTAACCAAAACAGCATGGTACTGGTACCAAAACAGAGATATAGACCAATGGAACAGAACAGAACCCTCAGAAATAATGCCGCATATCTATAACTATCTGATCTTTGACAAACCTGACAAAAACAAGCAATGGGGAAAGGATTCCCTATTTAATAAATGGTGCTGGGAAAACTGGCTAGCCATATGTAGAAAGGTGAAACTGGATCCCTTCCTTACACCTTATACAAAAATTAATTCAAGATGGATTAAAGACTTAAATGTTAGACCTAAAACCATAAAAACCCTAGAAGAAAACCTAGGCAATACCATTCAGGACATAGGCATGGGCAAGGACTTCATGTCTAAAACACCAAAAGCAATGGCAACAAAAGCGAAAATTGACAAATGGGATCTAATTAAACTAAAGAGCTTCTGCAGAGTGAAAGAAATTACCATCAGAGTGAACAGGCAACCTACAGAATGGGACAAAATTTTTGCAACCTACTCATCTGACAAATGGCTAATATCCAGAATCTACAATGAACTCAAACAAATTTACAAGAAAAAAACAAATAACCCCATCAAAAAGTGGGCAAAGGACATGAACAGACACTTCTCAAAAGAAGACATTTATGCAGCCAAAAGACGCATGAAAAAATGCTCATCATCACTGGCCATCAGAGAAATGCAAATCAAAACGACAATGAGATACCATCTCACACCAGTTAGAATGGCGATCATTAAAAAGTCAGGAAGCAACAGGTGCTGGAGAGGATGTGGAGAAATAGGAACACTTTTACACTGTTGGTGGGACTGTAAACTAGTTCAACCATTGTGGAAGGGAGTGTGGCGATTCCTCAGGGATCTAGAACTAGAAATACCATTTGACCCAGCCATCCCATTACTGGGTATATACCCAAAGGATTATAAATCATGCTGCTATAAAGACACATGCACACGTATGTTTATTGTGGCACTATTCACAATAGCAAAGACTTGGAACCAACCCAAATGTCAAACAATGATAGACTGGATTGAGAAAATGTGGCACATATACACCATGGAATACTATGCAGCCATAAAAAATGATGAGTTCATGTCATTTCTAGGGACATGGATGAAGCTGGAAACCATCATTCTCAGCAAACTATCGCAAGGACAACAAACCAAACACCGCGTGTTCTCACTCATAGGTGGGAATTGAACAATGAGAACACATGGACACAGGAATGGGAACATCACACACCAGGGACTGTTGTGGGGTGGGGGGATGGGGGAGGGATAGCATTAAGAGATATACCTAATGCTAAATGATGAGTTAATGGGTGCAGCACACCAACATGGCACATGTATAAATATGTAACAAACCTGCACATTGTGCACATGTACCCTAAAACTTAAAGTATAATAATACTAAAATAACAAAAAGTCTTAACTTGGTCAGCCTCCAACTCAAATGTCTAAAGTCTCATCTGAGTCTTAAGGCAATTTCCCTCCATCTGTGAGCTTGCAAAATTAAAAAAAAAAAACATTGCAAATGTTGTGTATTCCAAGGTACAATTATGGTACAGGCATTGGGTAAATTATTCCAATCCAAAATAGATAAATTGGCCAAAGGAATGGCCAACAGCGCTCCCCCCCCCCACACACACATATAACCCAGTAGAGCAGATATTAAATCTTAAAGTTACAGAATAACCTCTCTCAAATTTATGTAATTCAACCAGGGCACAGTGGGACAAGTGTTGGCTCCCCAAAACCTCCGGCAGCCCATCACTGTAGTTTTGCTGGGCGCAGTCCTTGGGGCTCCATTCATGAGTCAGAGTCAAGTGCTGTAAGCTTTTCTAGGCTGAGGGTGCAAGTTGCCCATGGATCTACCATTCTGCAGTCTTGAGATCTGTGGCCACATTCCCACAGTTCCACTATGTAGTGCCCCAGTGTGGACTTTGAATGGGGGCTCCAACCCCATCTTTCCACATCTTTGGCACTGCCCTAGTAGAGGCTCTCTGTGGTGGCTCCACTCCTGCAGCAAGCTTTTTCCTGGGCACATAGGGCTCTCTGCACATCTGAAATCAAGGTAGAAACTGCCCAGCCTCCTTCACTGTTGCATTCTGCATATCTGCCCGAATCCAGGTCTCCCAGCACTATTTACTGAATACGGAGTTTTTTTTTTTAATCTATGGCTTGATTCTTGTCAACCTTATCAAATATCAAATGGTTTAGGTGTGTAGCTCTATTTCTGTTTTCTGTTTTGTTCTTTTTTTTTTTCTGTGTGTCTGCTCTTGCACCAGTACCAAGCTGTTTTTCTTACTTTGTAATGTTAAATCTGGTAGCATGATGCCTCTGGCATTGATCTTTTTGTTTAGGATTGCTTTGGCTATTCAGGGTCTTTCTTGGTTCCATATATATTTTAGAATATGTATGGGTTTTTTAATTCTGTGAAGAATGATGGTAATAATTTGATGGAAATAACATCGAATCTGCAAATTACTTTGGGCAGTATGACCATTTTGGCAATATTGATTCCTCCAATCCAGGAGCATGAAATGTTTTTTTCCATTTATTTGTGTCATTTATGATTTATTTCTGCAGTGTTTTGTTGTTCTCCTTGCAGAGATCTTTCATCTTGTTTGTTACCTGCATTCCTAAGCATGTCATTTTCTTTGAAGATATTGTACATGGGATAGGACTGTGTTCTTGATTTTATTCTCAGCATGGATGTGGTTGGGATATAGAAATGCTGGTGATTTTTGTACATTGATTTTGCATCCTTACACTTTACTAAAGTTATTTATCTATTCTAGAATTACTTTGGGGGATTTTCTAGGCATAGAATTGTATCATCAGTGAAGACAGATGGATTGACTTATTTTCCTGTTTGGATGCTGTGTTAGTCCATTCTCAGACTATAAACACCTGAGACTAGGTAATTTATAAAGAAAAGAGTTTTAATTGCTCATGGTTCTGCGAGTTGTACAGGAAGCATGGCTGGGGAGGCATCAGGATCCTGACAATCATGACAGAAAGGGAAGCATCATGTCTTACATGGCAGGAGCAGGAGGAAGAGACAAGGGGGAGGTGCCACACACTTAGAAACCAGATCTCCTGAGAGCTCTGTCACCAGAACAGCGTGAGAGAGGAAAACACAACCCCATGATCGAATCACCTTTCACCAGGCCCCACCTCCAACACTGGGGATTACAGTTTGACATGAGATTTGGGTGGGGACACAAATCAAAACCACATCAGCTGCCTTTCATTTTTGCTCCTGCCTGATTGTTCTAACTAGGATTTATAGTGTTATATTGAATAGGAGTAGTGAGAGACAGTATCCTTCTCTTGTTCCAGTTCTCAAGGTGTTTGAGCTTTTGCTCATTTAGCATGATGTTTACTGAGTTTGTCACAGATGGCTCTTATTATTTTGAGGTATGTTTTGATGCCTAGTCTGTTGAAGGTTTTTATGACGAGTGGATGTTGGATCCTATCAAATGCTTTTGCAGGATCTATTGAGATAATCCTATGTTTTTTGCTTTTATTCTGCTCACATGGCGAATCACAGTTACTGATTTGTGGATGTTGAATGAACCTTGCATCCCAGGGTAAATCCCATTTGATCATGATGTATTACATTTTAAAGTGCTTCTGGATTCTATTTGCTAGTATTTTGTTGAGGACTTTTAGATCTATGTTCATCAGGAATATTCATCTTATATACTTTTTTCATTATGTCTCTTCCTGATGGAGTGTGCCAAGAACACACAGTAGAGAAAGGACAGTCTTTTCAATAATGGTGTAAAAACTGGGCATCCATATAAAAAGAAATAAAATTAGGCCTCCTCTAACATGATATAAAAATCAACTAAAAATGAACATAATACCTGAAACCATAAACTCATAGACAACATGGAAAAAGAAAAAACTTCCTGTCATTGATTCAGAACTGATTTATTTGAATTTAATACCAAAACACAGGAAAAACTATGTGTAATTATATATCTGACAAGAAGTTCAAATAAAATATATAAATAAGCCATACAACTCAATAACAAATAACAAGTGACCCGATTAAAAAAGGCAAAATTCTGGATAGATTTTTTTTTCAGAAGACACACACATGGCAAACGGAAAATGAAAAGTTTATCAATATTCCTAATTATCAGGGGAATTCAAATAAAAAGCACAATGATATATCACTTCAAAGCAGTTAAAATGGCTATTATCAGCAAGACAAAACTTTAAAAATGTTGGCAACAATGTGGAGAAAAAGGAATCCTTATATGATGTGGTAGGATTGGTTACTTAACAAATTGAAAATAAAACTATCTTATGATCTAGTGATTCCACTTCTTGTTATATATTAAAAGGAAATAAAATTATTATGCAAAAGACATGTTCATTGCAAGATTATTAATAATAGTGTAGATTTGTAAAATAATTTAAGGGTCATACATTGATAAATGTATAAATAAAATGTGTATACATAAAACTAAATTTATGACGCTTTGAAAAGAAGGAAATTCTGACATTTGCAATAACATGGATGGGCCTAGAGGACATGATGCTGAGTGGAATAAGCCAGATGCAGAAAGACAAATGCTTCATGATCTCATTTACGTGTGGGATCTAAAATATCCAAGGTCTTAAAAGAAGAGAGTAGACTAGAGGGTGTCAGGACCTGGGAGGAGAGGGAATTTGGGTGATGTTGATCAAAGGGTACAGAGTTTCAGTTGTGCAGGGTGAATGAGTTCTGGAAATCTAATGTACAGCAATGTTCCTATAGTTAATACTTTACTGTAAAAACGATTTTTGCTAAAAGGGTAGATTTTAGATGTTCTCATCAGACACACACACATATGCAGTAAATTTAAAAAAATAAAATTGTAGCTCTGTGAGATGATATACACACAAATTACCTTGACTACGATGATCATTTTACAATGTGTATCTGATATGGTTTGGATCCGTATCTTGACCCAAATCTCATGTTATATTATAATCCTCATTCCTGAAAGTAGGACCTGTTGGGAGATGACTGGGTCATGGGGTAGGTCTTTCATGAATGGTTTAGCAACAACTCCTGCTGCTGTTCTCATGACAGTGCATGAGTTCTCACAAGATCTGGTGTCTAACGGTGTGTAGACCCGCCCCGCCCCCCGCTGCACGCCTCCTGTGGCTCCTGCTCTGGCCATGTGATTGCCCTGCTCCTCTTTGTCTTCTGCCATGATTCTAACTTTCCTGAGTCTCCCCAGAAGAATAAACAACTACATTTCCTATAGAGCCTGCAGAATCATGAGCCAATTAAACATCTTTTTCTTTTTTTCAAATTAGTCTCAGGCATTTCTTTATAGCAATGTGAGAATGGCCTAAGACAAAGCATCAAGTGGTGCATTGTTCCTCAACCATATACTTTTAAAAAATTTTTTCAAATATACCTCAATGAAACTGAAAAAAGTTAAAATTACTCTTACAAGAAAGAAATGCATACGTCATGTTTTCACAATAAAAATGAGACAACATAGGAAAACTTACACTAAGGTATTTGTAACAGCTTTGCTTATAATATTCATAAACTAGAAACAAATTTAAAGTCCATCAACAAAAAATAGATCAATATGTTGTTATGTATGGGATGTCAATGTCACTTTATTACATTCTTTATTCTTTTAAGTTATCTCTAAAATCTCTAAAAATTAATTTTTCCAAAGCACCACTCAAAACCAGGGTATTATTAGAACTTGTGGGTGTAATCGTTGGACCAATATTAAGAATAAATTCAATTTAGTTCACATGCTGTCAAATATCCTTTTTTCTTTAAAACTTGTTCACATTGTAATATCAGACAAATATTAGTAATCTATACTTATGACACAGGTTAAAAAATTGTTTAAATAGTTTAATGACATTTGATTGGAAAAAAGAATACACATTCCACATATGTCTTGACTACCTTTTTCTTCTCTATGAAATATATGCTTATTAATTTTTAAGTTACGGATGTTACCCTTATCTTTTTATTTTCCAGAAGTTAATTTCAGTAGGTATATTTGAATGCATTTTATTAATTCATATAATAATGTTCATTACTGAATGTTTTGGATAGGCATGTAATGTCATTTTTATTATGTTCTGAATTTTAAATTATTTTATACATTATTTTTTGTTTTTATGAGAAAATTTACATATAAGAGGAAATGCATAGATCTGGAATTTGTCACTAGAGAGTTTCTGGCAAACGTGAATACTCTTGTCCCCGGCACCTAAGGTAGACCGAAGAGCAAGTCCATCCCCCAACACAGGTCTTCCTGTGCCTGTGGTCAGCTCCTGCGTGCGGAAATGTTTAGATTTCTGACAATACAGATCCATGTTTTTCTCTTTTGAACTTCTCATAAGTGGAATCTAACATTATAGAGCTGTTTTTGGTAAGGGGCTACTTTTGCTATTGTTGAGGTTTCTTCATGCTATTTAACGTATACAATTAGATCAACCTATTGTCATACATTCAATGAATGGACTGATTCAACTGAAACCTCAAAGTCGTTATGTATATATGTAGAGAGAGAGGAAGGACAGAAATTTTATATCTGAGTTAGTCCATTAAGAATTTATTCTTAATATTGGTCCAACGATTACACCCACAAGTTCTAATAATACACTGGTTTTGAGTGGTGCTTTGGAAAGATTAATTTTTAGAGATTTTAGAGATAACTTAAAAGAATAAAGACTGTAATAAAGTGGCATTGACATCCCATATCAGAAAGCAATTGAAAATAAGTAATACATATAAATTCCTGAGAATAAACCTCGAACTACAGGAAGGGTATCATGTATAGTAGGTTGTAATATGTTTATTGTTAAAATTATCACCTTTATGTTGTTTTGAAAAATTAAAGGTAAGCATAAGAAAATAAAGTGCTTTTGTGTTTATTTGGGGCAACAACAGCATGTTGAGAAAACTGAAGAGCCCTGTAATCCTGAGGAGGTGGCCTAATCTAAGGAGAGAGAGGCTCCAGATCCTGTGGACACACAGGGTTAAACCGATTCTGCCCATCTAGGAGCTACTTCCTAAAGCCTATTTTTTTTTTTTTTAATGAGACAGAGTCTTGTTCTGTCGCCCAGGCTGGAGTGCAGTGGAACGATCTCGGCTCACTGCAACCTCCGCCTCCCGGGTTCAAGCGATTCTACTGCCATAGCCTCGGAGTAGCTGGAACTGTAGGCACCCGCCACCACGCCTGGCTAATTTTTTGTATTTTTAGTAGAGACAGGGTTTCACCGTGTTAGCCAGGATGGTCTCGATCTCCTGATCTCGTGATCCGCCCGCCTCGACCTCCCAAAATGCTGGGATTACAGGCGTGAGCCACCGCGCCCGGCGGAGAGGAGATTTCTACTCTGGAAAGGAGTGAGTGGACGGCACAACTGGTTTGGAAACACGACAAACTGCGTCTGCATTTACAGAAGCAACGCACACAGGGAACGTCCTAGCGCCATCTGGTCTCGCACACATGCTTGGGACTCACGGTGGGGATCCCGGGCCTCCACCAGCCCTAGTTGTCGGTGCCCAGCTTGGGAGGCCTGGGCGAGAGTCATTCAGGTCGTGGATCTTCCCGTCCAGCTCCTCCAGGAAGCTCTTCACCTCCACCTCCAGGTGGCGCTGTCGAGATTTATTCTCCTCAGTGTCTGTCTTTAGGGAACTGTAGGTTCCTCCAGGTTCTGGAAAATCTCATTTCCTACAGGATTTTTTTTTTTTAGAAGGCTCTTGGTACATTTCTCGGTAATTAATCCTCCCCAATTCAGACCCATAAAAAAATTATTTGGATTGTATACCTGAGAATCTGGAAGATTTTGAAGGAAAGTTCAGAAGACTACGGAGTGTAGGTCCCCAGGAATCTCACCCTAGTCCACATCTGCCGTTTAGGCTTTCATAGCATTTACCATGTGTGTGCTCTCACCAACTCGTGCTTTCTTCAAGTTCTTTTCCAGTTCAGCCAGTGTCACCTCTGATCCTGGACATGTCTGTATCTTCAGTATTTGGAATGGGTAATTTCCCTTGCAATTTCAATTCCTTGATAGATTTCAAAAATTGTTGATGTTCAAATTGTGCAGATGTTTTTTGACATAAGAATGAGCTTGATGACTTTCCTAATCTTTACATGTTAGAGCATGTAAAGGTGATCTGATGTGTGTATCCTGAATGCTATGTGTGATGTTATGTATGTAAAAGTTATGTAAAGCTTATGATGTAAAGGTTATGTATCAGATGATATCATGGTCTTACAGGTGTCCCTAGCCCTGGACTGGAGCCAGCGGGAGAACCTGGGCCTTTGCACCTGTGACAGGAACTCTCATTCCTTAAACACAAGGCATTCTAATGAGAAAGCTGATATCAGGTGAGGTGCAAAGCAGTGGAGAGGAGATAGAGGTGCCCTTTAACTTCAAGAATTGCTGGAACTTGAATACCAAGATCATCTCTGAAAGGCAGTGGTCTACTGGTGAGGATATCAGTCAGCTCTGTCTTCAGGAATCTTTGTATGTGTGGAAAGCATCAGGGGTGTGATTTATTTTCTTCTGCTCATCCAGTGTATTTCAGAGAAAAATAAAATGCAAAGTAAGTAAGCATGTTCAATATACATGTTAAGAGAGAGAACATGTATAATTCATGGCAATAGAAGTGCTCACTTAATAGCTTGCAGAAGGAGCAGGTGCACAATTGACAGGAGGATGCTCCCTGCCCCAGGAAGCAGGTGCCTTAGAACTGCACTGTAGATGCCTTGCATCAGTAGAACCTGGGCGTGTGTCTGGGGTCTTGTAGGTAGTGTGGAGAGCAGAGCACAGCTCCATTTCTCCTCACTCTGTGACCTAGCATGTGGACCCTCCCTCTGGGCTTTATTCTAGTAAGGTGTTAATTTGATATAGCAGCAGTAGCTTTACCTGCAACCTTTCAAGGAAGGGCCAGTGCTGTTCAGAGTCGTTATTACTGTTGTTGTTCCCACCCTTGTAAACCAGAAAAATACCTGTGTGACCCTCAACTCAGACCTCAGATGACCCTTTGCAGAGGAAGCACCTGCTTTGTTTCTGTCACAAACATGTTACTGGATACTGGATAAAATGTGTGACTTGTTATAGAATGTATCTTAATTATGTTACCTTAGTTAAAATTAGGATTAGTATATGACACTCTGGGAATTTAGCTGAAGATATTTCTTAGCAAAGTGTTGATGATGTGTCCTGATATCTCATTGCTTATAACAGTACAATATGAGAGGAGAAAAAAATTAAAGAGGAAATGTTGGGAACAGGCCCCCCAAAATCTGGCCATAAACTGGCCCCAAAACTGGCCACAAACAAAATATCTGCAGCACTGTGACATGTTCATGATGGCCATAATGCCCACGCTGGAAGGTTGTGGGTTTACCGGAATGAGGGCAAGGAACACCTGGCCCCCCCAGGGCAGAAAACCGCTTAAAGGCGTTCTTAAACCACAAACAATAGCATGAGTGATCTGTGCCTTAGGGCATGTTCCTGCTGCAGATAACTAGCCAGACCCACCCCCTTTAATTCGGTCCATCCCTTCATTTCCCATAAGGGATACTTTTAGTTAATTTAATATCTATAGAAACAATATTAATGGCTGGCTTGCTGTTAATAAATACGTGGGTAAATCTTTCTTCAGGGCTCTCAGCTCTGAAGGCTGTGAGACCCCTGATTTCCCACTTCACACCTCTATATTTCTGTGTGTGTCTTTAATTCCTCTAGCACCGCTGGGTTAGGGTCTCCCGACTGAGCTGGTCTCAGCAACGAAACTATTGAGCAATGTGTTACCAGGTATTTTATACACAAGGGAGGTTTTCTCATCTTCTGGAAACTCCAGTGAAATGAAAAATTCGAGAAAATGTAAGACGTATTTTTACATTCTAGACACACGAGTAATAGAAACTTGAATTTAAATGCAAAAATGCACAGCAAGGAAGTCAAAATTCTGCAGCAGATCATTTTACCTAGTAGGCAGCTTAAACTATTTATAATATGACTTAAATATTCAAGAGGTAAACTTCAGAGATATCCAAATAAATAATTACAAAATTTCAATGTTCAATGACTGGTTGAGAGAAGATTGAACTAACATTATTTTGATGCATCACACCTCAATAATCAAACTATGGCCAATTGTCCAAATGTTGCAAGAGGATGCCTGAGGAAATAATTTCTATCTCCCTTATTTAGGAGTGCTGGCACAACCCAACATCCCCGAAAACCTGGGGTCTACTAAGAATAAAGCCAGAAATTTGAATTAGCATGAAGGATTTAAAGGCCTCACTCACTGACTGGGCTGACTGGTGAAGATGTTCTCCATGAGGCTACACTGTGAACAGTGGGTATGGTCTCTGTTTGTTTGAATGAAAGATAATGAAGAAGGCAAAAGGATTCATGGATCAGGAACCACACTAAAAACTAAATTATGCACTTTAGGAGATTTACATATGAAAAACCTGAAAATGAATTATGCCGTTGCATTCTCTCATTTGTGTTTGATGTGAGACATATTTTCTTTTTTAGAAACCTATTTTAAATCATGGATTTTCATCTCCACTGTGATAGATGAAACTACTACTGCCCCTGGTGAGCCTCATTATTGAGTCTCTAATGTGCACTTGGCATGTGCGGAGAGTTGGGAAGAAGTGACCAGGGCTCTGACCATTGAAGCTGAAGTTCTATGAGAGAGTCTGTGAGAATGTAGACAATACAAGACAGAGGGCAATGTTGGGTGAATTTCTGAGGAATAGGGAAGAATAGCAGAATGAGGCAGGGATCAGGACACCATTCAGCTTGAATTTCTCTATGTGCATTCTCCTAGTGGAATCAGAGAGATACAGCTTAGGACACAGCCCCAGGGCAGCCTTCAGAGACTCTGCACAGAACACAGCCCAGCAAGGTAGCGACAAGTTTTATCTTTGTGTTTGTCTTCCTGCCTCCATCACAATAAATTCTGAGAGCTGCCTGCATTTCTCTTGGGTGAAAATGCTGTGCACCAATCACCATAGTGTGAATGAGAAGTGAGAGGTCAAAATTATTCTTGGAGGACAGGGAACTTTGTGAGACAGAGGTGAGAAAATGATTATAACAACACGGGGACACGTGTGCTTGTCAGAAGAAAGAGTCCACGTGGGGACATGTTTGCTTGTCTGAGAGAAGAGTCCATATGTAGACAAGTGTACTTCTCTGAGGGAAGGGTCACAGTGGAGACAATCATGCTTGTCTTAGTGAAGAATCCCTGTGGGAATATGTGTGCTTTCCATGCGGAAGAGTTCACATGGGAAAATGCGTGCTTGTCTAAGGGAAGAGTCTACAATGGAGAATGGGTGTTTCAGAGAAGAGTCCCTGTGGGAATATGTGTGCTTCCCATGCAGAAGAGTTCACATGGGAAAATGCGTGCTTGTCTAAGGGAAGAGTCTACAATGGAGAACGGGTGTTTGAGAGAAGAGTCCATGTGAGGACCTGTGGGCTTGTCTGAGAGTAGAGTCCACATGTGGACATGCAGACCTATCTGAGTGATGAGCCCGTGAGGAAATATGTGTGCTTGTTATACGGGAGTTCACATGGGAACATGTGTGCTTGTCATATGGAAGGGTTCATATGGGAACATCTGTGCTTGTCTAAGGGAAGAGTCTACCTGGGAATACGTGTGCTTGTCTGAGGGAAGGGACTACATGGGGAAATGGGTGTTTGTCTGTGAGAAATGTCCATGTGCGGACATATGGGCTTGTGGGAGAAGAGTCTACTCAGGGGAAAATGCATTTGTGGGAGGAAGATGTCCACATGAAACAATGTGTGCTTGTCTGAAAGTACAGTCCACAAGAAGCCACGTGTGCTTGTGTGTGGCAAGAGTCCATGAGGGGACAGACGTGTTTGTCTGAAAGAAGAATTCATGTGCAGACACATCTGCTTGTCTGAAGATATAGTGCATGTGGGAACATGTGGGCTTGTCTGAATTCATGATAAGTGGGCTGGAATTCATCCTCCACTCATCACGTATGCACCTGACCCACTCCTGTGCTTTCCATCCAGTGCCTACAGGAAGCACTGATTGTGACAGAGAATCCAGAGGCAGCACAGGTGAGTGAGGGGGTTTGCAAGGGCTTCACCAGGCTGATAATTGACTGAGAAAAACAGTTGTTAGCATGCACAAGTTCTGGACGATACATTGGAAACCCTACCTACACACATTTTGGTAAAAATAATAAAATCCACTTCTGTTCAATTTTTGAGATTTCTAGACCAATTCAGTTGATTCTGAAGTTAGATTCAGGCAAATATGTAATAAACTTGCACCAAATTAAAAACAAGGATGAAATACGGTCAGGGAAATGGATATTGAATTATTTCCATTTTCTATGATGAGGCTGATTTTTAGAATAGAAATGGTTTGAGAGCCTAATGGTGTCCTAAATCTGAAATCACAGTTAGATCTGAGCAGCAATCACAGGAAGTGGAGGTCTCACCCCCCATGAGAAAGCACCTGTGTCTATAAAACTGCACTGGGAGGTCTCTGCAGGCTCTGAGTTGTGTAGGACTAACTCCTACCCCAGACTCAGGAAACATGAAAATCTCTACTCTTTTTGTCGAGAAGGTCAGAGTTAGTGTGCAGAAAGAAGCAGATTACTTAAGATCTCTGCACATGGACAGGAATCAAATAATATGAGAAACAAGTGATCTCACTCTAAATTTAACAGTCCCTCAAGAGAAAGGCTACTATGTGCCTGGACCCTGCACAGAAATAAGTAATAATTCATTTGGGGTAAATGTGAAAATTACAGTTGTTTGTAGACTGCATGCTTGCTTCTCTACGTCATATGAAAGAACCGAATAAAATTAGGTATTCCATGAGATCCAGTCATTTGCAACAACATGGATGGAACTGGAGGTCACTATGTTAAGTGAAAAAGACAAGGCACTGAAAAAAAAAGCATTGCAGGTTCTTACTTATGTGTGTGCTCTAAAAATCAACAGAATTAAACTCAGGAACATGGATGGTAGAAGGATGGTAACTGGAGTCTGGGAGGCTAGTGGGGGCCAGAGAACAGGTGGATATGGTTAATGGGTACAAAATACAGAGTTAGAAAGAATGAATAACACCTACTATTTAGTAGCAAAATAGTGTGACTATAATCAATAATGACTTAATTGCACATAATAAAATTACTTCCAAAGTGAAATTGGAATGTTTTTGTAAATCAAAGGACAAATGATTGAAGGGATGAATACCCCATTAACCATAAACCAACAAATAAAAGTATGTGTTCTGAAGTAAATATCCCTAGAGTATATGTTGGCCCAGAGAATGCACCTCTCAACCCTCCAACATCAGGGAGCCTATGGACCAGACACCCAGCTGCCCCTCTCTGACATCCATGACCTGGTTTGTGCCAAAGCCCCACATCCTGGGAGCTTGTCCTAGACAATGACTGCACAGTGGAGATACTAAGGTGTGGCTGCTGTTGAGCACATGGGTTATCCCTGAAGGGCAACTGTGGTTAGGGAGGCACTGAGGGTCTTGCTGGGCTCAGCTTAAACCATACGTTAGTTAGGATGATCCATCAACCCCCTGCCCTTTCTCCTGCACTTGTGGTGAGATTTGCATCCTGGGTTGACAGTGTCTACAGCCTCACCTGACTTCCTGGGCAATTTTTCTGCTTCCATCAGTGACACTTGCAGATGAGAATTTTTCCTCCTATAATAATGAAGTCTTTTTTGGCTAGGCACAGTGGCTCATGCCTGTAATCCCAGCACTTTGGGAGGCCAAGGTGGGAGGGTCTCCTGAGGTCAGGAGTTCGAGACTAGCCTGGCCAACATGGTGAAACCCTGTCTCTACTAAAAATACAAAAATTAGCCGGGCGTGGTGGCAGTTGTCTGGAATCCCAGCTACTTGGGAGGCTGAGGCAGGAAAATCGCTTGAATTCATGAGGCGGATGTTGCAGTGAGCTGAGATCATGCCATTGCACTCCAGCCTGGGGCACAAGCACGAGACTTCATCTCAAAAAAAAAAGTGTTTAAACTTAGCAACCTCATTAGTGGGCACAGAAAAATAAATATACAGAGGCTCACCAGGAAACAGTTAGATGTAGACGAAGCCACAGACCCTCTTGACATCCATCTGCACCTGCCTTTGGGCTGTCCCTGTCTTCAGGGGATCCTGGGCACCCTCTGGTGGCCCCGCGTGCCCCTGCAGGGAGGTTTGTGTCTGGGCTCACACGGACTTCCTCTCACTGTGTCTGGTACAGTAATACATGGCCGTGTCCTTAGCTTTCAGACTGTCCATTTGCAGATAGAGCATGCTCTTAGAATTGTCTCTGGAGATTGTGAATCGGCCCTTCACAGAGTCTGCATAGTATTTCTGACTTCCATCATTCCAGATATGTGCCACTCAGTCCAGCCCCTTCCCTGGAGCCTGGCGGACCCAGCTCATGCCATAGCTACTAAAGGAGAATCCTGAGGCTGCACAGGAGAGTCTCAGGGACCCCCCAGGCTGGACCAAGCCTCCCCCAGACTCCACCAGCTGCACCTCACACTGGACACCTGCAAACAAAAAGAAACCCTGGTCAGAAACTTCCACACAAATCCACTGTTTATCTCACTCTTATCCACTCACACTCAATTTCAATAGTTCTCAATGAATTACCTTTTAAAATAGCGGCAAGAAAAACCCAGCTCAGCCATGACTCCATGGTGAATCCTCTGTGTTCAGTCCTGATCACAAAATGAAAGCACCTGAAAATCCCAGGGCTGGGGCTCCTCTCCCACAGCTGCAGGGTCAGGGCTGGGCTGGTTTTCATAAGCAGAGGGAGGGCCCTATTTGCATGTCTCCTAATACATGCCAAGCTCTGGGATGGGACGCCTGAGGAGAGAGTGGGGCTCAGAGCATGTGAGAGTGTCCTGGGGGAGATTTGTGATATTGATAGCATTTGGAAATTCTGGTTTCTTATTGTAAGTTTGTTCTATGATAAACCCTTAAAACCTATAAAATTTATAGTTTTGTAATTTTTATTTTAAAACAGTTTTATTGAGGTACAATTGATCTACATAAACTGTGTGTATTTAAAGTTTGCACCTATCATCTTTTATTTTTCCATATGCACAGAAACCATGGTATGTAGTATCAATGTTATTTCCATGTTACAGATGAAAAAATATCAGCAAAACACAGATGGATTGTACAATGTCCCCAGCACTCACATTTGGTCAGAGGGAGTCTGGTTATCTGGGCCCGTGCTTCTAACCACTGGTCCTGACTTCTCCCTGAACCAAGCCCAGCATACAGGAGGTCACACCAAGTGAGGTTTGCAGAACCTTTTCTCTGTAATGAGAACATGGTGTGATGTGTATGCACTGTTGCGATTACCTAACAAAAAGTAAAGTATGTTTCCTACAGTTTTATTTTCTTGATTGTCATACATTTGTCATGTAAGTGTCTATATTTCCATCAATCTTAATTGAACAAATTATCCATCCACTTATTTGCAATACCCTTATTGAGGCATTATTGCCACGTAATAAATACTGCATAATTAAAGTGTCTGGTTGAATAAGCACTGAAGCCGAGCATGGTGGTGCACAGCTGTAGTCCCAGCTAGATAGGGCAGAGGGAGGAGGATTGCTGGAGACCCAGGGTCTGAGGCTGCAGAGAGCTATGATGTCACCACGGAGCTCCAGCCTGGATGACAAAGCAAGAAAATGTCTCCAAAGGAAAAAAATGTTATTACACATGTGCTCACCTGTGCATCCCAAATAACAATCAAGATACCAATGAATTACACTTAAAAGCTTCCCTGTGTTCCTCTCATTCCTGCCTCCCAGTCATTTTCCTCTCACCATATTGAGTCAGTCATCTTTGTTACTTTAGATCTATTTTTCAAGATTTTGTTCAAGTGAAATCTTATAGTTTCAATTTCATTTGTGTGGTTTTCTGCACAGTATAATTACTTGTGAGCCAGTAATTTGGTTCTATATAAATAATGTGTTTTTAAAATTATACTTTAAGTTCTGAGATGCATGTGGAGAACGTGCAGGTTTGTTACATAGATATACATGTGCCATGCTGGTTTGCTGCACTCATCAACCTGTCATCTACATTAGGTATTTCTCCTAATGCTGTCCCTCCCCTTGCTCCCCACCCCGACAGGCCCTGGTGTGTGACATTCCCCTCCCTGTGTCCATGTGTTCTCACTGTTCAGATCCCACTTATGAGTGAGAACATGCGGTGTTTGGTTTCCTGTCCCTGTGATAGTTTTCTGACTATGATGGTTTCCAGCTTCATCCATGTCCCTGCAAAGGACATGAACTAAAGAATGTGTTGATTCTAATGAGGAACAGTATTACAGTTAATGAGTGCACCCTTACTATTTATTTATAATGCTCCTTAATAGTTGTGTAAATTCCAGTTACTGAGTACTACAAATAAATCTCCTACTCAGCCTGGAGATGTATGCACCCCTTAAAATATATTATTTTTGGCTGGGTGCGATGGCTTATGCCAGAAATCCCAGCACTTTTGGAGGCCAAGACTCCTGTAGTCCCAGCTACTATGGAGGCTGATGCAGGAGAATCGCTTGAACCAAGGGGGCGGAGGTTGCAGTGAGCCAAGTTCGCACGACTGCACTCCAGCATGGTGACAGAGCAAGACTCCATCTCAAAAAAACATATATATTTTTACAGAAACAACTAACCTTACTGATCTGCAAATTAGCACATTTTCTTTAATATTTCAGATTATTGATGTTATAGGGCAAACAAGAAACCTTACATCTTGCAAAAGTCAGTCACTTGCAGGGATAAACAGGAAGAGAAAATGGCCTTATCTGGGGCAATGGCCAGCAAATGTCACATAAGCTAATGCAAGATTAAATTAGACATATTTATTACATTGTTTAAAATTGAGTATAATAAATAAGTTATTGTTTAAATTCTCAGAGAACATACAACTGAGAGATTCCTATTGCTATTGAAAACTTTTCTCCCAGGATTGAGGACACATTACAAAAAGCTCTTCCCTGTAGCTCCCAAGATGGTTCTGTGCTGGAAAGAAAAACAGCAACTGCAGCTGAAATGCATCCAGACCCACCTCCACTGTCACCACTACATTGCTAAAGAATTAACATGCAGGGGCAAAGCCACTAACACCTTTGTGTTACTGGTACTGGAGGAACTCATAGAAACTGGGATAGAAGAAAGAAAAGCTCCAAAGCCCTGTTCATTCTCTCAGGAATAACAGCCTCATCTCCCACCTCCTCTCTCTTTCTTCAGGAATAAAAGCCTCATCCTGCTGGGAAGGGCAGAAAAGAGGAAGCTGAAGACATCAGTGGGAAGACATAGTATAGTGGCTGCTGGAAGAAGATCTGGGAAAAAACAAGGAGACCCTCTACCCAGGAATGGGAGGAAGATGCATGGATCAGCATCACACCTGCAGGAGGGCAGGGATACTTGGAAGGACACAACCTGAGCCAGGACTGTGATGTCTGCCTGCAGTATGGCTCCCTCAGAAGGACAGAGAGTGCCCGTTCAGTGCGACCCTTCCCACCACATTGACAATTGTCCGGTCCATGTGGCTTTAGAATGACCTGGGGGATTTGAAAGACAGAGTCTCTCTGGATAGCACAAGACTAAAGCCCAAAGCCAAGCAGGAAACAAAATTAAGGTGTTACTGGAGGAATCTGGGTGTCTGGTGGCTACAGAGGAAATGTACTTCAATTCTGGCAGCCACTGCAATAAGGACTTTCAAATGTAGTCCTGAGTAGTTTCACACAATTTTCTACAATAAAGGCCTAGAAAAGATATGGTGTTATCATCTACAAAAAATGCAAAAAATCATAAAACAAATAATTAGCTGATATAATAAATCTGATAGAAGTATCTGCAGAACATAAATATCAAAATAACTTGCATAAATACATTAAAACATTTACACTTGATCCCATTGTTAGTCTATGCCTAACTTCATAAGAAATTGCCAATATGTGGTATACCCAATACTATTATAACTAATACTATATTGATTTTATGCTTGTAACAAAGAGCACAGAGTAGGTTCTGTAAGAACTATTAATGAAAAAGTCAACTTTGCAAAATATTTAGATTTATTCGAGCCAAATGTGAGGACCATGCCCTGTGACACAGCCCCAGAAGATCTTGAGAACGTGTGCCCAAAGTGGCTTGATTGCAGCTTAAATTTAATGTCTTAGAGAGAAAGACATCAGTCAATACATATGAGACATGTGTCGATTTGTTTCATAAAGATAAAAGAGCTACAAGTGAGGCAGTGTGGGGAGGGGATTACAGCTTACAGGTGAATTCAAAGATTTTCTGATTGAAAGACTTAACTTTTTATTTAAAGAGCTGAAATCAGTAGAAAAACGTTTCTGTGTTTGAAGGGGGCCAGCCCCTCCACAACTGTGGGTATTTCTCGTCAGGTGGGATGAGAGACTGAGAAAAGAAATAAGACACAGAGACAAAGTATAGAGAAAGAACAGTAGGCACAGGGGACCGGTGCTCAGCATACGGAGGACCCACACCGGCACCGGTCTCTGAGTTCCCTCAGTATTTATTGATTATTATTTTCACTATCTCAGCAAGGGGAATGTGGCAGAACAGGGTGATAGTGGGGAGAAGGGCAGCAAGAAAACGTGTGAGCAAAGGAATCTGTGTCACAAATAAGTTCAAGGGAAGGTACTATCGCTGGATGTGCACATAGGCCAGATTTATGCTTCTCTCCACCCTAACATCTCAGTGTAGTAAAGAGTAACAGAGGAGCATTGCTGCCAACATGTCTCACCTCCAGCCACAGGGTGGTTTTCTCCTATCTCAGAATAGAACAAATGTACAATTGGGTTTTATACCGAGACATTCCATTCCCAGGGACATGCAGGAGACAGAGGCCTTCCTCTTTTACTAATCCTCCTCAGCATAGACCCTTCACGGTTGTCAGGCTGGGGGACGGTCAGGTCTTTTCCATCCCACGAGGCCATATCTTAGGCTGTCTCAGTGGGGAGAAATGTTGGACAATACCCGGCTTCCCTGGGCAGAGGTCCCTGTGGCTTTCTGCACTGCATTGTTACCCTTGGTTAATCAAGAATGGAGAATGGTGATGACTTTTACCAAGCATACTGCCTGTAAACATATTGTTAACAAGGCACATCCTGCACAGCCCTAGATCCCTTAAACTTTGATTCCATACAACATATGTTTCTGTGAGCACAAGGTTGGGGCAAAAGTTACAGATTAACAGCATCTCAAGGCAAAACAATTCTTCAGGGTACAGATCAAAATGGAGTTTCTTACGTCTTCCTTTTCTACATAGAGTAACAGTCTGATCTCTCTTTTCCCTACATAGGTTAGGATAACGGGTTTTGGAGAACAAGATTCTTATTATGTAGATGAATTCTCTTATGTGGCCACCGTTAGAGGCAGTAGATAGCAAATGTTTTCTACTATGACATTTAAAAGATGCTAGACTCTCAGCTAATCTAACAACTAGACCTGGAAAGGGAAGGAGATTCGCTACAGAACGTAAATTTCTCTCTCAAAAGATAACTGTGCAGGGTGATTTTAAAATATGTCAAATAAATATATTTTAGGGTAAAAGTCTTTGATTCTTTTCAAGGTCTGCTCTCTGTCATGTGATCCTATTCTTGAGTCAGGTTAGAATTTGGTATCTTACTGCTGCAAAGAATCTGTTTTCTGAGTCTTAAGATCTGTTTTAATGAAAAATACTGGTTAGTTGTGCTTGAATTCCAAAGGGAGGAGGGTATAATGAGGCATTTCTGAACCTCTATTTCTCACATGAACTGCACTACGTTTTCAAGAGTCTCTGGAACTCCTTTTTGACAAGAAAGGGTACATTCAGGGAATGTGCAATTAGCTGGATTCCCCTGCATTGCTGTTTTTTAATACCTAATTTATATAGATACATGAGTTCAAAATCTTTATGGGGTATATATTTTGATAAAAGATTATTATATGCAGTGATTAAATCTGGATAACTGGTATATCTTTCATCTCCATCATTGATTATTTCTTTGTGTTAACAATTCTAAATCTTCTCTTCTAGCTGTTTTGTAATATACACTAAATTATTAACTGTACATGTCTATGTGCCATTTCAGCATTACCACCAGCAAAGAGTGAATGTTCCTGTTTTTCAACTTCCTCATCACCATTTGGTATTATCTATATTGTGTATTTTACCCATCCTCATAAGATAGTAGTATTTTTTGAATATTAAACATGCATATACCTAATGAAAATGAAGTTGATCTCTTTATATTTATTTTTAGATGCGATTTCTATTCAGATCTTTGCCCATTTTAAAATTAATTTGTGTGGTTTTGTTGTTGTTCAATTGTAAGGTAATTTGTACATTTGTGATAAAAGTCATTTTCCAAATATTTGATTTGCAAGCAAATTCTCCAAATCTAAGACTTATGTTTTCACTTTCATGTAAGGGTTTATTTTCAAAGGCCTAAGCTTGCTAGAGTAAGCCATGGCCGTAGGATTATGGAACACATTTCTCTCCACATCTTACAATGACATCGCTAAAGGCCTCTTTACAGCAGTTTCTTTTACCTGGTACATAATTTCTGGCTAAAAAAATCACGAGACATACTAAAAGAAAAATATCACAGTGTAATGAGACAGAACAAGCATTAGAATGAGACTCAGCTACGTCATGTAAGTTGGAATTACCAAACAAGGAATTTAAGACCCCGCTATAACTCATATGCTAAGGGCTGTGATGAGTTAAGCAGAGGGCATCCAGGAACAGTTGTGTTATGCAAGTCGAAATATGCAAACTCTTAAAAAGCAAAAAAATGTAGATATCAAGAATATTGTAACAGAATTAAGCAATGCTTTCAATGGACTTATATGTAGACGCAGCATGGCTGAGGAAAAAAATCTGAAATTAAAAATATCTCAGTAGCAATGTCCCAAACTGAAAATGGAGAAATATTTTTTTTAAAAAGTAAACACACAAATACACACACAAACATACAAGTACACAAATACACACCCATAAGAAACCAGAACAGCTTATCCAAGAATTGTGAGACAATTATAAGGGTATAACATGGGAAAGAGAAGGAACAGAGAAAGGTTAAGAAGAAATATTTAAAGCAATGATGACTGACAATTTTTCCAAATTAATGTCAATCACCAAACTACAGACTCGGGATTATGATCATTTCATCTACAGAGATGGTTTGACATCCTCTCTTCCGGTTCTGATGCTTTTCTTTCTCTTGCCTGCACGCTCTGGCTGGGACCTCCATGACTATGATGAACAGGAGTGGTTAGAGTGGGAATGCTTTTCTTGTTCCAGTTTTCAGGGAAAACTGCTTCCAGCTTTTGCCCATTCAGTATGATTTTGGCTGTGGGTTCATGATAGATGGTTATTATTTTGAGGTATGTTTCTTCATGCCTAGTTGAGGGTTTTGGATATGAAACAATGTTAAATTTCATTGAATACCTTTTCTATGTCCATTGATAGCATGGTTTTGTTTTTAGTTCTGTTTATGAGACGAATCACACTTACTGATTTGCGTATATGAACCAACCTTGCATCCTAGGAACAAAGTCTACTTGATCATGGTGGATTAGCTTTTTGATGTGCTGCTGTGGTCAGTTTGCTAGTATTTCATTGAGCATTTTTGCATCATGAATATTGGCCCAAAGTTATCTTTTTTTTTAGTCTCTGCCAGGTTTTGTTATCAGAATAATGCTGGTCTCACAGAATAATTTAGGGAGGAGTCCCTTATCCTAATTTTTGGGGAATAGTTTCACTAGGATTGGTAGCAACTCTTCTTTATACATCCGAATAAATTCAGCTGTGAATCTTTCTGGTCCATGGCTTTTTCTGGTTGGTACCACCTATCCATCTTGATTTGTGACCCCTGCCTGAGCCAGTAATAATCACATTAAATTCAGACAAAGCTGAATCCAATCCAATGTTTTTATAGTTCTTAACAGCTTTACTGGCTCACTTAACTTCAGTGAACATTTCCTCACCCAAAACAGTTTCACTACCAATAATATTTAAGGATTTCCACTGGATTTGTTTTTCATGTCATCCAGTGATGCAACTACTTAAAACAATGTTGACTTCTCTACATGCACAATAATCATCCTACTATTGTTGAATGGGCCAGCAACCCTCTACTCCTGCTTCTTCCATCTGCACAGCTGCCTGCAAGACCTCCCTGGAACTCAGGTCTCTATTGTAGGGCAAACTTTGAGAAATGTCACATCTACTCAGTGCTACAAATAGAAAAAGCTAATGGAAGCTCCTCTGCCCACTGACATGTTAGGCCTGTAATGTATCCCAGAGCCTCCCTTTATCCCCACACCTATCCCAGAGCCTCCATTTATGTCACTGCCAATGAATTTTGTGTTATTTTAAAATATAATTTTAATAGACAATAATTGTAACTATTCATGAGGTACATAGTGATGTTTTGATACATATAATGCATAGGGGTCAGATTAGGGTAATTAGCACATCCATCATCTCAAACCATTTCTTTTTGTTAGGAACACTCAGTATCCTTCTTCTAACTATTTAAAACTACATATTATTGTTAACCGTATCCATCCTACAGTGGTAAAGATCATTATAATCTATTCCTCCTCCCTAGCTCTAATTTTGTATTATTTAACAAATCTCTGCCTATCTCGTCCTTTACCCTACCCTTCCCAGCGTCTGGTATCCTCTGTTCTATTCTTTACTTCTAGGAGACCATTTTTTTTTAAGTATCCACCTATGAGTGAGAAAACAAGGTGTATTACTTTCTGTCCCTGGCTTAGTTCATTTAACATAATGTCCTCCAGTTCCATCCTCATTGCCACAAACAACATGATTTCATTTCTTATGGCTGATGAGTACTTCGTCATGTATATGCACCACATCATCTTTAACCATTATTCTCTTGTGTTCAACACCTGTGTTGATTCCATATCTTGGCTATTGTGAAAGGTCCTGCCACATACACTGGGGTGCAGAATTCTCTGATACAATGATTTTCATTCCTTTGGATAAATTTGCAGTAGTGGAATTGCTGGATCATACGGTAGTTCTATTTGTAGTTTTTTGAGGTACCTCCACACTGCTCTCCATAGTGACTGTACTAGTTTACATTCTCCTCAACAATGCATAAGAGTTTTCTTTTCTCTGTATCCTTACGAGCATTGGTTAGTGTTTTGTTTGTGTGTGTGTGTGTGTGTGTGTGTGTGTGTGTGTTTAATATGAGCCATGTTAACTGAGGTGAGATGATACCTTCTACCATCCTGCAGGTTGTTTACTCACCATGTTGATTATTTCTTTTTCTGTGCAGAAGATTTTTACTTAAGTCCTGTTTGTCTGTGTTTTCATTGCATTTGCTTTTGAAATCTTAGTCATGTTTTATTTGCCTAGGCCAATGTCCAGAGAACTTTTTTTTTGCATTTTCTTCAAGTATTTTTGTAGATTCAGTTTATATTTTTAAGTGTTGAATCCATATTCACTTAATTTTTGTCTATTGTGAGATAGAAGTCTGGTTTTATTCTTCTTTGTGTGGCTGCCCAATTTTCCAAGCACCACTTATTGAATAAAGGGTTGTTTCTCCAGTGTATATTTTTTGTCAGTTTTGTCAAATAACAGGTGGTCGTAGATATTTGGCTTTATTTCTGGGCTGTCTGTTGTGTTACATCAATTTTTATTTTTTGTCACTACGATGATGTCATTCTTATTATATCTGTGTAGTATAATTTGAAGTCCGGCAATGTGGTGCTTCCAGCTTTGTTACTTTTCCTTAGGGTTGCTTTTGATGTTCAAGCTCTTTTTTGATTCCATATAAATTTTATGGTTTTTTAAAATATGTAATCAATTATATTGGTTACTTAATAGAAATTGCATTGAATCTGTATATTGCTTTGGACAGTGTACTAGTCTATTTGGCTTATTTGGCTGATAGTTCTGCAGGCTAAGTGAGAAGCATGGCATCAGCATCTGCATCATGTGATGGCCTCAGAAAGCTTACAGTCATGGTGGAAGGCAAAGGGGAAACAGGCTGTGTTACATGGTGAGAGGGAGGACATGAAAGGGGAGGATGGTTGCTAGATTATTTTGAAAATCAGATCTCACAGTAGATAATACAGAAATAATTCACTAATTACCATGGGGTGGATACCAAGCCATTCCTGAAGGATCTTTCCCCATGTCTCAAAACCTCCCAGTCGGCCCCACCGCAAATGCTGTGAATCACATTTCACCTTGAGATTTAGCAGGGACCATCATCTAAACTATACCATTTTACTCTTGTGTCCTGATCTCATGTCCTTCTTAGATTGCAAAGTCATCTTTTTTTTAATAGTTTTTTTAATAGTGACCAAACTCTTCACTTGGTCAACCTCCGACTGAAAATACCAAAGTCTCCTCTGAGTCTTAAGGCAATTTCTCTGCAGCTATGAGCTTGCAAAATGTTTTAAACAGGCTGGGCGTGGCAGCTCACGCCTGTAATCCCAGCACTTTGGGAGGCCGAGGCGGGTGGATCACGAAGTCAGGAGATCAAGACCATCCTGGCTAATACAGTGAAACCCTGTCTCTACTAAAAATACAAAAATTAGTCGGGCGTGGTGATGAGCGCCTGTAATCCCAGCTACTCGGGAGGCTGAGGCAGTGAAGCCAGGAGACAGGGGTTGCGGTGAGCCGAGATCGCGCCACTGCACACCAGCCTGGGCGACAGAGCAAGACTCCGTCTCAAAAAAAAAAAAAAAAAGTTTTAAACAGTTGTTTACTTCCAAGGTGCAATAGTGCCACAGGAATTGGGTAAATATTGTCAATACAAAAGGAATAAATTGGCCAAAGGAACTGCCAACAGGCTCTAGACACACCTAAAGCCTAGTAAGGCAGATATTAAATCTTAAAGCTACAAAATAGTCTCTCTTGACTTTATGTACTTCCACCAGGGCACACTAGGACAAAGGGGGTCCCAAAAACCTCAGGAATATCATCCCTGTAGCTGGGCACAGCCCATGGTGCTGCTTTCACAGGTTAGAGTCAAGTGCCAGAAGGTTTTCCAGGCTGAGAGGACAAGCTGCCTTTGACTCTACCATTCTGGGATCTTGAGGGTTGTGGCCACATTCCCACAGCTTTACTATGAAGTGCCCTAGTGGGGACTCTGAATGGGGGTTCCGACCCCATCTTTCCCCATCTTTGGTATTGTCCTAATAGACACTGTCTGTGGTGGCTCCACTCCTGCAGCAGGCTTCTTCCTTGGCATATAGGGTTCTCCATGCACATCTTCTGAAATCTAGGTAGAAGCTGCCCAACCTCCTTCACTCTTGCATTCTGCATATCTGCCAGAATCCATTTATTGAATAGAGTTTTTTCCCCATTGCTTGTTTTGTCAGCCTTATCAAATATCAGATGGTTGCAAGCATGCAGCTTTATTTCTGCTTTCTCTTTTGTTCCACTTTTTCTGCATGTCTGCCCTTTTACCAGTACCAAGCTGTTTTTGTTACCATGACTTTATGGTGTAGTTTAAATTCAGTACCATGATGCCTCTGGCATTGTTCTTTTTGCTTAGGATTGCTGTGGCTATTCAGGGTCTTTTTTTTATTCCATATAAATTTTAGAATTTTTTTTCTATTTATCTGAAGAATGCTGGTGAGAGTTTTATGTAAATAGCATTGAATCTGTAAATTGCTTTGGGCAGTATGACAATTTTTACAATATCAATTCTTCCAATCCATGAGTATGAAATGTTTTCACATTTATTTCTGTCATTTGTGATTTCTTTCTGCTGTGTTTGGTAGTTCTCCTTATACAGTTTTCACCTTGTTTTTTACCTGTATTTTCAGGCACTTCATTTTTTGTGAGCATTGTAAGTGGGACAGGATCGTGTTCTTGATTTCACTCTCAGCTTGGATGTGGTTGGGATATAGAAATGCTGGAGACTTTTGTACATTGATTTTTGTATCCTGAGACTTTACCAAAGTTGTTTATCTCTCTTGAATTATTTTGTCAGAGTCTTTAGAATTTTATAGGTATAGAATTTTATCATCAGTTTGGACAGATACATTGCATTCTTTTCCCATTTGGATGCTGCATTAGTCCATTCTCACACTACAAAGAAACACACAGGAGTGAGTAATTTATAAAGATATTTAATTCTTTAATTTAATTTAATTCATGGTTCTGCAGGCTGTACAGGAAGCATGGCTGGGGAGGCCTGGGGAACCTGACAATCATGACAGAATGGGAAACATCATGTCTTACATGGCTGCAGCAGGAGGAAGAGATAAGGGAGAGGTACCACACACTTTGAAACCAGATCTCCTGAGAGCTCTGTCAGGAGAACAGCATGAGAGAGGAAAACACATCCCCATGATCTAATCATCCTTTACCAGACGCCACCTCCAACATTGGTGGTTACAATTCGACATGCTATTTGGGTGGGGACACAAATCCAAACCATATCAGCTGCCTTTTATTTTTGTTATTGCCTGGTTCCTCGGACTAGGATTTCTAATACTATGTTCAATAGGAGTGGTGAGACGGCATCCTTGTCTTTTTTCAATTCTCAAGGGGTTTGAACTTTTGCTTATTCAGTATGATGTTGACTGTGGTTTGTCATAGATAGCTCTTATAATTTCGAGGTATATTTTTCTGATGCCTAGTCTGTTGAGGGTTTTTATTATGAGTGGATGTTGGATGCTATTAAAAGCTTTCTCAGCATCTATTGAGATAATCTATGTTTTTCGCTTTTATTTTGCTTACATAGTGAATCAGTTACTGATTTTTGGATGTTGAATGAAACTTGCCTTCCAGGGGTAAAGCCTACTTGATCATGATGTATCACATTTTAAAGTGCTTCTGGATTCTATTTGCTAGTATTTTGCTCAGAACTTTTAGGTCTATGTTCACCAGGAATATTCATCTGATGTTTTCTTTTTTAATTATGTGTCTTCCTAATTTTGTATGCCAAGAACACACAGTGAAGAAAGGACAGTCTCCTCAATCAATGGTGTAGAAAATGGTCATGCATGTGCAAAAAAAAAATGAAATGAAACTAGACCTTCTCTAACACCATATACAAAAATCAACTAAAAATGAACATAACCTGAAACCATAAATCATAGACAACATGGAAAAATATTCGTCATTGATTCAGAAATTATTTGAATTTAATACCAAAAGCAAGCACAGTAAAAAAAACTATGTGCAATTATATATCTAACAAGAAGTTCCACCCAAATATATAAATTAACCATACAACTCAACAGCAAATATCAACTGACCTAATACAGAGGGCAAAAACCTGGTTAGATTTTTTTTCAGAAGACCCACAGATGAAAAACAGATCCTAAAAAGGTACTCAACATTCCTAATTATCAGGGGAATTCAAATAAAAAGCCCAATGAGATATCACCTCACACCACTTAAAATGGTTATTATCAGCAAGACAAAAGATAACAAATGTTGGCAAGAATGTGGTGAAGAGGGTATCCTTATATCGTATGGTAAGATTGGTTAGTCAATAAATTGAAAAATAAAGCTATCATATGACCTGGTGATCCCACTTCTTGTTATATCGTCAAAGGAAATAAAATTATGATGTCAAATACATGTTAATTGCAAGATTATTTATAATAGTGTAGATTTGTGAAAGAATTTAATGACCATAGATTGATGACTGTATAAAGAAAATGTATATATATAAACTGAATTTCATTTGGCTTTCAAAAAAAAAAAGGAAATTCTGACATTTGCAACAACACGGATGGAGCTAGAGGACATGGTGCTAAGTGGAATAAGCCAGATGCCGAAAGACAAATGCTTCACGATGTCATCTGCATGTAGGATCTAAAATATCCAAGTTCTTGATAGCAGCGAGTAGAGTACTGGGTCCCACGACCTGGGAGGAGAGGGAAATTGGGTGATATCGGTCAAAGGGCACAGAGTTTCAGTTGTGCAAGCTGAATCATTTCTGGAGATCTAATGCACAGCAATGTTCCTGTATTTAATACTATATTGTAAAAGTGATTTTTGCTAAGAGTAGGTCTTAGGTGTTGTTATCAGACACACATACACACACAAGCTCTACATTTAAAAAAAATTAAACGGTAGCTCTGTGAGAAGATGGATATGCAAATTACCTTGACTATGATGAGCATTTTACAATGTATATCTGATATGCTTTGGATCTGTGTCCTACCCCAAATCTCACGTCGTATTATAATCCTCAATTGTGGAAGTGTGACCTGGTTGGAGGTGACTGGGTCATGGCGTGGGTCCTTCATGAATGGTTTAGAACTGACTCCTGGTGCTGTTTTCATGACAATGCATGAGTTGAGTTCTCACAAGTCAATTAAACATCTTACATCTTTTTTTTTTTCCAAATTACTCAGTCTCAAGCTTTTTTTTTTTTTTTTTTTTTTTTTGACAGAGTTTCGCTCTGTCGCCCAGGCTGGAGTGGAGTGCAGTGGTGCAATCTCAGCTCACTGCAAGCTCCACCTCCCAGGTTCACGCCATTCTCCTGCCTCAGCCTCCGGAGTACTGGGACTACAGGCACCTGCCACCACGCCCAGCTAACTTTTTGTATTTTTAGTAGAGACGGGGTTTCACCGTGTTAGCCAGGATGGTCTCGATCTCCTGACCTCATGATCCGCCCACCTCAGCCTCAGGCATTTCTTTATAGCAGTGTTAGAATGGACTAATACAATATCAAAACATCAATTGGTGCACCTTAAACATATATATTATAAAAATATTTCAATTATGCCTCAATACCACTGAAAAAAATTAAACTTACTCTTAGAATAAAGAAATACATACTTCATATTTTCTCAATAAAAATAGAACATCAGAAAACTTACACTAAGCTATTTGTAACAGCTCTGCATATAATATTCATAAACTGGACACAAATTTAAAGTCCACTGACATAAAAATAAATGAAAATATTGTCATTTATTTACTTAATGGACTGACTCAGATATAAAATATCTCTGCTTCCTCTCTTTCTCTCTCTCTCTTTCCATGTACATGAAAATTTTGGTGGTTCATATCACAGTCTGTCTATGAATTGAATAAACGACAATATGTTGATCTAATTTTATACATTAGCTAGCATGAATTAACCTCAAAAATAGAAAAGTAGCCCCTTACCAAAAAAAGTCTATAATGTTTGATTCCATTTATATAAAGTTCAAAGCAGAATAAAATACATCTATAGTGTCAGAAATCGAAACCTTTCCCCATGCAGGATTTGACCACAGGCATAGAAAAAGACGCATGTTTTGGGGAGAGACTTGCTCTTCAGGCTACCTTAGGTGCTGGGGACAAAGGTATTCACATTTGCCAGAAACTCTCTAGTGACACATTTCAGATCTATGCATTTTTTCTTATGTGTGAATTTTATCTCATAAAAACAAAAAAAGTAGAAAAGTTTGAAATTCAGTAAATAGTAAAATTAATATTAAAATCCTATCTAAAATATGAACATTATTATATGAATTAATAAAAGGCATTCCAGTATACCTACTAAAATTAAATCCCAGATATCAAAAAGATAATGCTAGCATCTGAAACTTAAATAATTATAAGCATACATTTTATAGAGAAGGAAAAAATACTCAAGACATGGGGAACATGTATTTTTTCCAATCAAATGTCACTAAATTATGTATACAATATTGTAACCTGTGTCATTAGTATAAATTACTAATATTTTGAGTAATATTACAACTGAGAACAACTTTAAAACGAAAAAGGATATTTGAGAGCACATGAACTGAATTGAATGTATTTTCAACTGTGGTCCAACTATTACACTGCTAATAATACCCTGGTTTTGAGTGGGGCTTTAGAAAAAAATTTTTTTGAGACGGAATTTCACTTTTGTTGCCCAGGCTGGAGTGCAATGGCACGATCTCCACTCACTGCAACCTCTGCCTCCCGGTATCAAGTGATTCTCCTGCCTCAGCCTCCCGAGTAGCTGAGATTAAAGGCATGCACCACTCCCGGCTATTTTTTTTTTCATATTTTTAGTAAAGAAGAGGTTTCTCCATGTTGGTCAGGCTGGTCTCGAACTCCCGACCCCAGGTGATCCGCCTGCTTCAGCCTCCCAAATTGCTGGGATTACAGGTGTGAGCCGCACAAACGTTTATAAAAAACCTACTTTGCACCAGGCATTGTGCTAGGCACCCTCACTGTGTGCTGTTCCCGCACCACAATCATCCGCTCAGAAATTAAAACCAAGAAAAGGAACATTGTCGCAACCATACAAACTGGGGGGCAGAGGGCAATATCGTGGATGCAGGTGATCCCCAGGCCAGAAAATGTACCCACCAGAAACCTGTTTGCCATCTCGATAAGTCTCCACTAAACAGTTGTTTTAAAGCCTCTCGTTATTGACGGAGAGGAATGTTGTTCTCCCTGTGCCCCCTGGGCCTGGCGCCTGATGGACATTCAAATACCCTGAATGCTATTCGATAAAAGGAGCCCGATGACCTGGTGTAAAGAATATCAATATTTGGATTAGAAAGTGCTTTTTTTCAGTTCATATGGTTTCAACAGCCCTTATGAAAAATATAAACATCCCTGGCCTGACTGTGTAAATGTTGAAGGTAGACCTAGTTCTGGATTCCTGAGTCAAAATCTTCCAGTTGTCCACAACCTCACAAGGCCAGAGAAGCGAGAGGAAATTTTTCTTTTTCTTTTTTTTTTTTTTTTGAGATGGAGTCTCGCTCTGTTGCCCAGGCTGGAGGACAGTGGTGCGATCTCGGCTCACAGCAAACTCTCTCTCCTGGTTCAAGCGATTCCCCTGCACCAGCCTCCCAAGTAGGTGGGACTACAGGTGCTTGCCACCAAGCCTGGCTAATTTTTTGTATTTTAGTACAGACAGGGAGGGTTTCACCATGTTGGCCAAGATGCTCTCGGTCTCCTGACCTCGTGATCCTCCCGCGCTTCGACCTCCCAAAGTGCTGGGATTACAGGCGTGAGACACTGTGCCTGGACAAGAGATTTCTATTCTGGGAAGGGGTGAGTGGACGGCACAGTTGGTTTGGAAATACAAGAAACTGCGCCTGCATTTACAGAAGCAACGCACACAGGGAACGTCCTAGCGCCATCTGGTCTCGCACACACGCTTGGGACTCACAGGAGGGGCCTGGGCCTCGGCCAGCCCTAGTTATTGGTGCACAGTATGCAAGGCCTGGGCGGAAGTCAGGCAGGTTGTGGATCTTCCGGTCCAGCACCTCCGGGAAACTCTTCACCTCCACCCCCAGGTGGCGCTGTCTGGATTTGCTCTCCTCAGTGTCTCTCTTCAGGGAACGCACTTTGTCTTCCAGGTTTTGATCCTCTCTCTGCCGCCTCCATCTTCTCAGAGACACAGTTGCACTCACCTGAGCTGAGGAGTAGTTTTACTTTGCTTTTGGGGACTTCCACTCTTTCTCGTTTTCTCGGAGCTCCGCCTCCAGCTCCTCGATCTTCCTCTTCAGCTGCGTGTTCTTCTCCTCTCTGTGGATCTCACGGCCTCTTCCTCTGCTCCACGCTGGCCACCGACTCCTGCAGCGCCGTGGGCAGCCGGGCGTCGCTCTCCCGCCGGATCTGCAGCTCCATCTCCCACCTCTTCCCGTGGGCAGCTCTCTGCGTCGAGGCCGCCTTCAGCTTGTGGTTCCCAGACTGCAGGTGCGTGTCAGCTGCAGCGGCCTGAGAGGCCTTTCATCGTCCGTCCCGTTGACACTGGATGCCGGAGTAGAAGATGGGGCTCCATGCCCGGATTCTCGGGATTATTACTCGAGGGCTCCATGTTCTCCTGGGTCTTGTCTTTGGCTGTCTTGGCCGCTTCCTCCACCTCCTGGAATTTCTCTGCAAACTTTGTCAGCTGCTGCTCAGAGGAAAACCCCAAACCAAACACCGTGTTGGCTCTGCTGTCGGCCCACTGCCCAGACGTCTGTGACACATTGGTGAAGGTCATATTCGGTGTGATTGTGCTGTTTATGGTCACCTTGGCTCCGTCCACACTGACGATCCCATAGATGTTCCTTGTGACATCATAGAAGTAAGAAACGGTGACCGCCTGTTGCTCGCAGGCATCCAGTGCTTTTTGGTGTTGGGGTCAATCTGGAAGACCTGTGCTCCGGTGGTGAAGATGGGCTGTTCTTCCATCCCCGGCACTGCTCCGGCGGCCACTCCGACCCGGCCTCTCACGCTCACTGTCCGCCCGCTTGGCGTCTGCTACCGGCGCGGCACGTGCGGAGGCCCCTGCGCGCCTGGCTCAGCCCAGGCGCCGCTCCATTCCACCAGGCGCGGGCAGGCAGGGGCTCTCGAAAAATCATTCTAAGAGATAAATTAAAAGAGTAATCTGTAATAAGGGGAATAATCTGTAATAAGCATTCCAACTCAGAAAAAAACTGAATATATGTAATACATATAAACTCCTGAGAAGAAAGGTCGAAGCACAAGAAGGGTCTCATGTGTAGCAGGTTGTAATATGTTTATTGTTAAAATTATTACCTTCATTTTTTTTTTTTAAAAAAAGCAAAGCATAATGAAATTAAGTTTTTGTGCTTATCTGGTACAACAGCCTGTTGAGAAAAATGAAGAGCCCTGTAATCCTGAGGAGGGGGCTTAATCCAAAGAGAGATGCTCCAGGTCCTGTGCACATGAAAGATTTGCCTGCTTCTGCCCATCCAGGAGCTTACTTCCTGAAGCCTTTGAAGCCTTCAGGAGGCAGGAGGCTGAATGAGTTTCTCAGGACAATCTAATCATATCCTGACAGGGAGAAAAAAATCATGACCTAGGACGGATTAAAAAATGTATAATTAAAATTTCATTGAAAATTGAGAAATTTTGACTATGTATTTATAGAGTGCAAAGCTATGTTATGATTTATGAATGCAATATGGAATAACTGAATCTAGCTAATTGACATATATATCAACTCAAATCCTCAAATCCTTATTGTGTGTGTTTGTGTGACAGGGACATTTGAAATTTGTTCTTGGCCATTTTAAAATGACCAATACACTATATTTAAGCTTACAAATAGATACCAATTTATGTAAACTATAGAGAATCATTGCAATGAATAATGGATTACTATAATTTATATTTAGTTAATCATTAAGTTTCATTCATTAGGACATATTTTATAATGATTTTATTATATTAAATATAAAAGACTAGACATGTATGCATAAGTTTGTGTATTTACACATATGTCTACAGATGTAAATTAATGTCGCCATAGCTATGTAGTTGAAGATATCAACAGATGTTAATACAACCTAGGAGAATAAGTGCATATTATTAGGAAGAATTATTTTTGAAGGATTTTTTTTATTCTTTAAGTTTTAGGGTACAGAGAAATGCAAATCAAAACCACAATGAGATACCATCTCACACCAGTTAGAATGGCAATCATTAAAAGGTCAGGAAACAACAGGTGCTGGAGAGGATGTGGAGAAATAGGGAACACTTTTACACTGTTGGTGGGACTATAAACTAGTTCAACCATTGTGGAAGTCAGTGTGGCGATTCCACAGGGATCTTGAACTAGAAATAACCATTTGACCCAGCAATCCCATTACTGGGTATATACCCAAAGGATTATAAATCATGCTGCTATAAAGACACATGCACACATATGTTTATTGTGGCACTATTCACAATAGCAAAAACTTGGAACCAACCCAAATGTCCAACAATGATAGACTGGACTAAGAAAATGTGGCACATATACACCATGGAATACTATGCAGCCATAAAAAATGATAAGTTCATGTCCTTTGTAGGGACATGGATGAAGCTGGAAACCATCATTCTCAGCAAACTATTGCAATCACAAAAAACTAAACACCGCATGCTCTCACTCATAGGTGGGAATTGAACAATGAGAACACATGGACACAGGAAGGGGAACACACACCGGGGCCTGTTGTGAGGTGGGGGGAGGGGGGAGGGATAGCATTAGGAGATATACCTAATGTTAAGTGACGAGTTAATGGGTGCAGCACACCAACATGGCACATGTATACATATGTAACAAACCTGCACGTTGTGCACATGTACCCTAAAACTTAATTTTTAAAAATACCCCTACATATAAATTTAAAAATTACTAAAACACAAATCCCAATTTTAAAAAATCATGATAAATAACCATAGTAAAATATCAAAACCTCATAAGACTCCATATTCCTGCAAAAACAAACCCGCCTCCTGCAGCTGAGAAAGGAAACCTCCCCCTGCACCCGCCCCTGGGACCTGTCCCATCCTCAGTGGGTCCCGAGCGCCCCCAGTTGGCCCTGCGCGCCCCTGCAGGGAGATTTGTGTATGGGCCTACGTTAACCTCCCCCTCACTGTCTCTAGTACAGTAATAGATGGCCGTGTACTCGGTTTTCAGGGTATTCACTTGCAGATACAGTGTGTTCTTTGAATCATCTCTTGAGATGGTGAACCTGCCTTTCACAGATGCAGCGCATTCTGTCGTGTAACTGTTACGTTTGGTTCTAATACGGCCAACCCACTCCAGCCCTTTCCCAGAAGCCTGGCGGATCCAGTGCATTCAGAAGTCACTGAAGGTGAATCTAGAAGCTGCAAATGAGAGTCTCGGGGACCCACCCAGGCTGTACCAAGCCTCCCCCAGACTCCACCAGCTGCGCCTCACGCTGGACGCCTGCAAACACAGAGACACCCTGGTCAGAAACGGCCACACATATCTACTGTTTCTCTCACTCATGTCCACTCGCACTCAACATCTCTCATTCTCCATAAATCACCTTCAAACTCCGAAACAACATTATACTGAATAGGAATATGTTGAAAGTATTCCTCCTAAGACTCAGAACACGTCAAGGATGCCCACTTTCACCACTCTTAATCAATATGGAACTTGAAATCCTAGCCAGAGAAATTAGGCAAGAGAAAGAAATAAAGGCACTCAAATTGGAAAAGAGGAAGTCAAACTCTTTGTGTTTGCTGATAATATGATTTTGTACTTAAAAAAACTAATATTCTTTCAAAATACTCCTAGAATTGATGAGTTAATTCAGTAAAGTTTTAGAATAAATGAAAAAAGCATACAAAAACCAGTAGCATTATTATACACAAGTAACAATCAAGTAACAATCTAGCAGAAAGCCATAGATGAGTGGAACAGAATAGACATTTCATAAATAAAGTCAAATGCCTGCAGCCAAACTGACTGTGAAAAACTAGACAAGAAGCATACACTGGGAACAGGTCACCTTGTTATATAAATTGTGCAGGAAAAACTGAACAGCCATTTGCAGCAGAATAAAACTGGACCCGTATCTCTCACTATATCCAAAATTAAGCCAATATGGATAAAAGACTTAACTGGGAGACCTGAGAGTCTGAAAGTTGCAGATGCTATTCTAGGAAATATTGTTCTGGAGATTGTCCTAGGCAAAGAATTCATGACTACAACCTTAAAAGTAAACAATAAAAACCGAAATAGACCATTTGGACTTAATACAAATAAGAAGCAAAGCATCTGAACAGCAAAACAAATAATCAAAAAACTTAACCGAAAGCGTACAGAATGGGATAAACTATTTTTAAACTCTGTATCTGACAAAGAGCTAATATTTACAAACTACAAGAAACAAAAGCAACACAAAAACCCACAAATAACCACATTAAAAATGAGCAAATTACTACAATGTTTATTTTTCAAAAGACAAAAAAATCATCAACCAGCATATGAAAAAATAATCAATGACATTAATCATCAGAAAAATGCAATTTAAAGACACAGTGAGATACCATCTTATACCAGTCAGAAAAGCTACTATTAAAACAGTCAAAAAGAAAAATGGAACAAAACAAAAAACAGATGCTAGTAAGGATGCAGAGAAGCAGGAGTGCTTATACACTGCTAGTGGAAATGTAAATTACTATAAGCTCTATGGAAAACAGTATGGAGATTTTGCAAATAATTAATATTGGAACTAATATTTCATTCAGCAGTCCCACTACTGGGTATCTACCCAAGGGAAGATAAATTATTATATCAGATAGATGCCTGCATTTATATGTTTATTGCTGCTCTATTCACAATAGCAAATACATGGTACCAAACTAAGTTTCTATTAGTAAATGATTAGATAAAGGAAACAGTCGTATATGTTCATACATATACATATATGTACACACACATCCCCACACATACACACACTATACATGTGTATGTACATATACACATTTAATTACTACTCAATAATAGACAAGGAATGAAATTATGTATTTTCCAGTAGCATGGATGAAACTGTAGGCCACTATCTTAAGTTAAAGAACTCAGAAGAATAAAGTTGAATACCACATGTCATATATAAGTGAGAGCTAAATAATATGTACACATGGATACAGAGTGTGGAATAAGAAATATTGGAGACTTGGAAGGTTGGGAGGGTGGGAGTGGCATGTGGGATGAGAAGTTACTTAATGGGTACAATATACACCATCCAGATGATGGCTATACTCAAAGCCCAGATTTTATCCCTCAACAATATATCCATGTAACAAAACGGCACTTTCACCCCATAAATTTATACAAATAAAAGGATAAGTGATACATATCCCAATTATCACAAACCCACTCCAGAATGTCTTATACATACACACACAGCATTACCACTACTTTATTGTAGTGTTCCATTTTTTTCACTTAAAAGAGAAAGGCAATCTCCATTGTCAGGGTAAATACACTTTGGAGAAGCTGTTATCCAGTAGGCCAGGGCAGTGCAGCTCTCCCATCAGCAACCACAAAGCTTTGTGTTTGGGTCATGTACATTCATCTACTATTGTTCTGTAGTAGTCTCTGGGCACAACATTGGCCCACACATTCTCCTCCATTCTAAGGGACTCAAAACAGAATCCACTTTTACACTAGTCATTCTCCAAATCCAGATTAACAAAAATTAGTAAAGAAGCAAAAGATAAAACTCAAAAAGAGAGAACCCATCTCACTATCCTCCCATATTTCAGTCGTTTCATGCCTTACCCTCCCTATTTCACCACCTGAGCCCCCTTCTGGGTGGGTAGAGTTTGTGAAGCTTTTATCTTTTATCACAGTGTAATTGCTAACTCTAGTGGTCATGAGCCCATCAGCCCTAAATGAAAATGGTCAAAATCTGAGGTTGGTGCAGTATCCCTCTCCCTGCCAACTCTCTCCTGGATTTTCACTTAGTTCTCACAGATGGAAATTGCATATGTAGGCTATTTCTAATCATTTCACATTTCATTATGTATTGATTGAGCCAGCTCCTTGGGAGTTGGATTTATAATTTCTAAATCCCATTTACCTCCAGAAACCGATTTCAGCTCAGCTGCTGTAATAGACTGTAGTATTCTGTCACTCCCCAGGTATCAAATTTTGCCATTCCATACCTGAACACTTACGTTTTCCATGCAATGCTTCAGCCATGTATCATCATTGAGTCAGGGTCTCTCTAGGAAATCCTTCTTCTAACACAACTGTGTTGAGAGTTCTCATCTGCCACCTGTAGGCTGAAAAATCAGTAAAAACATAGGACTCATAACTGTTCTATTCACAGGAACAGTTTATTACAGAAAAATGATACAATTTAAAATAAGTAAAGACAAAAGGCACAAGGAGTGAAGCCCTGGAGAATCCAGGCACAAGCTCTCAGGTGTCCTCTCACAGTGGAGCCTTCTACACATGTGTAATTGTTCAGCTGTGAGGTAAGATGGCTTGTGTGAAGTGTTGACAACAAGGGGAGTGCCGCTGAGCTCTCTTGTCCAGGGCTGTGTTTGGGGAATGAATCATAGACTATGGAACACCTGGGGAACTGACCACAATACTCAGACGACAGCCCTCTCCAGCAAAACAAAAGTAGACATTCACTATAAATCACTGATTAAACTTGTACCGCATGTCCCAAGGCTACAGACATCCACAGACACTGTTATCAGGTGCAATATTTTATGGACTCGGAGATCTCATCACAGTAGGTAACAGCAATAAATGAACAAAAGTTTTTTTTTTTTTTTAGTTATTTTTTAGGAATGTGCAGGGTTTGAACAATTCATACCTGCTGAGTTAACCCAGTGCTATACACAAGTCCAGATGGGATGGATTGTGGATGGCCAGGCTGAGAAGAGAGGATAGAGATGGCCAAGTTAGGACCCCAGGGAGGAGCCTGAGGGAGGGAAATCGAGAACCTCTGGAGGGGCCCATGAGTGTGCCTGATCTGTGAGTTAAACCAAAGCTGTGATATTTCCAAGGAGCCCAAGAAAATGGTGCTACAGTGAAGGGTGTGGGGAAGTGGCCGTAAAGAGGCAGTGCATGGGTGCAGGAGCGGAAGGGAGCTAAAGGGGTTAAGAACCAGGAAGCAGAGCAAGGGATCTGGGCATTCCTTAAAGAAGTAGGTTCAGAAATAAGCTGTCAAATGCCTCTAGCCTGGGCTTCCATCCATATGTCAAAGATAAATTCTAGGCATGTTTCCCATCTGACAAATACCACAGTGTGAGGAAGGAGATGGCGGCGTTGCTAGGAGAGAACACTCTGGACGTGGCAGCAGCCCATCCTTGTCCACACATGGCCCTGCCTGTCCTTTATCATCACAGCTTGGAGGTTCTCATCCTTGTCCTGTGGTGGAAAAAAACCACCCTGTTCTTGGAATCCTAAGGAGATCTCCAGACACACGTGGGTGGTAAAGTCTACCCTAAATCTGGCATTTCCAAACAAGTCTTCTATCTACTTTTCATCAATGTGTTCATGAAGCTTCAGGTTAAGTGAAATATGTCAGTCACTAAATAGTAAAAACAAATCGCCAATTTACCAATGTTGGGATGACTCCTGGCTTTCAGAAGCAAAGAATTGGACAGAGAAGCAAAACTGTTTGTGCTCAGGACTTCTGGACACCACACATGGAAATTGAAATTCACACATACACACACAGTAAAATGGATAATCGCACTTATCTTATTTTTCGAGGTTCCTTGAGCAATTTAGGAAGCACTAAAGGTAGATTTATTAAAGAAAAAATATCAAGTAAAGACACTTGTTCCAGCACAGTAAGGAAGACTTTATCCAGGGTCCTCATGGTAGGTGTCGGGATCAGGGCAATGGTGTTTTGCAGTGAGGAGAGAGATTCAGCTGAACTCCAAATGCAGAATGGAAACATGGGGATTTAAAGCCAAGCAGCAGGGTGGGGTCCGGAAGATGGAAAATTACTGAGAGGAAACATCAGGGGCACAGCAAATCTTGCTTAAACCAACCTGCCAGAATTCTTGATGTTGGGCCAGGGTGATTAGACGTCACCGAGGTATGGTGAAGGGCAAGGAAACTGATCAGATACCCAGGAAAATCAGACATGGAGGATGGGGAACTCTGGCTAAACCAACACACCAGAATTCCAGGTAAAACTGAATTTCACATGAAGTGCAGAGAGAAGGGCTGATGAGAAGTTTTAGGAGCCTCCTAACTTCTGTTGAAGCAAATGAGCTTCATCAGTTTGGGACCCATAAATGGTAGCACTTTCTGCTAACCAAACTCACAACTAAGTGAAATGAGAAAAATTTGTCAC
Source organism: Homo sapiens (assembly GCF_000001405.40). Taxonomy (NCBI): domain Eukaryota; kingdom Metazoa; phylum Chordata; class Mammalia; order Primates; family Hominidae; genus Homo; species Homo sapiens. The sequence goes on from NT_187600.1 coordinate 960,144, forward strand.
AAAAATGTACATTCAACCATTTCCTGAATTTCTGGAGATTCTGAGTGGCAGAATGAGCTGAGGTGTGATAGATCAATGGGTGTCCTAATTCTGAACCCACAATTAGTTTTAAGGAGTGTTCACTGACAAAAGAACAGCTCAAGGTTCCCACATGTACAAACACCTGACTCCATGAATCTGCAGCTGGGGGTCTCTGCAGGCTCTGAGGTTCAGAGGACAGATCCCACCTCAGATTCAGCCTCAGGTAATTATTTGCTCTTTCTGTGGGGAGGAGAGCAACAGTGTAGAAGGAGGGTCAGCTGTACTCTATTTAGGAGCTCTGTACATGGAGGAAAACAATGAAAGTAGGGATCACACATCCTCAACACACGTCACAATTCCACATGAGAAAGGCAATTCTGTGCCAGGACATTCTGCAGAATTAAGGAATAAAGCAATTGGGGCAAATGTAGGAATCACCATTGTTTACAGACTGCATGTTTGTTTCTATGTCATCCACAGAAATGAAGTAAAAGTGTATGTTCTGTATAGAACCCACAGTCTCTGGGCCCTGAGTCAGCACTTCCCTCCCTCCACCTGCAGGGAGCACAATGCACCTGACCCAGGCACCCAGGGCTGCTCTCTGTCTTCCATGCCATGGCTGGTGTTGGAGCCACGTCCTGTGCTCCACTCTCAGGAGACGAACAAGCTCTGCGCTGATCTGAGCAGAGCCACTGCTGGGAGTCACTGGGTCCCTGATGGGAACCTGTGACACGACTCTGATTCAGTGACCTTGCTGGACCTTCATAGAACAACACAGAAGTTTAGGAAAGTTCCACCCAGTCCTCCTCCCTTTCTCCTTCACTCAGGGACCGACTTCCCTCACATGCATTCAGCTACCCCAGACCCCTTCCACCACCTCTGCATTTCCTCTCAGAAGAGTGGACAGGGAAACTGTACACGAAGGAAACTGTACACGAAGCTAATCCAGTCACAGAGTTTGCTTCTCCGAAGACCAACACTAACACATATATTTTGGCAAAGCTGTTTATAATACCAGCCAGATTCTATTAATAAATATAAAATATGAACCAACCATGGAAATCATGTTTTATGTGTCTCCTTGGCTAGACCATAGTCTCAATTATTAAATCAGACACTATTCTAGGTGTTGCTCTGATGGTTTCATACAAGTGTTATTCAAGCCTGCTATCAAGTTTCTCGAGCTAGGAAGATAGTGCTAGTTAACCTTGGTGTGCCTGATTTAATTCTAGCAGACATTAATCTAGTTGTTGCTCTGATGGCTTCATACAGGTGTTATTCAAGCCTGCCATCAAGTTTCTCAAGCTAGGAAGATAGTGCTAGTTAACCTTGGTGTGTCTGATTTAATTCTAGCAGAACAAAAGACAACAAAATTTCCTGGTGGATGGCAGGTGCGCCTCTTTCCAAAAATTCCAGCCTGCCCTTCCTGATGGCCAGCCCTAGACATGCCTAGACAGAAGACACAATTGCTGTCACCAAGAAATCCCACACACTGGAGTGTCCACAATCAGCTCCCCCAAAGTCACAGGTGAGGAAGGTGACACAGGCAGTTTCAGCAGATCCAGATCACAGATCTAGACAGGGTTCCTGGGGAAACTGTTAGATGGAGAAATTGTGAAGACTCTGAAAGGAAACCAGCTCTTAACCTTCCTGAGCAACTTGTCCCAGAGTTAACCCTATGCTCAGTGTGTCTTGAGTGGCCTCTGCAGCCCAGGCCCCTCCTGTCTTCCTGCAGCAAGGTTTTTGTCTGGGCTCTCGCTGACTTCCCCTCACTGTGTATCTTTTGCACAGTAATACAAGGCGGTGTCCTCAGTTCTCAGACTGTTCATTTGCAGATACAGGGAGTTTTTGCTGTTGTCTCTGGAGATGGTGAATCGGCCCTTCACAGAGTCTGCATAGTATGTGCTACCACCATCCCAACTAATAAGAGAGACCCACTCCAGACCCTTCCCCGGAGCTTGACGGACCCAGTGCATGGTATAATCATCAAAGGTGAATCCAGAGGCTGCACAGGAGAGTCTCAGGGACCCCCCAGGCTGTACCACGACTCCCCCAGACTCCACCAGCTGCACTTCACACTGGACACCTGCAAACACAGAGACACCCTGGTCAGACACTGCCACACATATCCACTGTTTCTCTCACTCATGTTCACTCACACTCAACATCTCTATTTATCCATGAATCACCTTTTAAAATAGCAACAAGGAAAACCCAGCTCAGTCCAAACTCCATGGTGCGTTCTCTGTGTTCAGTGCTGATCACCGAATGGAAACACCTGGGAATCTCAGGGCTGGGGCTCCTCTCCCAGAGCTGCAGGGTCAGGGCTGGGCTGGTTTTCATCAGCAGAGGGAGGACCCTATTTGCATGTCTCCTACTATATAATGAGTTCTGTAACAGATGCCTCAGAGTGGGCTGTGTCCAAGAGTGGATGTGGGTGATTATACTTCATAAGTAATTAATTCTCACTAGCATTCATACTTTTACATGCACATGAAATATGTTCTTTGAGAGTCAATGTTTCCTTCATTTACAGATGTGAATGTAAACCCCCAAGTATGGAAGGACCATGTGACATAGACAAGAGCTCACATCTCATAAGAGCCAGTCTCAGTGTCCAGCCTGCATTTCTCACAATTGGATCCAACTGTTCCCAAAATTAACTCTAGGAAAGAGCTATAAATTCCCAGTGAGGTTTACAAAACACTCTTCTTATAATGATATCGTGATATTATTTGGCTGTATCTTGGTGTTTTTATAAGTAATAGAGAAAAACTAAGGGTTAATTCATTCAGGAGTTCATGACTTTTCTTGTATTATTTTTATTTCTCTCTTCATCTTTTTCTACCACATTAGACTTTTATTTATAATAGCTTTAATGAAGTAATACAGACATATAATCTTCACACAATATGTTCACCATTTGACAAACATTGACCTAATGACCATTCACAGAGAAAACAAATCAATTCGCCTCTCAATTTTCTCTTTGTCTCTCACAATTTCTCCCTCCTATACCTTCGCTTCTCTTACTATGGAGAAGTCAGTTAGTGATCTTTGTTATGTAATTTCCAATGAGTATTCACTTTGTACAGTTTATAAAACGGAATCATATGTATGTGCTTTGGCTCACTATACTCATCATATGTACTTGTGAATTGAACCATGCTGTTGATCGTATCCAACATTTACTGATTGTAGTAGTGGGTACTATCCCAATAAACGACTTTTCCACAATTTGTTTACTTATGAAGGTGCTGATTAATATTTGGATTGTTTTCAGTTTCTGTGTATTTCAAATAAAGCTGCTGCTCAGCTTAGAGGAGTACACAGCTGAGAAACATGTTCCTGATCTTACAACAACATGAACAACAGCTAAACTGGTCAAGTTGCAAATGAATCAATATTCTTTAATACATCAGGTAATTAATGTTATGGCACCCCGTGTGTTTGTCAGTGTGTGAGTGAGAAAGAAAGAAAGAGGAAGGAAAGGAGACTGAAAAAGAAAGTGATTCTACATAATTATTAATTTGTGAGGTCCTCAAATACAGGGACTTATTCCTAATGAACAGGGTCCACATAGGTTGAAGTGGTTAACTTGATGCACCCACAAGATGGCTATAGATTCATAACATAAATAATATTCTCTAAACACATGAACACCCATACACATTAGAATAGATGTGCTGGAGGGTGTTTAGTAGTGGAAATGAGAAGGTGACACTAAACTCCGTCTTCAGAGCCTTTCCCCGCCTGCTACACCTGCTCTGAGGCTGAACCTTGAGCCTGCCTGACCACTGAGCCCCACAATGGTCCTGAGCCTTCAGGCGGTGCCAAATGCCCCCTGGGTTTCCCTGCTGGTTCCTGGGTGCTGGCTTCTGTCCTCAGCACCCACTGCTGTTCTGTAAACTCCCACAGGAAGGTTTGTGTGTGGGCTCATACTGAAGTCTCTTCACTGTGTCTTTTGCTTAAAAATACTTGTTTGTGGCTGGGCACAGTGGCTTATACCTGTAATCCCAGCACTTTTGGAGGCCGAGTCGGGTGGATCAGAAGGTCAGGAGTTCAAGACCAGCCTGGCCAACATAGTGAAACCCTGTCTCTACTAAAAATACAAAAATTAGCCAGGTGTGGTGGTGAGTGCCTGCAGTCCAAGCTACTTGGAGGCTGAGGCTGGAGAATCACTTGAACCCAGGAGGTGGAGCTCGTAGTGAGCCAAGATTGATTGCCCCACTGCACTCCAGCCTGGGTGACACAAGACTCTATCAAAAACACACACACACACACCAAAACAAAACAAAAAAACAAACATGGCTGTGTGCTTGTTGCTAATGTCACTCAGCCATACGAAGAGCTGTTTTTGGACATAGATCTGGAGGTGGTGACTGGACTCTTGAGGAGTGGGTTAGAATTTGTGCTCCCTTCATGACCTGTGCACCTGACCCACTCCAGTCCCTTCCCTGGGGGCTGATGGATCCAGCTCCAGCAGGAAGCACTGGTTCTGTTGGGGAATCCAGAATTTAAACCTAAATGTTATTGTTGTTGAGTCACTAAACAAAATGTGGTGCTCATTTCTATTGTGTTGAGATACACATGACATAAAATTTACAATTTTAGCCACGATTAAGTGTACGGGTCAGTGATACTTTACACATTTGCAATGTTGTGCAAATATCACCAGTATTTGGTTTGGGAACATTTTCATCACAGAAAAGAAAACCTCAGCTCCATTAAGCGTCACTCTCCATTTCCCCTCCACTCACCCCCTGTGATCTGTCTCTAGGGATTTTCCTCCTCTGCATACTTCATGTCAATAGGACAATTCAGGATGTAGACTTCCGTGTCTCCCTCAGTTCACTCACCCAATGTTTACAAGGCCCATCCGAGTTGCAGCCTATGTCAGTGCTTCACTCCTTTTTAAAGCACCACAGCGTCTTCATCCCTGTGGGTTACAGACGCACCGCGGCGTCTTCATCCCTGTGGGTTACAGACGCACCGCGGCGTCTTCATCCCTCTGGCAGTCGATGGACACTTGAGTTGTATTCTCCATCTACTTCTGTGAGTGGTGACACTAGCTACATTTATGAGGTTTTCTGTGAAGACCATTTTCCAAAGTTGCTGTCCCATTTCAATACCAACATGCAAGCCATGACCATTCCAAATTCAGTATGTCTATACCTACAAGTGGTTATGTTTTTCTATTCATTTTTCTTTTTTGAATGCTGATTATCTTAGTGTGTGTAAGGTGGTAATTCATAGGGAACTTAATCACCAGCATAAACCAAATAACCCCATTAAAAATGGAGAAAGGACATGCACAGAAACTTCTCAAATACAAACATAGAAGTGGCCAACTAACCTATAAAAATGCTCAGCATATTCAGTCATCAGATAAGTGCGAATCAAAACCAAATGATATACTTTCTCACATATGTCAGAATTGCTATCACTGAAAGATCAGAAATTAACAGATGCAGGCAAGGCTATAGAGATAACGGACCACTTACACACTTTTGGTGAAAATATAATTTGGCCCAAGAACTGATGAAATCAATCTGGAGATTTCTCAAAGAATTTAAAACAGAGCTACCATTCCCCTCAGCAATCTCATTACTGGGTATATGTCCAAGAGAAAACCAATCATTGGAACAAAAAGACACATCAACTCACGTGTGTATCACTGTGCTATTCACAGTACCAAAGACATACAATAAAACTAAATGCCGATCAGTTACAGACTGAAAAAAGAAAACGTGGTACTTATACACAGTGGAATACCATGCAGCTGTAAAAATGAATGAAATCATGTTTTTGCAGCAACTTGGATTAAGCTGGAGGCCAAAATTCTAAGCAAACTGACAGAGACAGATGATAAGAGTCAATGGGAGATGAAATGGACAATTTGGGTGTTTCTTTGTGTAAAAATGAGAAAAGAAATCCCCTGGTTGCATGAACTCTAGAAATAGACAAGCCTGGAGATGCTGATGTCCTGACTTCCATTACATTAGGTTGTGCTTTTTCTCATTTTTAGTCAGTTAACCTTGCTTTCCTTCACTCTTGCCTAAAATAGCCACAGATAATAATCTAGAGACATTAGAATAAAAATAACATATTTGAACATTAGAACAAGTGTTAACTTTTAGATCAAAGTTAGCGTGAATTCAGTGTGACAGACAGGAGACATGGCTGAATACTAGCAGTGTGCTCACAGTAATACTATCTAAATTAGGAAAGTTTATTCACATCTTTTAGATTAGATTCCGATTGAAATCCTTGATCTAGTATCATCTCTGATGAATCATACATCAGTAACGAAACTGGAGGTTATGCACTCAATTCAGTAGTACATTCAGAATCTGTTCCTCTACCTGATGTCAAGTCAGCCCGCATGACAGAAGTTTTATTGTGGTCAACAGAGCTCATCAATAAGCCAAAGACAAGGATTAAGTACATGTTTTACAGGAGTGCCTGACTTTGGGATGCTCTTCACGCAAAGAAGTTTCTCATATCTTCTGGAACACGTAAAAATTCTCAACAAAAGAATAAATTTTAGATGCACGCCTATATTTTAGGGAACTGATTCATGTAACTTAGAAAGTAAAATCCTAAAGGAAAATGAAATGGTGTAACAACTAAAAGTATATATATTGTAGTGGGTCATTATACCAAACAGTCTTCTTTATAATATTATCTAAACACAGAAGGCATTAGAATTACTTATATAACTCAGCATCATTCCCATCCACAATCTTCTGAAAATGTTGAAGAAAATTGTCATACTTGAACTAAACTTGTCAAAACCTTAAGAAAATCTTGAACTTCCTTGGCCAAAGTTTCTCTCCCTAGCACTAGAGCATTATAGTCAAGTCCCTCAGTGAGACATCAGTCATCACCTTATGATTTGGTGGCTGGAAGGCCCATACATTTAGAGATTTTCCCCCAGAGCTCACCTCTTCCTATTACATGCACGCATGACAAAGCATTGAAAGTGATGACTGTATCTTACCCACTCCAGTCATCGACAGATTAAGCTATCATTTTCCTACATCTTTTCAATAGCCTCTAATGACATTAAAACAGGGAATGGTATTTACTGGAAGAAACATCAGGGTAGGATATTGCTCTTGAACGGCTTTGAAGGGAATCTTACCAGGTAATTTTAACCACAACACAGCAGTGAATATGCACAATGTCAATACTAGGGTTCATATTTATGAACTGTAAAACAAAAATAAAATCCTAAGTGCCCCAACTGACTAAATAGTCCATCTGTTCATCTAAGGGACTCCAGAAAAGCCTAAAAACTGAGATCCCAGCCATGACAAGATCAGACGCGCCTCTTACACTCACTCCCCTTTGCGGTTTAGACACAACAATGACCAACACTAATGTTAAAATAGAGATCAAAAGAATGACAGAACAGAATCTCTGTGGCAATAAGATGTCAAATTATAAACAAGACCTAAAGCCATGTCAGGCAAGGGTTCTGCCACTCACTCCCACACTTAAAAGGTAAACTGTCTTCTAACTGCCAATAGGTTATTCGTTTTCTCTAGCGGCTCAGTAAGCACCGGCACTGAGACAAGCACTATGAAGACAATTGCAGCCCATCCCCTGATGAACTGACCCCTGTTCCACAAGCCATAACCCCAGCTTTGATTGAACACTAGAGTGATATCAGGACCTTTCTCCTGATCAGAGACCACTCACCATGGCCTGGCTCTGGCCGTTTACAGAGGCTGCACCCTGAGTGCCTTTGTGTTTCTGCTTCTGCTATTGGCACATAGGGCCTGACTGTAATGAATTTAAATGCTAAGTCTCCACTGGTAAGTGAACAGGGGTCATACGTTACAGACATGTTTGTTCAGTATGCATGTGTGAGGACCACCTCCATGAACATCAGTAGCCCCTCCTGTAACCTGTTGATTATGTCTGTTTAGCCAAACCCTTCAGCATAAAGCTTCTGCCCAACCCCTTCTTCCTGGGAGTGCCTTTCTCTCGTCTTTACCAAAAGCTATGCTTTCCAGCATATGGGATGGCTGTAAACCTTGATAAAAATAAACTCTCACTTTCCTAAATTGTAGATTGTGTTTTTTTTTATTTAACACAACTGAAGATTAAATTCAGAAGTACATCTAATTATAAGGCTACTTTAGTGAAGAACGACAAACCGAGGATTTTCACATATACTGTAAGGGCCTGTGATATTTTGAAGCAGGAAGCTGACCTGAGACCTTCAGAATTAACTGATAACTGTGGATAATGAAAAGGCCCCACTCAGGACATTGATTCAGCACCCCTGCCTGTCTCATTCATTCTTCTCTTTCTTTTTATTATGTGCTTACAGTAATAAAATTTTTATTTTCTTTAGACCTGTTTGCTTTTCACACATAGTGGACTCTTCTCTCTCTTTTTCACTCATTTTCTTAAGCTGCTAGGGAGAATAAAGCGTCAGGTCCTATTTTTGGTGCCTCGTTGCTGACGAATTAAGGTTTATTCTTCCTCCTCCTTATCCCCTGCATGTGGTAAATCTAGTAAGAAATCACAGAAGCTCCCTTATCTGATGCCCCTGTGAGGTTTAAATCACACAATCTCCTTCTCCTGAGTAGAAACGCACCCCCAACCCCACCACCAAATCATTATAAAGCCCTGAGCCAGCCTCCTTTCCTGTCTACTGAGGAAATTCCAGTTTGAAATTTCTTGAGAGGCCTGTGCTGCTCTCAGCAGACACCTCAAAAATAGAGTTAATAAATGTTTTCATATTCACCTGGAGTGTGAGTGTGGAACCATCAGACTCGAAATCCACACTAACCATTGGTGGGGTCTCTCTTCCTTTGCCCAGTATCACCTACAATTGGAACTGTGGGCTTGGAGTCCTGACAATGACCACCACGGGGGCTTTCTTCTCTTGCACTGGATGCTAACTCCCTCTGCCCCAATGCCCAGCATGCACTTTATCCTGCCTGCTTGCTCACTGGCCCTTGGAGTTCTGTTGAGCTGGGCTGCCATGCTGAGTTAAACACCGCACCTTTTATAGATTTAGCTGATTAACTTCAGAAGCATTGACACCTTATTGACATTCAGAAACAGGAGTAAATGACTGTAGGTGACTCTGCCTTTGGTGCATATGAGAAAGTTTTTCTCTTGTTACGACAAATGTTTCTTCTTCAGACTTCACAGGAAAAAAAGGATAAGGAATCCAGAGATGTGCCACAAAGGAAACTGTTTTATGGAGAGGAAGCCACAGGGCTGACAGGAAACCAGACCTTAACACCCCTCTGCACCTGCCCTGGGGCTGGCTCTTGTGCTCAGTGGGTCCTGAGCGCCCCCAGGTGGTCCAGTGCCCACTTCAGGGAGGCTTGTTTCTAGGCTCACACTGACTTTTTTTCTAATTGTTTTCACAAAAATGGAGACAGAGTAAACGGTGAATCCATGCATCTCAGAGAACACAGAACAATAGCATAACACCCCTCGACACACACACACACATTTAGGTGAATCTTATTAAAACTGCTGAAAACCAAAGACAAATAGAAATACATGCAGACAAGTGGAGATGAGTTGAGGGGGCATTCCTTCTAAAAGAACAGGAAAGATGATGACAGCATTCTTCTGGTTAAAACCTTATAAGCAAGAGGAAAATTGATGGTGTCTGTAAAGTGTTGGAAGAAAAGCCAACCCATTATTTTGTAACCCATGGATGTTCGCTAAAAAGTGAAAAAAAAAAAAAAAAAAGACTCTACCAGCTGCACCTCATACTGCACACCTGCAAACACAGAGAAATCCTGGTCAGCAACTGCCACACATATCCACTGTTTCTCTAATATCCACTCACAAACAATATCTGTAGTTCTTCATGAATCACCTCTTAAAATAGTAACAAGGAAAGCCCAGCTCAGCCCAAACAACATGGTGAGTCCTCTGTGTTAAGTTCTGATCACCAAGTGAAAACACCTGGGAATCCTGGCACTTGAGCTCCTCTCCCAGAGCTGCAGGGTCAAGGCTGGGCTGGTTTTCATCAGCAGAGGGAGGGAACTATTTGCATGTCTCCTACTATATAGAAGTCTCTTGGGCAGGATGTCTGAGGACAGGGCAAGGCACAGAGCAGATGAAGTTTTCTAGTGGGTGGTGGGGCTTGAAGACAATGATAATATTTGGAAAAAATGTAATTTCTTAGTAAAAGATTGTGCTGTGGTAAACATTTAGCATACATTATCTTAACACACGAAAATACATTGTTAGAGGCAGATGCCCATTGGTCCTCCATTTACAGATGTGAATGTAAACCCAGAAGCATGAGGGAGCTATGAGATGTGTCCTGGAGCTCACATGTGACAAGAATGGGCTCCAGGATCGGGACCTGTGCTCCTCTCCACCGGATCCCACAGCTCCCTTAGCCAACTTTATCCCAGAGTTACGCATACCTGGTGTGGTTTGAAGAAACCCTTCTTGTAATAAAAACATTAAAAAAAACTGCTGCATTTTAGAATTACCAAAAAATAGAGATAGAGCTAAGGGTTATTCATTGTACATTCAGAAATATCTGACTTTTTATGTGATTTATCCATCTCCCTTACACCGTCCCTAAGAAATTTATACAGGTATTTATTTGTAATAGCTTGAATAATATAAAATTCTAATTAACACACAAAATGTACAATTTGGAAATTATTGATGTAACCATCACCATTATTAAGATAGAAAACAAATCAATTACCCTCAACATTTTCTCTTATTCTCTTGCAACGCCTTCCTCCCTCTTTTCTCTCACCTTTTCTCCATTCAACTCCCGACCTTCATGTCACTTCAGTTTCTATTCTGTAGAATGTATAAAAGTGTCATCATACAGGATGTAGTTTTTTTTTTTTGGCTTATTTTACTTATATGTACTCGTGAATTTAGTGCGTTTATGCGTGTATCAAACGTTCATTAATTGTAATGAACAACAGTATTCCAATGATTGATTTTTTTTTTTGTTTTTTTGAGACGAAGTCTCGCTCTGTCGCCCAGGCTGAGTGCAGTGGCGCAATCTCGGCGATTCTCCTGCCTCAGCCTCCTGAGTAGCTGGGATTACAGGCGCGCACAACCACGCCCGGCTAATTTTTGTATTTTTAGTAGAGACGGAGTTTCACTATGTTGGTCAGGCTGTTCTCAAACTCCTGACCTCATCATCCACCCGCCTCGGCCTCTCAAAGTGCTGGGATTACAGGCGTGAGCCACCGTGCCCGGCTGAATTTGTTAAATTCGGTGTTTAATCTGACATCCTTCTGGATTTGCTCACATTGGAACGTAAAAGAAAATAATTTCCAAGACTTACGTGTAGCCAAAACAAAACCAAAAATTTCCCGTCTCTAAGCTACACCTACCACTGGATTTTTAACTGAGGAAAGATGAGCCTGAGAGAAATCACAAAAGCAGCCAATTCAAGGAAAAGCCATTTATCGTTCTCAGCTGAACTTAAGACCACAGTTACCACGAAGGCAGCTTCTCCACCTCCGGAGCTCAAGCGATCCGCCCGCCTCGGCCTCCCAAAGTGCTGGGATTCCAGGCCTGAGCCCGGCGCCCGGTCAGCGAAGGCAACGTCTAAAAAAACTTCTCACCTCCTGTCACCATTTCAGTGACAAATTCCCGAGTTTTCAGAGGACATGCCGAATCCAGCACAAAACACTGACTCTGAGGAGCTCCCGACGCCGCTGGCGCCTCAGCTGGCAGCAGCTGCTCCAAGTTCGAACCCGCGGGCGGTGGCGGAAGGGCCTTCTCGCGGGCGTCGGGCAGCAGCTGCAGCCCTGGGCTCGGCCGCGGCGGCTCCGCGTCCTTCCCGGAGGCGCCGGCGCGAGGTCCTCACACCCAGGCGGCTCAGTGGAGGCGCAGCAGCCCAAGGAGCGCGGCCCCCAGCGCCCGCGCCCATCCTGGAGAACTGCATCTGCGCAGGCCCAGAGCGTCCTCCTGGAGCAGGCGAGCCAGGATGGCGCCTCCTCGCTCCCAGCAGGCGCCCCCACGCGGCCCGTGCGGAGCCCAGCGACCAGAGCCGCGCGAGCCTGTGGGGAGCCTGTGGGGAGCCTGTGGAGGCCTGGGCTCCACCGCCTTCCCCACAGCCAGCAGCAGCTTGTGCCGCCCGCCTTCCCCTGGCCAGGTCTTCCTGCAGCTGGCGCCGGAGGCTGCGGAGGGAGGGCCCAAGGGTTCTTTTCAGAAGACTGGCTTTTTATGAATTTTAACACAATATGTACAAGCTGCGTTCGTTTAATAACGCTGCTTCCGTCATACACTGGCAACTTAACACCTGAAAAGATTAGATGTTATAAATAGGACTTGTTCATCCTTTATACACAGGATATCCATAGATAAATAAAACAAACACACAGACAGAAGAGATGATCATTAATCTCTCCTCCCGGTGCGCACAGAGGCCTGGAAGTCTGCACTTTCTCCTCCTCTCTCCTCCCCTGAACCAGAGCACAAACGCAATGTGTGTTGATCAAGCAGGGATTTGGCCATCCTCCCCACCCCCCACCAACATCAAAATAAAATAAAACACTGCATATGAATTTTAACAAAAAGATATTTACAAAATTTATTATTTTACCACCTGTAATTTTAACATACATCAGGCACTTCAGAACATCTAGAAAGACTAGATATTTCAAAAGAATACTTAGAATTTCCAATGATGTATACAATAGCGAGGAATAAAACGCACACAAGAAAACAATGACAATGATATGAAAATGTCTTCTAAATATGAGCAGCCTGGCATGGAACCCTCTTCCCTTCCTGCCCAGGTCTCCCCTCCATGTCCTCTCACCCACTGAACGAACGTGGACGTGTGGTTACTGTGTCCCTTCCAGGGGTGGTCTAATAACACCATTTCAAAATGTCATTTCCAGAAGACACCCCTTTGCTATGATTTTTTTAAAAAGCACATGGTAACTTACGGCCAGGCACGGTGGCTCACACCTGTAATCCCAGCACTTTGAGAGGCCAAGGTGGGTGGCTCACCTGAGGTCAGGAGTTCAAGACCAGCCTGGCCAACGTGGCAAAACCCCATCTCTACTAAAAACTACAAAAATTAGCCAGGCGTGGTGGTGCACACTTGTAATCCAAGCTACTCGGGAGGCTGAGGCAGCACAATTGTTGAAACTCAGGAAGCAGAGGTTGCAGTGAGCCAAGATCCTGCCACTGCACTCCAGCCTGGGCGACAGAGTGAGACTCCGTCTCAAAAACAAAAAACAAAAAAACGAAAAAAAACGGAAAACAAAAGACAAGCACATGGTAACTTACAAGACATGTAATTTTCTGACTCTGTCATACATTTGGGAACCTCCTTATATCTAGGCGGATTAGATGCAGCAAATGTTTTCTTTTAAAAGGTCAGGGAAAGGTCGAGCGGAGCTTTTTCATGTGTTACGCACAGGCCTTCTAGAAAGGGCTGGTAAAGTGTGGTGGGCATGTCCAGTGGGACAAACTTGGAAGGTTCTTCTCTGTTTCTCCCCATCCATGTCAAGGTCTTGTAGAAGAACGATCACCATCCGGTGGCCGCTACCCGTTCCCCACATCGTCTTCCAGGACTCTACTAACATTTCTTGCCCTAAGGCCTTTGAACCTTGCCAGGACTGGCAGGGTCCCTTCCAACATGGACAGGAGTCATCCCAGGATTCGGAGCTTCGGGGCTGCATGGCCTGAAGAGAAAGCGGATCTAAGTCCTAGACCCCGCTTCCTGGCGACCCCACGCGTCCCCGGAACTCCCACGTCCCAGCTGCCCCCTCGCATCCCTGGACCGCCCACAACCCGCCAGCCCCCGCGCGTCCCGGACCACCTGCATCTCAGCTGCCCCCGCGCCTCTCCAGACCGCCCACGTCCCAGCTGCCCCCTGGCATCTCCGATCGCCGACGTCCCGCCATCCCCCGCGCGTCCCCGGACCGCCCACGTCCCATCAGCCCCGCGCCTCCCGGACCGCCCACTTCCCGACAGCCCCCGCGCATCTCTGTGGCAGCTGCTCCGTGCTTCCCGCCCCGCCGCGCCCGCCCACCCAACGGCGCTGTGTCCCGCCGGTAGCTCAGCGGGGACTTCCTTTATGTGGTACAGGGTTGGGCCTGGAGACCCGGATGCCGGCGAGGTCCTGGCTGGGAGAGGCCGCCGCTGCCTTCAGGTTTCCGAGGTGGGTAGAGAGGTTCCCGCTGCTTTGAGGTCAAGGCTCCTCGGTGGCAGCCACAGCAAAGGCTCCAGTGTCCGCCGCAGGGCAGAGGCCGGGCCTGTCTGGGGACCCCCGACTCATCTGAGGCTCAGGGCGGAGGGTCCAGTGAACTGACCTTGCCCCGCTTCTCACCACGCGCCCAGTGTCACTGTATTCAGCCACCACTGCACAAAGGCGGCACAGCTCTGTGCCCTGAGAAGCCCCTCATTCCCTCAGTGACTCCACAGGGAACACCGGGTGGGCCCCTGGATTCACAGCCCTGTAGCACGCTGCCCAAGGGGCCCCCTTGCTCTCCCACCACCCAGAACACCGAGCCCGTTGTCAAGGCTGAACCATCCGCGGGCAGCTGGGACCAGGGAACATGGTGAGGGGCTCACGGCACCTGGCGTGCAGATCCCAGTAGCTGGATGCGGTTCTGCTAATCACTAACAGGCTTGCAGGCTTCCCCAGGAATCCACCCATAAACTTCACAGAACACCGTGTCTGTGAACCACCCAGTATGTGCATTCAGTTTCTAACCTCACTCTGGTCCGGAATCTGCCACCTGCAGGATCCAATTAACAAGAGAGAGATCTGGTACAAAGATTATTGTATTAACCATAATGGTAAAGGGGAAGTGACCGCATTCCCATCCCAAGCAACCACTTGAATTTTGAAGGAAAGGCAGGGGTTTAAAAAAGGAAAAGTTGGTAAGAAAGGCATGCAAGATTTGGGCTGAGAACCAGGTCTGTGCGTCTTGTTCTGGCGGCTCTCTGGCATCCCAGTCCACCTAGATCTTGGGCTGGCATCATCTGGGCAATGCCTGGGTTGTTAACTAGCAACATTGAAGTCACCTCTGGAATTCTGCATCAGGGTCTCCCGACTTTGTCTATCTGTCTCAAATTAGCTTCCGGAACTTCCAAAAAGGCACATAGTTCGATGCAAACATAAAGTTAGATTAATGTGAAGGGAATATTTATGGTGAAAGGGAGAAAGGTGGAGTCTATTTCAAGGCGTAAGAAAATTGATTCTGCTGTTTGCCTCAAGATTATATCTTTACACCCAAGAGAGACAGAAAAGTTTAACCTCTCTTCTGCCACCATGTATGACTGCCTTGCTTCCCCTTTTTCTTCTGCCATGATTATAAGTTTCCTGAGGCGTCCCAAGCCATGCAGAACTGTTTGGTGTGGAGATTACTGAAGAAGGGTTTTACTTACTACTTGACAGAATTCCCCTTGGTGAAGAGGAAATGTCAGAGATCTTTAATTCATGACGATGTTGGATTATTGGCAGTTGGCTCACTAAGGATCCCATGTCCAAGAGCAGGATTCTCCTTCCAAAGTGTGGGTGTGGACTTGAGGAGCAGCCTTTGAAAGATGGGGCCCCTAGAATTTATAGAACTTCCTTTGATTCCTTGGAGGTTTGCAGTCTCCAGGTTGTCTGTCATCCAGGACTTTGACTGTTTGTGTGAAAGAGTGCTTCCTTTTGGGTGAAGAATTCTGTATGAATATCCTAGGGCTGCCAAAATGAAATACTACAAACTGGGTGGCTTAAAAATGACAGGACTGTATTCTCTCACAGTTCTAGAGACTAGAAGTCCAAAATCAAGTGTGAGCTGGGCTGCACTCCCTCTGAGACTCAGGAGAATTCTTCCTTGCCCTTTCCTCACTTGTGGAGGTGACTGGTAATCCCGGACATGCATTGGTTTACTGCTGCACCACTCTGATCTTTGCCTCTGCTGTCATATGGCACACTGTATGTCTCTGTCTCTGTGTCCAAATTTCCTTGTACTTAGAAAGACACCCATCTTCCCACATTGAGGGCCTGCCCTGCTCAAGTAAGACCTCATCTTCACTAATAACATCTCCAGCTACCATATTTCCAAATAAGGACGTGTTCTGAAGTGCTGGTTGTCAGGACTTTGACATATCATTTGGGTACACAGTTTAATACATGACGAACCCCGTTACAGAGCTACCATGTCTAGTGTCTTACACATTTTGTTTGGAGGGGGAGGGTAAAAATAACAATGGACTCCTGTGTGTTCTCTGACGATAGCAATACCAATAGCTACCATGTAATGCCTATTAGTTGTTAGGTACTAAATATTAACTAATTTCATTCTTACAACAACCCTACTTTACATATGAGAAAACTGGGGTACAGGAAGTAACTGGCCCATTGTCCTCCAGTTAGCAGTGGCAGAGACGGTATACAAAGCCAGACTTCCCAGCTCCAGAGGCCGCATACTTAATACCACCCTGCCTTCTGGACAGTCAGGACAAGCAATTATGCCTGTGGTAAACATACTGTGCTGACAAGTAAGGTTACACTTGAAATGTGGCTTACAATGCAAGGTATAGAGATTACAGGCAATTCATGTGTTCTGGTTATTTGTTGCTATTAAGTCTGAATTAAAATGTAAGTGTGAAATTTCAGGTTTCAGGGAGTATAAAAAATAATATTAAAACCTCAAATACTAAGTTTAAAATGCATTTTGAAATTAAGCTGCCTGTATATCATTCCCCACTGTCAAATTCCATTTCGTTTCTATGGAAAACATGTGTCATAGTCATTCTGGCTACTTCTTTAGAAAGGGCATAGGTTGTATGTATTGGAAGGGAATCCATTAAACTGGAGTTGGAAATATTCTGGAGTCTCCGGAATTACAGTAGGTGTTTGTTGGAGCATTATGGTGCAAGGACCTAGGAGTTTTTGAGAAGGTCAGTATTACATTCTCACTTAAAGTGCAAGATAGCAATAAAATCCATAGCAATTGAAGATAGCAATGAACAGAATACCAGCTCTACTATATATGAAACTCTTCCATGTGTTAGGAAGTCAACTAAACCATGCTGTCATGGGGTTCTGAGAGAGGGCATCCATCTCTAGCAGAAATATGGGTATCTAATGCTTGCATAGCTTGAGTTATATTGTGGGACTAATCTTGTATATATATGCAACATTCAGTGTTCATTAATACACAAGTGTTACCTTTGGCTGTAGTTGCAATACCTAGGGTCATATAGCTTCATAGTGTCACTTGTCAAATCTGTGAGGTTTCTTCAGTAAGAATGATGATGGCATGGTAGGTGTTGTTAAAGGGACTGGTGGTTTGCTTAGCCAGGGCCTCTACTTGCAATTCTAAATCTATGACTGCCACCTGGGGGGAAGAGCTGGCTAGTGGGCAGAACAACTAGGATGTCTGTTTATGTCAGTAGTGTCTGTCTTTCACACTTTTCCAGTTGACATAAAGAGAATGCACTTTGGACAGTTACATCCTGGGATATAAGGTCATATCCAGTTGCTTCTTTTAGTCCAGTTGTAAGGAAAGTAGGGCCAGCCATGAGTGCCACAGGCTGTAGCTAACCCCAGAGGGAAGAACAGATTCCACTCTGCAGGCTGGCATTGCCTTGTCATCCCAGCCACATATTAAGGGCTCAGTTACATTGCTAAGGAGGCAACAATTCCATATCATGAGTGACAGTGTAGAGTATGCTGTGGTGTTTCTTCACACATAGCAGTGCTTGACCAATTACTTGGATTCGCACCACTGTCAGCCATCCTACCTCACTGGATATGGCATAGCCTATAGTGGGAGTGATATTAATGAAGTGTCTTCTGTTTTTATAATAGATGGAAAAGATGGCTTCTCCAATGGATGGAAAATCATAAATTCTTACGTTGGGAGCTTGTATTATGCCAGGGCAGGCCTATAGTGGAAGAAATGGGCAAACTCTTTACAGAACCAACTATGTTTTCTTTTGCAGGGAAGCCACCATCTTCCACCCATTCAGCAAAAAAGATTAGTTTTAATAAGGAGAAATAATGTACTTATAACTATAGAACTCATTAAGAATTTTATATTAACAGAAGGGTATTACCTATCTGTCTTCTTGTCTCCTCTTTATCAGCAACTTCAGGTTTTCCTTAGGCTTATGTGACCAGGTAGTCTGTTATCTGGGGTCAAATTGAGGTGGGACAGGTTTTTTCCAACAGCGATGCACCCATGGCTTTACATTGGATAACTTAACTGAACAAAGGTTAATCAGTAGCACATCATGGGGTCTGTTCCACCTTTCAGTCAGCTGCTGATCTTGTTTTTGACTTTTACAAGACTGTAGTGGCATCTTGTCTCTTGGATGGAAGGGGTGAAGAGGCTCACTGTGGAATAAACAGGCCTGGAAATAGCAAGCTGATGTGCAGTTAGCAAGGTCTGCACCAATCTGCACATATGGTTTAACTCTGGGCTCTTTTACCAGCTCTAAAGGTGCTGTTACTGGCAAGAGGTCTGGAAGGGCCTCCTATATATAATTTCAAAGAGACTTTTCCCAAGCCCACTTCAGGGCACCGTTCTGCCCCAGAACAAGGCAATAAGAAAAAATCTATCCCAACGCAGGTCAATTTCCTGCCTGAGTTTGGCTATTGTCTTCTTCAAGGTGTTATCTTTTATTTCTTTACTGCTGACTGTGGTCTCCATGATGACTGTGGTTTCCATTCGATTTGCAGTGCTTGACTTACCTTTTGAGTAAACTCTGAAATAAAAGAAAGATCGTTGTCACTGTGTATAGTGCATGGGAGTCCAAACCTGGCAACGATTTCCTTGAATTATGCCTTAGCCAGTCATGTGGCTCTTTGGGACTTGGTGAGATATGCTTCTACCCATCTTGAAACAATATCTAGAACAATCAGGAGGAATTTATAGTTGCCACTGGCCACAGGCATGTGAGTGAATCCACTTGCCAATCTTCCAAGAGTCACAGTTCTCTGTGTTGTACCTCTTCGTTGCAAAGATTTTGTTCAGTCTCAAAGATATTTTTGGCACACAAAACACACTCGTATGTGACTTTCTGAACAGTTTTCTGACCATTCTGACACATGGTCATACAAAGTCTGCAAGGGAATCTCATTTGGAGTGTGTGCCCTCATGTAAATGTTTTAAAATTGTAGACCAGGGCCTCGGAGAGTAAGAATAATCCATAAGCATTAGTTTTTCAGAATAAATCTGGATCTGTTTTACCAAATCCCCAGTCGCAGGCATGCTTCTTGTCTATTTAGTATAATGGAGTTTGAACTATGGAAACTCCAGATGTGGAATCAAAGCTCATAGCAGGTGTGCATCCTGCACTGCTCACTTCTCAGCCTTTTCTGCAGTCTGATTTCCTTTAGGTGCCAATGAGTCATCTTTTGGGTGCTCAGGGCAATGCATAATGGAGGATGAGAAGGATGAGAACACACCTCTAGTAGTTTAACACCATTTCTATTGGGTGTTTAATGTCCTTATTTCCTGATGAGACAAGGCCTCTTTCTTTCCAGATGGCCCCATGAGCATGCACCACCATGAAGGTGTACTTAGTATAGGTGTCAATGTTTACTCAACTTGGTGAGGGTGATTAGCTCAGGTTTCGGACCAGAGGTACTGGCAGAAAGGGCACAGGCTTCTATTATCCAGTCAATAGTTATGATCGCACAACTGGCTCAGCATTTTTCCTCCTCCATGAAACAGCTCCCATCAGTTTAAATTTCCCAATCTGGAGCATTTATTGGCTGGGCTTCCAGGTCTGGGCTGCTGAAGTTGACTGCATCAAAAAATTTCAAACAGTCATGCACTAAATCAAAATCAAGTGCTGTAGCTGGGAGCAGAAATTTAAAATTACCTTTATTTTTCCTCTATTGCCTCCCCAACATGAATCCATCAGAAGATACATCATTCATTATTTCAAAATATATTCTACATTTATATATCCAAAGAAATGTTACTGTGGAAATATTTCATCAGATCTTCATCATGAGACTCTGTGAGGGCAGAGACTTGGCCTCACCTCCCATTAGCTCCACTCCCACACTGGAGAGCTTGCAGTCCTGAGCCTGCAGAAGCTGAGCTGCATGGCCAGCTTGGCTTGAGTGAAGGAGTGGATGTGTGTTCCCCTCCACATGGGGTATGTGAGCCTGAGGGTCTGGGAATTAATATATTCCTAAAAAAATACATCCTATCTTGTATATGGTGGGTTCAGGCTTTCTGTTTGTTGATCTCGATTCCCCTGAGTGATCCCCATCTTTCCAACTTTGTGGAAGACAAAAGTGAAATAACTATTGGGACAATTCTTCTCTACAGACAATGGAGACTCTGAGAACATCCAGAAATATCCACAGGACTGGCGAGGCTGTGGGCTTTCAACCACCACGAGAGGCTGTTTGCATATGATTCTTCTAAAATTGACATCAGTGAAATGCCTTGAAGATAATAAAGTGTTGAAGAAATAAACAAAATCAGAATATATGGGATCAGTTAGAAAGCTCTTATTTAAGGTGAGTTTATGAAATGAGGATGATTGCACTTGTAAATTCTTAGAATTCTTAGAGTGATTATGTAGATTACAGTTATTCCAGTACCTGGCCCTTGGTAAGTTTTGCTTTCACACTTATGATCTTTTTCCTCCAAAATGAAAGGTACATCTGTTTCCATAGTTTAAAAATATGTCTGTGTCTGCCTGGCTTGTCAGAGGTTTACAAGGCATGGAGATTAAAAGCCCTTCCCTGGGGAGGAGCCCTGACCCCCACCTCCTGTGCCTGACCCAGTTCAGTGGTTCCTAAGTACACCCTGGTGACCTGATCCTTCCCCTTGTGGTCCCAAGAACCCCTGCAGGGCAGGTTTGTGTCTGAGTTCACTCTGGATTCGAGTCACAGTGCCTTGAGCACAGTAATACACGCCTGCCTCCCCAGCCATCACACTTCTCAGCTGTAAGTTTTCTTGTTTTTTACTATGTGTTTCTGGAGATGCTAGCTCTGCCCTGAAGGTTGGGGCTTAGTGTTTCCCTTAACCCATATCACACCAACACACTGAAGACCTTTTGATGGGAGATGGTGGATCCAGGAAACAGAATGTTCAGAAATTGAATGTGCATAGGCGGCATAGGTGAGGCTGAGCATGACCAAGGGGACCACTACTTCTTCCTCCCATTGCACAAGGTGGTCCTCACTGTGAACCCCTGAGAATAGAGAACATCTGTGAGTCACAGACACATTTGCCTCATCCCGTGTCTCCCCACGTATGAAATCATGAGTAACTCACCACAGAGGGCAGCCAGCAGGCAGAGAAGGAGTAGCGGAGGGGCCATGTATCTATGGATGTGGAGAGTGCTACTAGA
The DNA here is from genome assembly GCF_000001405.40 of Homo sapiens. Lineage (NCBI taxonomy): Eukaryota > Metazoa > Chordata > Mammalia > Primates > Hominidae > Homo > Homo sapiens. Next base: position 981,480 of record NT_187600.1, read on the forward strand.
GACCCCAGCTCAGAGCCAGCACACAGCATAACACTCACAGCCCTGCCTCTATTCGTTCTTGAACCCGGGACTTATTTGCATGGACAGAGCCCCAAGGGCATAGGGTGAAGGGGTAATGTGAGGGGGAGCTCACTGCCCCTGAGCTCTCCTCAGACAGGGTCATAGAATGGGGTCTTGTCTTGTAGAACAGTGGGGAATCTCTGGGTTCCAGGAAAATGAAAACTTAAATGTATCTCAGGACTCTGGAGCTCCCTTTAGGAGTCTCTGTTTCTGTCTTCTTGCTAAATATTCTCAGCAAGATCAGCTGAAATTCGTCATTAGAAGAGGGAGTTCTTAGTATTCTTTGGCTGGAAAGAAGGCTCTTCTCCCATGACCAACTAAATAAGCAACCAATATAATCTAATATACATTATCAATGTCACATGAGTCAACATAGACTGCTTTCTTTATTTTTTTTCTTTTAAGCATATTGTTCAACATTTGTTCTATTTTAAAATCTTCAAGAGACGTTCATATGAAAATATAGCTTAAATATGGCCTCATTGGTGCAGATGATAAAGCATGGAAACTTTGCTTTTTCAGAAACATGGAGGATATGAGAGCAAGCAATGAAGTAATGTTACAAAATGACATATTTGAGTAGTTCATACTGGTGGAATTTTCCTGGCACTCTCATGAGTTGAAACATAATCATTAAAGACTCTGGCACTTGAAACCGTGATGACAGCTGCATTTCTTGCAGTCAAGGGAACTCGGAGTGTTTTAGCTTATGGGTTCTGTGGAAGCCAGGCCACTTGTCTTCCTCGCTTCAGCCCCCTTCGCACAGGAGGTGACGAATCTCTTCCCTCACTGGAGTTCCTGGAGCCAGAGTATACAAAGAAGCCACACACAAAGCTCCTAAAGAGAGCTCCACAGGCCTGAGACATATTAAATTGTCATCTTCCTGGGACCAAGAGATTCCCTCCATTATGAAAATGTTGTACAGCCTTATTATGCAACACACTCTGTTTTGCTCTGTGTGAGTTCCACTCCCACTGTCACAGCTCTGTCAGCAGACCCTGAGGCCTGGGCATCAATTTCAAATCTTCATGGAGAGCCAATGCTGTGGGAAGGGTGTCCTTTAGTCTGTGATATTCACGAGTGAGGGACAGAGCTGGACATTTTAGTGAATCTCAGAGCTGCAGGGAAAGTACTGTCTTCAGCTACTCTTCTCTGCCTAGACTTGGGACTATTCTATAATTTCCTCACTGGATTAATAATCGGTACCTGTTGAATCCTGTGTCCACTGTTCAATATAACCCGGTAGGGTGGAACAATCGGAAAATCATCTGCTTTATGCCTGCATCCTCTCCTGGCTAAGATTTCAATAGGTCCAGTTGTGCACATTAGGTAGAATTGTCATGTCTGAAGAAGGTAGTATCATTCTTGTTTTGTAGTTTATTCTGTAAGGGTTTCTAATTACAGCACTGCATAACCAATGACCATAATCAAGAAGGAGACATTCAGCATGAGACTCCACAGAAGGTGCTAGTCTCATAGAGAAGTAGACCTCCATTGAGAAGCTCAGATGTAGGGACGAGCCCCACAGGGTCGGTGGGTTTTTCTCCCTGTGTGTGGAGATGAGAGATTGTAGAAATAAAGACACAAGACAAAGAGATAAAAGACAGCTGGGCCCAGGGGACCACTACCACCAAGACATGGAGACCGGTAGTGGCCCCGAATGTCTGGCTGCACTGATATTTATTGGACACAAAGCAAAAGGGGCAGGGTAAAGAGTGTGAGTCATCTCCAATGAGATAGGTAAGGTCAAGTGGGTCACGTGTCCACTGGACAGGGGTCCTTTCCTGCCTGACAGCTGAGGCAGAGAGAGAGAGAGAGGGAGAGAGACAGACAGCTTACGCCATTATTTCTGCATATCAGAGACTTTTAGTACTGTCACTAATTTTGCTACTGTTATCTAAAAGGCAGAGCCAGGTATACAGGATGGAACATGATAGCAGACTAGGAGAGTGACCACTGAAGCACAGCATCAGAGGGAGATGATTAGGCCTCCAGATAACTCAGGTGGGCCTGACTGATGCCCTACACAAGAGGTGGAGGAGGAGAGTCTTCTCTAAACTCCCCTGGGGAAAGGGAGACTCCCTGTCCTGGTCTGCTAAGTAGCGGGTGTTTTTCCTTGACACTGACGCTACCGCTAGACCACGGTCTGCTTGGCAACGGGCATCTTCCCAGAAGCTGGTGTTACCGCTAGACCAAGGAGCCCTCTGGTGGCCATGTCCGGGCATAACAGAAGGCTCGCAGTCTTGTCTTCTGGTCACTTCTCACCATGTCCCTTCCACTCCTATCTCTGTATGGCTTGGTTTTTCCTAGGTTATGATTATAGAGCGAGGATTATTAATAACATTGGGATAAAGAGTAATTGCTATAAACTAATGATTAATGATATTCATATATAATCATATCTATGATCTATATCTAGTATAACTATTCTTATTTTATATATTTTATTATACTGGAACAGCTTGTGCCCTCGGTCTCTTACCTTGGCACCTAGGTGGCTTGCCACCCACACTCAGAGACCTTTCTCCCTGGGTAAAGTGTGCAGTCCACCAGGGTGCAGACATGCTCTAAATCCATAGACACCTGATGTGTCCTAGAAGTAAGGAGCATAGGTATGAGCAACCCTACCCCATCCTCTGTAGCTGACATCATTCCCAGTGATCACTTGACAAGTGTGTGGTGCTGCCCAGTTCATTGATGCTTCTCATGTAGGAGACTAGCAGGCCAGGGAAGAGCACCATCTTGGCAAAAACAGCTGAACCTGTCATTAGGTAAGGGATGTTTTTCCATAATAGAAGACATAAATTTAACTATCATTAAGTCCTCTAGGTTGTCATTTGAAACTGCCCAATATTGATAGCATATGGACAAATGAAAACCTCAATAAGTAATTAGCTGAGTGATGTTTAATGTATTGTAGTGTGACCTACTGATGCTGAGCTACACGGTAGTTGTGCTGAAATGAGTGTGGGTAGAGGTCCTCCTCCACATGGTGTAGGTGAGCCTGAGGGTCTGGCGACCAACATGTACCTGGAGAAGATGCCCATGGGCAGCAGAACTTGTTATAGTGGGTTTGCTGAAAGTGTCTATTTTGGTCCCCTCTATTATGTCCCCACAAAGCATGTTCTGGACTTCTGACCGTCAAGAGGGCAAAAAGCAGTGAAGGGCTGAGAGAATTCTTTCTGTCTCTTGAACCTGAACATACTGAGAAGCCTAGAGAGAGCTCGGAGCTCCTGGAGACGCTTATGGGATTTTACCACCCAGGAAGACTCTTTGCACATTATCTGTCTAGATAAACACTCATGCAACACTTTAGTAAAGATAAAATGATAGAAGAAATTGTCAAATAACTTCAATTCAGAATATTAAAGTTTATTTAGAAAGTCAGCAGCATGCAGTTTTATTATTGTAGTTTCATAGCATATTTGCAGTTCAGGTACTAGGAAACCTCCCCCCGCTTTGATGTTTGTATTCAAGGTTACTTTGGACATCTGGGGTCTTTTGTGATTCAATTTTATCATTTAAAAAGTAGTTTGTTGAAAATGTCATTTGTATAGAAATTGCTTTGGATCTGTAGATTGCTTTGGGTAGTATAGACATGTTAACAGTATTATTATCTTCAATCTGTGAATATGGAATAGTTTCCCATATATTTGCATATAGATTTATTTATTTCATCAATGTCATATAGTCTTCAATGCACAGATTTTCACTTATTTGACCAACATTTTTTCTAAGTGATTTTTAGAAATAGATATTGGTCTTGCTGTGTTGCCCAGGCTGGTCTCAAACTCCTAGCCTCAAGTGATTCTCCCCTACCTCCCAAAGTACAAGAATTACAGGTGTAAACTACTGTGCATGGCCACTAAGTAAGTTATTTAATATTGTAAATGCAACTGACATTGTCTTATGATTTTTAAATAGTTAATTTTTAGTTTTTAGTAACACTACTGAGTTTTCCATATAAATTTTGTATACTGCAATGTTACTAAATTTGTTTGTTAGTTTTCAGTGGCTGTTTTTTCAGAATTTTTTATTTTTTTGGAATTTATAAAGTTATATTGTCTGTAAACAGAAACAATTTAACTTATTCCCCTCAATTTGTATGCCTTTTACTATTTTTTTCTTTCTCAAATTTCTATGGTTAAAACTATCATCAATATGCTGATTAGAATTATTAAGACTGGGCATTCTTTTCTTATTCCTTATCTTAGAAGAAAAGCTTTCCATTGTTCTCAGCAGGAAGGTTTATGTCTGGACTCACATTGACTTCCTCTCACTGTTTGTCTTGCACAGTAATACAAACCATGTCCTCAGATGTCACAGAGCTCAGGTATAGTCAAAATTGTTTCTTGGATGAATCTCTGGAGAAGGAGAGTTGGCTCTGCAGAGATGGATCATCGTGTGTGTCACCCTTGCAATGTGTTCCTGACAGCCCATGGAAGCGGGCTAGTGGATTCAGCTCCAGCAGTAACTGTTGGTTGGGATGGACAACCCAGAAATGGGGCATGTGAGGAAGAGAAAATGAAAGTGGATAGCCTGTTACCGAAAACTGCTGGACTAAGACACTTGTAAGCCTGTCAATCTCAGTGGCCAACAGACATGAAAAAAATTTCCAACATCATTAATTATCAGAGAAATGCAAATAAAAACAACAATGAAATACCATCTCAGACCAGTCATAATAGCTAATATGAAAAAAGTTAAACAAAAAACAGCTGCTGGGTGGGAAGTGAAGAAAAGGGAACACATACATGGGTGGTGGAAATGTAAATTAGTTCAGCACTGTGCAAAGCAGTTTAGAGAATTCTCAAAGAACTTGAAACAGAGCTACTGTTTGACCCAGCAATCCCATCATTAGGTATATAGCCAAAGTAAAATAAATCATTCTACCAAAAAATGCACATGCACTCATGCCTCTTGCCACACTATTCACAACAGCAAAGATATGGAATCAATCTAGGTGCCAATCAATGATGTATTAGATGAATAAAATGGTATGTATGCAATATAAAATCATAAAATACCACACATTCATAAAAAAAAGTGTGGTGGCTCACACCTATAATCCCAGCACTTTGGGAGGCTGAGGCAGACAGATCATGAGGTCAGGAGATCAAGATCATCCTGGCCAATATAGTGAAACCCCCTCTCTGCTAAAAATACAAAATTTAGCTGGGCATAGTGGCACATGCCTGTAATCCCAGCTACCCGGGAGGCTGAGGCAGGAGAATCACTTGAACCAGGGACTTAGAGGTTGCAGTAAGCTGAGATCGCGTCACTGCACTCCTGCCTGGTGAGAGAGTGAGACTCTGTCACAAAAGAAACAAAATCATGTCCTTTGCAGCAACATGGATGCAGCTGGAGGTCATAGTCGTAAACAAGTTAACACAGAAAAAGGAAACAAAATATCACATGTTCTCACTTGAAAGTGAGTGCTAAAGGTTGAGCACATGTGGACATGACCATGGAAACAATAGGCACTGTGAACTGCTGGAGTGGGGAGGGAGAGAGAGGTGCATGGGTTGAAAGACTGACTATTGGGTATTATGCTAACTCCCTGGGTGAGGGGATCCATACCCCAAACCTCAGCATCACACAATATGCCCATGTAAAAAAACTTGCATATGTACCCCCTGTACCTGAAATAAAAGTTGAAATTTTAAAAATAATATTAAAATTATAATTAAATAATTTTTCTTCAATTTTTTGAATAGTTTAACAATAATCTGTTTTCATGATTTTTTTTTAAGTTAAGTAGAACACAACTGTGAAACCATCAGGTCCTGAACATTTCTGTGATGGGAGACTTTTCATTATTATTATCTCCTGTTATTCATTGTTCTGTTTAGGCTTTCTACTTCTTCTTGGTTCAGTCTTGGTAGTTTGCATGTGTTCATGAATTTATCCATTTCCTCTAGGTTCTTGAATTTTCTCTAGCATATAGTTGTTCATAATACCCTCTAATGATCTTTTGTATTTTTGTGGTATCATTGTGATGTCTCTTTTTTCATTTCTGATTGTATGTATATGGGCATTTTCTCTTTTCATTTGTAGTTAATCTAGATAATGCCTTCTTGCTTTTTTACATTTTCAAGAAAACAACTGTTTTGCTGATCCCTTTTGTTATTACTTATTTATTTTTGGAGATGGAGTCTTGTTCTGTTGCCAGGCTGGAGTACAGTGGCGCGATCTCGGCTCACTGCAACCTCGGCCTCCCAGATTCGAGGGATTCCCCTGCCTCAGCCTCCCAAGTAGCTGGGAATATAGGCGTGTGCCACCACGCCTGGCTAATTTTTTGTATTTTGGTAGAGACGGGGTTTCACCATGTTGGCCAAGATGGTCTCAATCACCTGACCTCATGATCCGCCCCCCTCGGCCTCCCAAAAAGCTGGGATTACAGTCATGAGTCACCGCGCCCGGCCTTGCTGATCCTTTATAGATTTTTTTTTCTGTATTTTAAAATTCTGCTCTGATATTTACTGTCTATTTTTTCTACAATTATGAATTCTGTTTGTTCTTGCTTCTCTAGTTCTTAAGACACATAGGTGGGTGGTTTTTGAGAAATCGTTCTACTTTTTTGATTTAGGTGTTTATTGCTAGAAACTTTTCTCTTAATATTGCTTTAGCTGTAACCAGTAGCTTTTGCTATATTGTATTTCTATTTTTATTTATTTCAATAAATTTTTAAAGTTTCATTTTAAGTTATTCCTTTATCCAATGGTCACACAGAAGCATGTTGTTTAATTTTCATATATTTGCATTGTTTCAAATATTCCATCCTCTAGGGTTTCTAGTTTATTTCATTGTGTTTGGAAATGATACTTGATATGGCTTTGATATTTTTATAATTTCGAGACTTTTTTGTGTCCAAATATATTAAATTCTGGAGGATGTTCATTGTGCTGTTAAAAAGAATGTGCAATCTGCTGCTGTTTGGCGAAGTGTTCTGTAAGTGTCTGTTGAGTCCGTTCAGTCTGTGGTGCAATTATTGTTTTTGAGATACAGTCTCGCTCTGTTGCCCAGGAGGGCGTGCATGGGTGCCATCAGGGCTCTATGGAGCCTCTATCTCCCTGGGTTCTGGTGATTTTCCCACCTCAGCCTCCTGGGTAGCTGGATCTTTAGGCACATGCTACCACACTGGCTGTTTTTTATTTTTTATTTATTTATTTTTTTTGTAGAGACAGGGTTTTGCCATGCTACCCAGGCTAGTCTCAAACTCCTGAGCTCTCTACCAATCCACCTGCCTTAGCCTCCCAAAGTGCGGGAATTACAGATGTGAGTTATTGTGCCTGGCCTCTGGTGCAATTTTAATCTGAAATTTTCTGTTCATTTTCTCTTTGGATAAACTGTGCAATGCTTTCAGTGAGGGATTGAAGTCGCCAGCAATTATTGTATTGGTGTCTATCCTTTTAGATCTGATAACATTTGCTCTGCATACCTGGGTACTGTATCGTTGGGTATATATCTTTAAAATTCTTATGCCTTCTTCCTGGGTTGAACTCTTTATTTATACATAGTGTCCTTCTTTGTCTGTCTTTACAGCTTTTAACTTAAAGTCTGGTTTATCCACTACAAGTATAGCTACTCCAGGTGAAGTTAGTTTTTATTTGCATTACATAACTTTTTCCATACCTTCATATTCAACGTAAGTGCATCATTACAATTGGAGTGAGTTTTTTGTAGGTAACTGATATAGTTTGGATGCTTGTTCACTTCAGATCTCATGTTGCAATGTTATCTCCGGTGTTGGAGGTAGGACCTAGAGGGAGGTTTTTGGGTCGTGAACACGGATCTCTCATAAAAGCCTTGATGCCCTTCACGTGGTAATGAGTGTGTTCTCATTCTATTCGTTCACATGATACCTGGCTGTTTAAGGAGCATGGCACCCACCCAACAACCTTAATTTTCTGCCTTTTCTTCTCTTCTATCGCCATTCACATACGTGCTCCTTTTTCACCTTCTGCCACAATTGAAAACTTCCTGAGGCCATCGACAGAAGCAGATGCCAGTACTATGCTTCTTGTACAGCCTGCAGAACTGTCAGCCAAATATACCTTTATTTTATTATACTTTACATAATTTTATTTTTATTTCCATAGGTTTTGGGGGAAGAGGTAGGGTTTGGTTACATGAGTAATTTCTTTGGTGATGATTTATGAGATTTTGGCGCACCCATCACCCCAACAGTATACACTGTACCCAATTTGTAGTCTTTTATCCCTCAGCCCCCCTCATCTATTCCAAGTCCCCAAAGTCTATTGTATCATTCTTATGCCTTTGCATCCTCATAGCTTATTTCCCACGTATGAGTGAGAACATATAATGTTTAGTTTCCCACTTCTGAGCTACTTCACTTAGAATAATGGTCTCCAATTCCATCCAGGTTGCTGTGACTGTCATTATTTTGTTCCTTTTTATGGCTTAATAATATTCCATGGTAAATATATACACACACACACACACACATATATATACACGTGTATATATATACATCTATACATATATACACATATACACGTATATATGTACATATATAAAAAATATGTATATATAGAAAATATAAAATTATATATATATGGCCGGGCGCGGTGGCTCACGCCTGTAATCCCAGCACTTTGGGAGGCCGAGGCGGGTGGATCACGAGGTCAGGAGATCGAGACCATCCTGGCTAACAAGGTGAAACCCCGTCTCTACTAAAAATACAAAAAATTAGCCGGGCGCGGTGGCGGGCGCCTGTAGTCCCAGCTACTCGGGAGGCTGAGGCAGGAGAATGGCGTGAACCCGGGAAGCAGAGCTTGCAGTGAGCCGAGATTGCGCCACTGCAGTCCGCAGTCCGGCCTGGGCGACAGAGCGAGACTCCGTCTCAAAAAAAAAAAAAAAAAAAAAAAAAATTATATATATATATATATATATAAAATGGTGTGCGTGTGTGTGTGTGTGTGTGTGTATCACAATTTCTTTATCCACCCATTGACTGATGGGCATTTGGGCCGGTTCCATATTATTGCAACTGCGAATTGTGCTGCTGTGAACATGCATGTGCATGTGCAAGTATCTTTTTTGTATGGTGACTTCCTCTGGGTAGATCCCAGTAATGGGACTGCTGGATGAAATATTTGTTCTCCTTTTTTTCTTTAAGGAATCTCCACACTGTTTTCCATGGTGTTTGTACTAGTTTACATTCCCGCCAGTGTTCCCTTTTCACTGCATCATCACCAACATCTATTTTTTTATTTTTTGATTATGACTATTCTTGCAGGAGTAATGTGGTATTGACTTGCATCTGCATTGTGGTTTTGATTTGCATTTCCCTAATCATTAGTGATGTTGAGCATTTTTTTCATGTTTATTTGCCATTTGTATATCTTATTTTGAGGATGGTCTGTTTATGTCGTTAGCTTATTGTTTTATGGAATTGTTTTTTGTTGTTGTTTTTGTTGTTGTGGCTAATTTGTTTGAGTTCCTCGTAGATTCTAGATATTAGTCCTTTGTTGGATGTATAGATTGTGAAGATTTTCTCCCACTCTATAGATTGTCTTTTTACACTGCTGATTGTTTATTTTGCTGTGCAGAAACTTTTTAGTTTAATCAAGTCCTACCTATTTATCATTGTTTTTGTTGCATTTGCTTTTGGTTCTTGGTTATGAAGACTTTGCTTAAGCCAATATTGAGAAGAGTTTTTCAGATGTTATCTTCTAGAATTTTTATGTTTTCATCTCTCAGATTTAAGTCCTTAATCCATCTCGAGTTGATTTTTGTATAAGGTGAGAGATGAGGATATAGTTCTTCTACATATGGCTTGCCAATTATCCCAGCACCATTTGTTGAATATGGTCTCCATACCCCACCTTATGTTTTTGTTTGCATTGTTAAAGATTCATTGATATAATATTTGGCATTATTTCTGGGTTCTCTATTCTTTTCCACTGATCTATGTGCTTATTTTTATACCAGTACCATGCTGTTTTGGTGACTGTGGCCCTATAGTATAGTTTGAATTCAGGTAATGTGATGCCTCCGGATTTGTTCTTTTTGCTTAGTCTTGCTTTGGCTATCCAAGTCTTTTTTGGTTCCATATGAATTCTAGTTCTGTGAAGAATGATGGTGATATTTTGATGGGAATTGCATTGAATTTGTAGACTGTTTTTGTTTTTAAAGTAAATTGTACAGACTCAGGTACTTCTTTATAACAATGCAAAATGGGCTTAACATAGCAGCCTATAGTTGGCACTTTTGTTTGTTTGTTTCTTTTTTTCTTTTCTTTTCTCTTCAACTCAGTCTATGTATTTTAAATGTAAAATTTAATCCACTTACTTTCAAGCTAATAATAGATAGAAGAGGTCTTACTTCTTTCACTTTCATTGATTCTTTTCTCATTGTTTTGTGTATCTCTTGTTTCTTATTCTTAACCTATTGGTTATTTTTGTAGTTTTGTAATTTTTGTAGTGATAAGATTTGATTCATTTATTTTCTTTTTTGTGTATTGGCTTTACTAGTGGGTTTTATGGTTTTTTAAAAATTTTTCATAATTGTGGCTATTATGTTTTCTCTTCCAGATGTAAGAATCTTGAGCATTTCTTGTAAGGCCAGCCTGGAGGTGATGGATTTCCTGTTCATGTTAGTCCGATAAACATTATATATTTGTTAGTTTGTGAATAATAATGTTTCTAGGTATTATATTATTGGCTGGATACTTTTTTATTTCAATATTTTGAATATACTATCCTACTCTATCATGCTCTATCTTTGTCTTTTGATAATTTGAGGAAAGCATTCTTCAGAGAGGATCTGTTTAGTTTCAGTCTGTTTGGAATATTTGAGTTTCCTGGATCTGAATAACCATCTATCTCCCATGATATGGGACGTTTTCTGCTCTTGTTTTATTAAATATGTTTCCTACATCATTTTCATTTTTTTCCCTCTGGAATTTTCCCCTGGATTTTCCATAACTCAAAAACTTGTTTTCAAATTGTGTTTTGAAAACTATAGGGTTTCTATGTTTTTAAAATTTTATCTTCCTTCCTTCCTTCCTTCCTTCCTTCCTTCCTTCCTTCCTTCCTTCCTTCCTTCCTTCTCTCTTTCATTCTCTTTTTTTTTCTTTTTGGTCTGCTGGAATTATTTTGAAAGACTTGTCTTCAAGCTCAGAAATTCTTATTTTTGCTCGTTATTTTCTGTTATTGAATCTGTAAACTGCATTTTTATTTTATTCATTAAATTCTTCAGCTGTAAGCTTTTTGCTTTATTATTTTGTATGATATCTAACTCTGTTGAATTTCTCTAGTCTCAGCTGTTTATTCATTTCTGTGGTTATTTCATGTGGGGTTGAAGAGTGTCAGGCACGTTTAGTCAGCTGTCCTGCTAATTTTTTTTTTTTTTTACTTTTACTTAAGTTTTTATAGCTAACCTGGATATTACAATTGGTAATTCAGATTTATAACAGAGTAGTTTAAATTATGATTGCCTTAGTTCAATAGTGCATACAACTCTGCTTCTCTACAGCTGTATCCATTTTCACTTATTGTGTTGTTACATATTCATACATTATAAATTATATGCACATTATTCAAATTTATAATGAATTTTATAACCATAAATTATAGGCACATTATTCAAATTTGTCATTACTATTATATCTATTTTTTTTTTAAAAAAGGAATAGAACATGAGACTCAAGGCAAAAATAAAACAATATTGGTTTTCATTACACAAATGTGATTACTGGGATACTTGTTGTTGTTGTTCTTTTAGGTGTAAGATTTTTAAATATTCTCCACTCTGTTTTCATTTCAGCCTGCAGGACTCTATTTAGTATTTCTCATTAGGAATTTGTGGTTTTGATGGACTCCATAGCTTTTGTTTATTTCTATTATCTTGATTTCTCCTTCACTTTTGAAGGTGTTCTTGCTAGTATGGAATTTTTGATTGATAGTGTATTTTAGCACTTTTGATATGCCACTCCAGTGAGCTTTGGCCTTCCTGATTTTTGGTGAGAAATCAGTTGTTAATCTTATTGAGGATTTATCCTAAACAACAAACTATTCCTTAGATTCTAAGGGCTTAAACATACCTGGTATTTTCAGACAAATGATATTGAGGTCAAGAGACAAGTCTTTCAAAGCATACATAACAACATTTCACATGCACATAAACATGCTCACAGACTCACACACACCCTCAACACCTTCATATGTAGAGTCATAGGTAATGAAAACATGCTCACAGACTCACACACACCCTCAACACCTTCATATGTAGAGTCATAGGTAATGACTCACCCAAACAAACTCACATAGGGGCACACACTCACTAAGTAATACAAGTAACACATTCACACTCAAATAGCTCTGCACACACTAGCATTCAAACAATTACATTTACAAAAGTTTTATACTTACACACCTTCAAAAAATTCATGTTCATGTAAATTAATAGGCTCAAATACTGAAGGACCCAGACACACACATTCAATATAACATACCCTTTTACAAACTAACTCACAGACACAGGCATGCACATTCTCCCACACACTCCCTCAAAGACACAGTCTAATGATCAGAAACTAAATTACTCATTTTAAAATAAAACAAAGACACACAAGCTCACACACAGAAACATAGACACTCACAAACACACAGACACAGTTATAGGAATCCTCCCACTTACACACAATGATCCACATACACACAGAATCATATTAAGACTATTCCGTGATCCCAAGATTGAGACAGTAGCCATCCCCAGTCTCCATGGACATCACACTGTGGTAGAGGCTCAGTCTACCTTCTAGATTCTTCTGAGAGATGGCCAGGGCTCCAGAGTTCAGGTTCTCACATATTGTATAACTTTTGGGTTAAACCACACCTAAAACACTGAGTGGATGTTGTCTTTCATCACTTGATTATCATCGGCATTTCAACTGATGCAATTTTTTACCTCATTTTGAAGGAAATAAAATAAATTCATAGAGTCTCCCTAGGCTAGATTGATGTATCTCTGTTTCTCCTGGTAGCTTCAAATATGGTACCTTCAAAAATATGACAGTATTCACTAAATACTACACCTCTTACAACACTTTCTTGGTCAGCTGGTCCAACAACAAGGGAACCCCAGTAGAACAATCATTTTATGGGTCTAATTCTGTACCCACTGTGAACACATACCTTCTTATGTACCAGGACCTCCACTCCATCACAACATATTGTTATGGAGATGGAAAGAAACATTCTCCAAATTTTCATCATAGATTTGGCAAGAAAACCTGATATTTCTGTCCATTAGTTTCCAAACCCAGGTGTTGTAGCTCCTGGCCACAAGGCACTATAATACTCTCTGTTATGGGCATTTGCAGCTTCCTGGAGGATGGTATTGTCTCTAAAAATGGAATTTCTTTAGAGATTATATTTTCTACTATAAAACAGTGGCAGAAAACATCTGGTATAAATCTCACATTAGACTGTGGAGACTAAAGTCAATCATTTCATCGTTTTACTGGTGTCTCTGTTTTGGGGCAAACGTGGAAGAGGAATGTCTGCTGGATCCCTGCTCGTGTTCCATAATCACATCTCCTCTCCCTTAACAACAGCTGCATTCTTTCATGTTGAACACATTCTGTAGTAACTCATGCTAGGAAATAAAATATTCAGCAACTTGGACTGTGGCACTAGTAGCTTCTCTGTGATAAAAAACACATGTAGAGACAGCAGTCAATCCTTCTAAGGATAAATGACTACCTATCAAGTTTAGGCTTTATTTATATTATTCAAATTGTCTCCATATCGCTGGTAGGTAACTTTACAGGGTGTCATTATTTTCTTAGACAAATGTGATATCTATGACTTGTCAGCTCAGGCTCAGTGAGAGATGCTAGGTCAGTCTTGAGGGAGGAATCTGTGTTCAGTCTTCATTGCACATGTTAGGGAAAGCTCTGATATAAAGAGAGAGGACCCTGTAACTTGAGTAGAAGTAATGATTAACGTGCAGAAGATATTGTACTATGAGTTCTCCATACTCTCTGACCCAGCATAATAGATTTTCCTTGCTTTCAGCTGCTGGCTTCTTTATTTTAAATATTAATTTATTTACTTTTATTTTATTTTACATTCATTTTATTCTCTTGTTTCCTGAATATTTAATTAAGTACCTATAAATTTTAACAATCATTTGTAGAAATAACATAAAATGGGTATGATGAAGACGCCAAGTAGAGATGCCAGAAAATAAAACAAATAAATAAACAACTTGTGTAAGTTTAGAGTGGTGCATGAGGACAGAAACTCTGAGGTACTTGTGCTGAATTATAAATGAGGAAGTTCAATTATATTTAACATCCAGAATGTGGGTCATTTCAGTGAAAAAAAAAATTGTACAGTGGGCTGCATTGATCAGAAATTAGAAAGGAATAAAGTCACAAAGTTGCAAGACCAGGAGACATTCCGTGTATTCATCCTTTTCCATTTTGCTAGGAAGAGAAAATGGATGGGCTATACCTTCGTGGGAAATGAGACAAGCCGTTTTTAAGATGACTCTCGAGGGAAGTTGCCAATACAATCACTGAGGCGATGCCCTGACACAGGATGGTAGAGAGACTTGGTCCTGTGGTGGTGGCTGTCGGCGACACAGGATGCTTAACCCTAGTGGGTGCCTTTGCCACTATTTTGTCCATGAGAGACATTAAGCTACGATGTGCTACATGCTGGTGAGTTCCTTAACCTCAGATGAAGAGAGGAACATGACAACACAGAAGATGAGTGTGATGTTTAATACTGAGTGTCAGCTTGATTGCACTGAAAGATGCAAAGAATTGTTCCTGAGTGTGTCTGTGAGGGTATTGCCAAAGAAGATTAACATTTGAGTCAGTAGACTGGGTGAGGCAGACCCAACCTCAACCTCCCTGGGCACCATCTAATGAGCTGCCAGCATGGCTAGAATGAAGCAGGTAGGAGAAATTGGAAAGACTAGACTTGCTGAGTCTTCCAGCCTCCATCTTTCTCCCATGCTGGATGCTTCCTGCCCTCGAACATCAGACTCCAAGTTCTTCAGCTTTTTCACTCTTGGACTTAAGCCAGTGGTTTGCCAGGGGCTCTCTGGCCTTTGGCGACAGACCGAAGGCTGCACCGTCGTCTTCCTGACTTTCGAGGTTTTGGGACTTGGACTGGCTTCCTTGCTCCTCAGCTTGCAGACGGCCTATCACGAGACTTCATCTTGTGATCGTGTGAGTCAGTCCTCCTTAAAAACTCCCCGTCAAATACAGACCTCTATCCTGTTAGTTCTCCCTCTAGATAATCCTGACTAATACAATGAGAAAAGTGAAGACCTCACTACATCAACCACATTTCACTGATGAGAACTCGTCCCATGGAGAGCAGCAGGTGTGCAGGAAA
Organism: Homo sapiens; assembly: GCF_000001405.40. Taxonomy (NCBI): domain Eukaryota; kingdom Metazoa; phylum Chordata; class Mammalia; order Primates; family Hominidae; genus Homo; species Homo sapiens. Next base: position 996,923 of record NT_187600.1, read on the forward strand.
TAAAGGGGTTGGGGGATACTGTCCATAAAAGAAGAGACGCAACCTAACTGAACTCCCCAGGAAAGGAGGGTGTAGATATTTGTTCACAGCTAATGATGGCTTATGTCAGGACCTCCACAAGGCTTCAGAAATAGTTTGTATTAACAAATCTAATAATTTATATAGTTTTTTTTTCCCATATCTTATTTTTCCTCCCTGGGCAGCACCACAGAATGATGTTTTCAGAATCTCCCTCATCTTCTGTGAGTTCTTGGTAGAGTTCCTGGAAGAAAAGCCTGCATGGGGAAGTGAGCCCTCCTCATGTGCAGCCCCTGAGGCTGTCATGTCACCTCACGTTTCTGAGTTATGTCATCAACATTTCTGAGTTAAACTTCCTGAAACATATGGCATTTGGCAGTGTCTTCCCTATTCAAAAAATGCTTAAATTCTGTTTATCCCTGCAGACACCTGTCTCTGGAATACAGTTTGGTTTTGAGTGTGTAGTAATTGATACTTTACAGAAGGTTTGTGTGCATCTTGTCATCTTCCAGAGTGCACCTGCCATGCAGTTGACTCCAACAAGCGAGCAGGTTGACTCACTCAGCTGGAAGAGGACAGGCATTTCTATAGCCAGCAACCCCAGTGGGGCTGTCACCCTCCAAGACTAATTGGGCTCATGCCTCTGGCTAATGTGCAGCCAGCAATGGAGGGGGACCAGCGCCCACACAGGAGAGGGTTTCTTCTATTCCCTCCCACTTTGGAAGGAAGTTGGTTGGTTGTGCCTGGAACTCATGCCTGAGTTTTCATTTTCTGTACAAAGGGCCTCATCCAGAAACACCCTCAAAAGCTTACAGTGAATCTAAAGGAATTATAGAAAATCATACATGATGTGCCTCATGACCAAGGTCTCCACTTCTCATTAAAGGACATTCCTTATGGGATTCACTAGAACTTGCTTTCTTTCCATAGATATGGATCTGCCTCTAAACATTTAGGAAGCTTACCGTCTGGGAAGGGATACTAAGTCAGGAGTCACAGAATCTATAGGAACATATACATTTTATGAGTCTTCTAAAAAAGACTCCTAATAGGAATAGCCCCACCCACTTTTCCTCTAACTGGCTTCATTCCCAGGAACCCACTCGAAGAACCTGTTGTGCTTCAAGATAGTTTAGACTTGGTATGCCAAGGGACCGCCGGAAGAGGAAAGAACCAATCCATCCATGTAAGTTCATCCATTGTAACTTATTGATGACTCTGGGGCAGGATGGTGACAGTGGGGAAGGCTGTGCATGTGTGAAGCAGGGGCACATAGGAAATCTCTGCACCTTCTGTTCAATTTTGCTGTGGTCTTAAAACTACTTTTTAATACATTTTATGTAAGAGAGGTGGCAGAGACAAATTGGAATATATTTTGGCCAGTTTTTAGGAATCATATTCAGCATTAGCCATGTTATCAAGCAATCTTGCTCCAAATTATTTATCTATCTGATTTTAGAACTTACATCTGCACAAAGCCTACGTGGGGAACTTTGCATCAGCTTGACTGATTTCTGCTTTTACCTCTCTGCGAATTTTGCATATAGGGTGACAATTATTAGAAATATTTCCTGTATAGAGTGCATACATATTTCTATTACTCATATTCCTCAATTGCTTAGCCTATTTTCTGAACAACTTTAAACATCGTAAGCCCTGTAACCTCCTCATTCAGTGAAGCTGCCTCCTCCTTGGGGTTTCTGACGGTCTCAGGATGTGGGTTTTCACACTGTGTATCTTGCACAGTAATACATGGCTGTGTCCTCAGATCTCAGGCTGCTCAGCTCCATGTAGGCTGTGCTCATAGACCTGTCCCTGGTAATGGTGACTCTGTCCTGGAATTTCTGTGCGTAGTTGGTGTTACCATTGAAAGGTGTGATCCATCCCATCCACTCAAGCGCTTGTCCGGGGGCCTGTCGCACCCAGTGCAGGTAGCGGTAGGTGAAGGTGTATCCGGAAGCCTTGCAGGAAACCTTCACTGAGGACCCAGTCTTCTTCACCTCAGCCCCAGACTGCACCAGCTGCATCTGGGAGTAGGCATCTGTGGAGGGGACACAGGAGTGGATAAAAGCCACCTTGACTGGACTCAATCCCCTCCTCATCACTGGGACTTGGGAGCCCCTTACCTGTGACTGCTGCCACCAAGAAGAGGATTCTCCAGGTCCAGTCCATGGTGAGGAGCTGTGCTTTCAGGGGATTCTCTAGAGGAGGGATGTGGTTGTTGGGTGATGCTCTCAGGGCACAGACATATCCATATTTACCTCAGTCGATCTCAGGTTATTTGCATATTGATGAGACAGGGCATTTCATAGCTCAAAGCCTGGTCGATGATAAGAAAGGGAAGACAAACGACACATCAGCCTTGCAAGAGTGAGATGCTGATGACTCAAGCCCTGATCCTGCTTGAGGAAATGAATGCCCTGCTCCATTTATGAACATTTGTGGGCAGAGGTCCTTTCACTGAAGAATAAGCCCTCTCAGAACAGACTTCTCACTGTGAACATAGATTTTATAAGCATAGAGACCACCTCTATGATTTCTGGAACAATCACTCTCCACGACACAGAGCAGGTGCCTTGGCCCTATCCTGGACCCTTCAGGAACCAGCACAGCTCACTGGTGACTCTGAGAAAGTGATTGCTGATGTCCCACGTGAGTATCCAGTAGGTCCCTCTGAGAGCCGCTGGGCACTCTTTAGACAGTGTCTGCATCACCTGCCTGGTGTCTTGATCCCCCAGGCTCTTCAATAGAAACACTCTTGGACTCTTGGTCTACAGGTTATGAACTCATTATCCCAAAATAACTTCCAAGGAATTTGTGTTATGGATAATTGTGGGTTTTATTTCCAACTCCATTCAGTGAGCACTGAAACCATGAGGAGCTTGTGTTGACTTTTATATGAAGAAGCTCAGTTATATTTGACATCTGGAAGGCTGGTCCCACCAGTGAGAAAAGTCTGTACAGTGGTCTGCACAGGTCAGAAATTAGAAAGTGATATAGTCACAAACTTGCAAAACCAGCAGACATTCAGTGTATTCAGCATTCAGCTCTTTCTATTTCTTCAGGAAAATAGAGGGGTTATATCTGTATGGAAAATGGGACAAGTAGTTTTCAGCTGATTCTCCTGGGAAGTTGTTATTGAAATCACTCAAGTGCTGCTCTCACACAGGATTGTGAAGAGGACGTTGACCCCTGGTGGTCGTTGTCAGCAACACGGGATGCTCAACCATGGTGGGTGCCTTTGTTACTGTTTTGTCCACAAGAGATTTTAGCCTGTCATGTGCTGCATGCAGGTGAGTTTTTAAACTTCAGATGAGGAAAATAACATGACCACATAGAAGATGAGAAAATTGAAGACCTCACTTCATCAACCACATTCCGCTGATGAGAACTTTTTACACAGAGAGCCAGTGATGAGCTGGGAAGAGGAAGGGGCTGAGGAAGATCATCCATAGAAGGACACATCCAGCCTGCTTGAACTCCCTGTGGAAGGAGGGTTTAAATGTTTGTCTTCAGCTAATCAGGGGTATTTCAAGACCTTCACAAGCTTTCAGAGAGAGAGTTTTCATGAACAAAAACCCATGCATTACTCAGAGTTGTATTTTTCATCATTTATTCTTCTTCTCTAGGCAGCTCCACAGCAGGGTGTTCTCAGAATTCTCCCTGATCTTCCTTGAGTTCCTGGTGCAGCTCCTGGAGGAAAAGCCTGCATGGGAGAGGGAGCCCTCCTCATGTGCAGCCCTGAGGCTGTCCCATCACCTCACCCGCCACTGCCCTTCAGTCACTTGATAAACATTTCTGAGCTAATCTTCCTGAAACGTTTGGTTTTGCACAGTATGTTCACCAGGTTACAAAATACTTAAGCTCTGTCTATTTCCACAGACACGTATTCCTTTCTGGAGCAAAGGTTGGTCTTGAGTGTGTGGTAGTGGATAATTAGTGAGAGGAGGTTTGTGTGCATCTTGTCATCTCCCAGAGTGTATCCACCATGGAGTTGACACCCACAAGCAAGCAGATGGACTTGCTCACTGGAGGATGACAAACATTTTCATAACCTATGACCTCAGTGGTGCTCTTTCCCTGCAAGACCAATTATGGTCACGCCTCTGGCTAATGTGCAGTCAGCAAGGACGACCACTGCCCACCTCTGAGGGCTCCCTCCAGATGCCCACCCACTTTGTAAAGGGAAGCTTTTGTTCCTGCCTGGATCCCATGCATGTGTTTGCATTTGCTGCACAAACTGCCTTATTCAGAACCACCACCCAAGAGCTCACAGTGTGTCTAATCCAACTCTAGGGCATTATACAAGGAGTCTCTTATTGTCACGTTTGCCAAGTCTCATTAAAGGATTTTCATTATGGGATTGACCAGAACTTGCTGGCCTTTTAGAGATGTGAATCTGCCTGAAATGTTGCAGAATCTGGAGGACCAGAGAGAGATCTTGGGGTGTATACAGGAGGATATTTTTATTACTGAGTACACCCAGACCCAGCAGACTCAATGACCAAAGACTGGGCACAGAACAAAGAGAGCGCTTGACTTTTATACACACTTCCCAAAATGGGGTGGGCTAGCTTGAAGCAAGCTTAGAGTGCACAAAAGCAGGGATACGGAGGCAGGACAGAGACAGTTAATCAAATTGTAACAGGTTCATAACTCAGGATTACACATGACCATTGCTATGCAACCCAGATGTCTGTTATCTAGGTTTTGTTCTAAAGAGCCTTGCACTGGTTGATCTCATAACACTCACTCCGGTACCTAGACAGCTGTAGTTCTGGCCTGCTCAGGCTTCTCATGACCTTCGTTGTGCTTCTTAGATAAAACAGAATACTTGAAGTTACTAGTTACAGAGAACAAGAATCTATAAACTCATATCATAAGACAAAGGAAAATTTGTTTTTCTTCTCCCTATGTTGAGGGAGTGCTGAAAGAGTCTCCAGAGCACATTAGATAATATTATTAAGACTTTTCCTGGGTCTGGGCTGTGCTTGTTGCTGCCGCTGGGATAAGTCAGCCTAATACAGGAAAGCTTATTTCTCTTTTTTAAAAATTTTTTTTTCCAGCCTCACTAAAAGCTTAAAAATCTTACTCTCTGGGAAGGGACATTGTAAACCAGAAGTAAGAAAAACTCCAAATTAACATATATTTTGTGGATTTTGGAAGAAAGTGCTCAAATAGTAATAGCCTCACTCACTTTCCCTCTGACTAATATCACTTCTAGAAAGCCATTGAAAATACCTGGGTGTTCCAAGATAATTTAGGCTTGTTATATTAGGGGATCACCAGAAAAAGAAAGAACCAAGAGTTCTTGTAGATTCATCCATTGTGACTTATTTGTGACTGTGGGGCAGGATGGCTGTAGTGGAGGAGGCGGTGTCCGTGCGGGGCAGGGATTCATGGGAATTCTCACACCTTCTGTGCAATTTCACTGTAATCCTAAAACCTCTAAAATGAACTTTATGGTAAGAAGTGACAGAAACATTTGAAAGACAATTTTCCCACTTTGTAAGAATCATGCTTACTCTTAACATATGACCAAATAACCTTGCTCCAAATGATTTATTCATCTAATTCAAAAACTTGTTCATAGTAGCACCTTTATGGTATGTTTGTATCAACTTTACTGAGTGTGGCCTTTCCCACTCTGTCAGTTTGGCTTATGTGGTGGCTCTTGAATGGAATATTTCTCTTACAATTCGATTGTGTTTCTATTGTTCTTTGTTCTCAAATATATAACCCGTTTTCTAAACAGTCTTAAACTGAATAACCCCTGTCATTTTCTCAGCTCAGCACAGCTGACTCCTCCCTCAGGGTTTCTGACACTCTGAGGATGTGGTTTCTCACACTGTGTCTCTCGCACAGTAATACACGGCCGTGTCCTCAGATCTCAGGCTGCTCAGCTCCATGTAGACTGTGCTCGTGGACGTGTCCCTGGTCATGGTGACTCTGCCCTGGAACTTCTGTGCGTAGCTTGTGCTACCACCACTAGGGTTGATTATTCCCATCCACTCAAGCCCTTGTCCAGGGGCCTGTCGCACCCAGTGCATATAGTAGCTGGTGAAGGTGTATCCAGATGCCTTGCAGGAAACCTTCACTGAGGCCCCAGGCTTCTTCACCTCAGCCCCAGACTGCACCAGCTGCACCTGGGAGTGAGCACCTGCGGAGAGGACACAGTAGAGAATGACAGTCCTCTAAACTGGAAAAAATCCCTTCCTCAGCCCTGGAACCAGTTGGCCCTTTACCTGGAGCTACAGCCAGCAAGCAGAAGACCCTCCAGGTCCAGTCCATGGTGAAGAACTTTCCTCTCAGAGGCTTCTGTAGAGAAGGGATGTGGTTGTTGGATGATGCTTTCAGGGCCCAGATGTATCCATATTTACCTCAGTAGATCTAAGGTTATTTGCATATTCATGAGACAGATTATTTCATACCTCAAAGCCTGATCGAGGTTGAGAAAGAAGATAGATGTCCCATCTGCCACACAGGAGTGGGATGCTGATGGTCCAAGCCCTAATCCTGCTTGAAGAAATGCATGTCCTGCTCCATTTCTGTTTGCGGACAGGATCCTTTCACTGAAGAACAAGTCCCCACAGATTATGCTCCTCACTCTGAACCCATATTTCATTAGCGTCAAGACCATCTAGATCATTTCTGGACCATCACTGTCCACGACACTGAGCACGTGCCTTGGCCCCATCATGGTCCCCTCAGGCACCAACACAGCTCACTGTTGACTCTGAGAAACTGACTGTAGATGTTCCACGTGACTCTCCAGCAGGTTCCTCTGAGATTCGTTGGGCGCACCTGAGACAGTGTCTCCATCACCTGCCCGGTGTCTTGATTCCCCAGGATCTTCAGCAGAAATGCTCTGGGTTTACAGAATTGCCCTGAGATGCATAATTGGAAATGGTTTTCTTATATCACAGAAACGAGGAGTCAGAAGTTGAAACAAGAGTTTGGAGTTCTTTATGAAATCATGTTCCCAAAATAACTTCCAAGAAATTTGTGTTTTGGATAATTATGGGTTTTATATTCAACTCCGTTTATTAGTATTTTGTGAAGTATTTACATACTTTCAGTTCGTATCCATAGATACTCATCTTTCCATATTGCTTTCTGAATCATTATGTCCGTGCACCCACCACACTCTCAGATCCACCACTGCCCCGTCACTCACACAATGTAGGCAACATTACTTAACACTGAAATCTGAATTTTTTGTTCATAGGAATATAGTGACTCCCACAATTCTGTATCCATTGAAATAGTAAAATCATACCTATTCTTCACATTTTCACTATTAAGATACTTATAATCCTAGAAGCCCGATTTAAAAAATAGTTCTCATTGCCTGAAGTTATATGAATTGTTCCATTGTAGCAGGATATTTGAAGGCATATCAGCAACTTGTTGAACGGTTATTTTAGATTTTTTTTTTTCTGACGAAGGAAAACCGAGGCCCTGAGAGGAAACCTCCTCCCCAGCCTCCTGTTCTAGGGCTGGACCGTGTGCTGCGTGGCTCCTGAGTGCCCCTCCTGCCCAGCCCTTACCTTTCAAGGAGGTTTCTGTCAGGGCTCACAAAACATTTTCTCCAGAGTCTTTAGTCCGGCATAAAGTGCCTGTGTCCTGGCTTAGAATACTCTTCCAGCGACAATATATGCTGCCAACACCATCTCTTGAAACAATTGATTAGCCTAACTAATCCTATTGAATTCTGCAGAAAGACCCAAAGAAAAGATTCTAGGACACAGGAGGGAGCCAGTGCTCTGAAGCTCCAGGTGCACTAAATCAGTGGAGACACAGTGAATACAAGAGCTTGCAGGGGTTTGGGGAGGGTCGTGTTTCTTCATTAGGCTCTTGTAGTTGAATGTTGCATTCGAGAATACCTGCGGGTGTAGATCTATTCAGATTAAAGCCATCTCTGTATCTCCTAGTCCAATAACACACATTTTCCCTTCTTCCTAGTGTCTTGCCTATAAAGAAAGTACCTCCTACACTGACACTAGGTCTAGGTTTATGCCATTTTTTTTGTCCTAGAGATCTAAGAAAAACAGGATACAAGTGGAGACTTGGGAAGTGCATGCAGTTTTTTTTTTTTTCTTTTTCCTTAGCTAGGAACCCTGCAAATGGCCCATGGTAACAGAATCTGTGGTCAATGCGGGAGTTGCCAAGACCTTGTCCTTACAGAGTTGATGTCAGAGGCTTCATATTGCTCTTCTGTCCTTGTCTTACTCTCTGCCATTCTCTTTCAGTTTCCCTACGTTCTCCTTCTCTGACAGAGCCTGTGCATTGTCACACTTTCATCTTTAATTTGTGCATCCCGGAAGTATCATATGTAGTTACAATTGAATCTTAATAATTTAGTGCTCTTCTTTCTATGGAATGTGACCTATATACAGAGTCTCCAGAAGTCAAATTGATGCTTTCCCTTTTCTGGCTGGAACATTATAGGATTCTTACCCTATTGGCTAATTTGACCCATTTTCCTTATAAAGGAAGGCTGCTGTGAGGGGTCTGTAATGGAGATGGACTGCCTTCCCCTACATAGATAAGGTGCTAGAAATGTTCTTCCCCTGGATCTTCTATCTGGAGAATTTTCTGCTTGTATTTCTCAGAGTTTACGTCTCTTGATGACTTAGCCATGAGATAATCTATTACAATTCTCATACAAAAAAACCTGGAGGTTGCTGGAGAAAAGAAAGCACAAGAGTGTGGGGTGTGGGGTCTCCAGGATTTTGCACCCTCATACGGTCAGACATGCCCTCTTTGTTTATGTAGTTCAGATTTACATATAATAAACCCCACAGCCAGGCTCATCTGAATTGCCACATGCTCATTTAAACTCACTGGAGAAGCAGCTGAATGTAATCATCACAATGAACTCAGAGAAACCTGGAGGGTGTTTGGAATGATGTAGACCTTTAAACGTAGATGATAATTGTTCCCAGTCTTGTTGAAATGGCTGGCAGCCCCCAATCCTGTTTCTCTCCTCCACTTACCTGAATGTCTCCAAGAACCTCATGAACCTAAGGACTCTCTTTTTCATGGATGACTCTGAGGATTCTCAATCTGGTCAGTGCCACAATCAGAGGCAGCTAATGGACGATTCTCTGTCCACTGTTATGTTGAGCCCATAACATAGGACACATATACAAGAGTGGCCAATTCATGTCAGTGCCAATCAACATTTAATTCAAGGGGCATGATTTTCAGTGCATTGAAGTACAAAAGCTTCATAATTCTTAATAGAGGCACAAAGCGAATGGTTTGCTGAAGAAATGAGCTCATGGTTGGAAGAAAGCTGACTGCCCCCAAGAAGAGTCTCTTTAACTAAAGCACCTGAAACGTGATGTCCTGAGACCTTGTGAAAATTCATTTCCTTGAGTAAAAAAACAGGAAAGCTATTCTCAAATCATTGGAAGAAACCTTATCAGAAATTTAATCAACACAGCAGTCATATTCCAGTAAGTCAATCCTTGGGTTTATGTTTCACAACTCAAGAAGCTATAAAGAAATCTATATAATTGGAAGGCTGCTCCAACAGAGGGAATTTTGACCTATTTAATTAATAGAACAGTATTCATTCAAAGACACTCTCCTATGGAATCTGCAACTTAAACAGATCTCTGCAACCTGGAAAAATTTTCTCACTTATTTTTCTCTAGACATCCATAAACGCAAAAAGGCATCTCGTATATTTGTGCATCAGTTATCTATGGAAGTACTTTGCATGTTAATGAAAGTTTATCGAAACATGGTAGCTTAATCACCTAATGTGAACTCGCACTTCACTGGTTTCCAAAATTCTCCACCTGTGTGATGGGGCAATGGGTGCCTCTGAGAATATGCTGATTTTTGGACTGAACATATTCTCCACTCCTCACTTGACTCCATGGTTCCTGGCTCATACAAATGTGTCTATGACTGAAAACCCAATGCTGATATTTAGCAAATTTTCCTCTTATGAGATTCATATTCTCTCTTTCTCTGTATGTCTCTATCTCTCTATTTTTCTGTGCCATTACTAGTTATTACTGAATCCTGAATCCTGCCAACAGACTCCATCTCACGTTCTGCCAATCTTCTTCCTCAAAGACAATTAGGGGCAAACTCATCCTTGCCCAAGATGGGAAAACTTTCTGGACTTATTTATTAGAGCCTCATATGAGAACCCTGATCAAACATTATTTGCTTTTGGATTATACCTCAAATCTAAAACTGTTCTTCGTAGCGGCTATGACATTCTGTATTCCCATCATTACCATTAGGCAAAACAGTGTGGTGGCTCCTAAATGAATTAAAACAGAAATACCATATGACCAGTGATGCAGCTTATGGAAATATACCCAAAGAGATGAAATTACCGCCTTGTGAAGATACCTGCGCTCCTGTGATTATTGCAGCTGTATTCACAACAGCCAAGATATGGAAACTAAGTGTCTGTCAATGGGCAAATGGATAAAGACAATGTGGTATGTGTACACAACATAGCATTATTATGCCTTATAAAATAAGGAAATGCTGCCATTTTCCACAAGACAAATGGACTCCCACCACCACTAGCAATGGATTTTATCCATTGCAGCCCCTCCCTGAGAGCCGGCAGATCCAGGTCCACTAGTAAGGACTGGTTGTGACGGAGTGGCCAGTAACAGTGTAGGTGAGGCAGAGGGTAAGTGTGTGCTATTCAGGTCCAGGGCTGACTCCTGCAGCTGCTCCTGGGACAGGGCATGTGATTACATGGAGAATCAGTCCCTGTCAGTCACATGTACCTATCCTAACCCGATAGACCCATGTCTGACATCTGAGACGCTCACCTTCAGGACCTGCTACCAGGCACAGGAGAAGACACGATAATGACATCTTCCTTATGAACACAACTCTGCATTCCCCAGATACCTTACCCCTGCCTGAGGGGAGAGCTGTTACCTTCCACAGTCCAAAAGCATTTTATACCCTGGAGCCTGAATAATATTTTGGATGTGGCAAAGCCTTGTGCTTATAAGACAGAGGGACACAGGTCAGACTCCCCATGGATTTGATATGTTTTATTGTTGTCTGTTTATTTACAGGTTGACATGATAATGTCCTTGCCAAAAACTACAGTCATGACAGTTCATAAAATTTGCTTTATTCCTGTTTTCTTTTTTTTTTTTTTTGAGATGGAGTCTCCCTCTGTTGCCCAGGCTGAAGTTCAGTGGTGTGATCTCGGCTCACTGCAAGCTCTGCCTCCCGGGCTCACGCTATTCTCCCGCCTCAGCCTCCTGAGTAGCTGGGACTACAGGTGCCCGCCACCATGCCTGGCTAATTTTTTGTATTTTTTAGTAGCGATGGGGTTTCACCGTGTTAGCCAGGATGGTTAACCTTGTGATCCTTACCTTGTGATCTGCCCACCTTTATTCCTGTTTTTCCACCTGTGACATTTGAACTTCTGTATCAAGTGAGCAATGTGCATACCTTACAGGAGCAATTACAAAATAACTCTCTAAGTCATCACTATTACACAAATGCTACCCTGTCCTTACTGACAAATGTCTCTGGAAAGATTTAAGTAAACATACATCATAAATTGCTTCCTTAAATTAAAAGTAGCATAAGGTTCAGAAACTCATGAACTCCCTTTGCCAAAGGTACCTCCACTAGAACTTACAACCCATGGTCTCCTTCCTCAAGGACACAGACATTCTCATCCTATGACTTGATTCATCAAAAGCCCATGTATTTCCCATTTTACCTTCAATATTATACTCCGATTCATCACATGCTGATACAGCAAAGTATTTTAGGGGATTGAAGTGCCATGTGGAAACATTCAACAGAATGTTAAAGATGCCTTCCCATTACATCTTCCTAAATAGCTTCTTTACTGCTGTCCACTTGGAAATTCTTTATTTTAGAAGAGACATCAGAGAAAAACAGCCTCAAATATTGTGAAAGGGGCTAATGACCATTAAGAACAAATGCAGCAGTGACTCCAGGATGTGAATCCATAGGTTTACGCAGTGAAAATGAGGTGGGTTACATAAGTCATTTTGAGAGGATTATCCTGTGCTCCTAGAATCAGGACTAAGGGTGGCATCACTGTAGGGTTAAACAGGGAGTTGCTGGGAAGATATCCTTGTAGAAGTGATTTTTGTAGGACTAAGGGTGGCATCACTGTAGGGTTAAACAGGGAGTTGCTGGGAAGATATCCTTGTAGAAGTGATTTTTGTAAGGTTGTGGTTTCTTCTATCCAAGGCTGTGGTTAAGCAGAATCCATTTACGGTAGTTCTTGTTTTCTGGAGTATATGCATGAGAAACTTCTTCATGGTCATTCCTAGTTCCATTTGTCAGGGTGTTAACACAAGTGTTTCCATTTTTATTCTGACAACTTTCACACCCTCTTTCTAATACTACTGGTGAGGAAGTTGAATCTGTGGTTGTTTGTACAGCACAGGATAAATTTCACATCCACATCCCATTTTGTCCACGCAAGCTCATCCCCTTCACTCCTGTTGTCCACATTCGTTCCCAGGTAGTCTCCACACAACACACTGGAGGGTGCTGAGCAATGGGAGAAGAGAAAGCCCCAACAGCCACTCCCATGTGGCTGCAGGAGCCACAGCCTGAGCCCCGCCTGAGCTGCAGGGAATGGGCTTGAGGCTTGGGGCTTTTGCAGCAAGAAACACCTCCCCATTTTACAGGGAGCAAGAGAAGTACGAGGAAAAGCAAGAACAACAACAAATAAAAAGAAATAGAATGGTTTAAGAGCAAAAGGGGACCCAGATCAGTGCTGATACTGATTTGCATACTTTAGTGTCAGGAGAAGGAGAAGGGTCAGACGTGAAACCTGTGAGGTTCTACATGACACTGACCCTGTCCCAGCCTCTCTATTGGCTGGTATCAAAATTCCTGAAGACTGATCTAGTCAGGGAATCTCACAGAGGTTTCTGTCCTGAGTCTGACTGGAGAAGATTCACCAGGCACCCCTGAGTTTCCTCAAGGCTGATCCTGGTGACCATGGTTGAGGACTTTTCATCTCTGTAAGCATCCATCTGCATTTTGTGCATGTAAGAATAGGTTCTCATATTAAAATAATCATTAAAAAACATGTAGAGATGACACTGGTAAGCACAGAATTCTGAACTTAGAGAGGTTCCCTAGAGAAATGGTAAAAAGACGAAGTCCCACACCCTGACAGGAAATCAGCCTCTGTGTGCACCTGCCTCTTGGGCTGACTCTGATCAGTGGCTCCTGAGCGCCCCCTGCAGCTGGTTTCCTCCAGCGTTCCTGCAGGGAAGTTTGTATCTGGGCTCACATTGACTTCCCCTCACTGTGTCTCTTGCACAATAATACACAGCCATGTCCTCAGCTATCAGGCTGTTCATATGAAGATACAAGGACTTCTTGGCGTTGTCTCTGGAGATGGTGAATCGGCCCATCACGGAGTCTGCATAGTATGTATCACCACCAGTACCAATAGCTGATACCCACTCCAGACCCTTCCCTGGAGCCCGGCGAACCCAGTGCAGAGCATAGCTACTGAAGGCGAATCCAGAGGCTGCACAGGAGGGTCGCAGGGACCCCCCAGGCTGTACCAAGCCTCCCCCAGACTCCACCAGCTGATCCTCACACTGGACACCTGCAAACACAGAGACACCAAGGTCAGAAATTGCCAAACATATCCACTGTTTCTCTCACTCATGTAACTCACACTCAATCTCTCTAGTTCTCCATGAATCACATTTTAATATAGCAACAAGGAAAACCCAGCTTAGCACAAACTCCCTGGTGAGTCCTGTGTGTTCAGTCCTGATCACTGAATGCAAACACTTGGGAATCCCAAGGCTGGGGCTCCTCTCCCAGAGCAGCAGGGTCAGGGGTGGGCTGGTTTTCATCCAAAAATTACGGAGACAACTAGGGGTCAGGCAGATAAGTTTTTGGTGTATCTGACATTTAATGTATTTATTTGTTTCTTCCTATCATCCCTTTTTTGTATAAAATGTCGGCTGTTTACTTGTAATAAATTTTATGAGTTTTAACTGACAGATGATAAAATTCACATATTTAACATGTGCAATAGTAAACTTTGAAAAAATAATCTCTATTTTCAATGAGGTAACAAGTCAACTCCCCTCAGCATTCCTCTTGATCTTTTATATTATTTGTTTTTTCCCCTTCCCTTTTTCTACCATTTCTTTATAAACTACTGATGTTTTCATATTTCTTTAGACTAGTATTTATTTGGTAGAATTTATAAGAATGAAATAATATAGTATATTCGCTTATGTATTTGGCTTATTTTTCTCAATAGAAATACTGAGAATTAAACCATTTATGTTATATGTGTTTATTTTTTTATAAAAATTGGTAGCATTTCGGCAAACAAATGTAGCGTAATTTGTTTTTCTATTAAGTTGCTAATTGATATTTGAATTTTTTATTACATTGGGTCTTACTAACAAATCTGCTACTCAGTTTGGTAATGTACAAAGATGATCAATTATACATAAATTATATAAATATATTTATTTTTGCAACAACAATAACAGATAAACAAGATAATGTGTTATTTGGCAGATTTCCTTTAGTATTTCAGATAATTGAAGTTATGAGATAGAAAACATACTTATAAACCAAAGAGTATCTGAGACTAATCTCAATAGATTTAGGAAGTTCATTTTTCCAGGACTAAGGACATGCCTGTGACACAGCCTCAGGGAGTCCTGATGATACGTGCCCAGTGTGGTGGGACACAGCTTGGTTTTACACAATTTAGGGAGACATGAGACATTAATTAATATATGTAAGGTATATTTATTTAGTTCAAAAAGGCAGGACAAATTGAAGTTGGGGGGAGAGCTACCAGATCATAGGTAGGTATGAGAGAAATGGTTGCATTATTTGAGTTTCTGATTAGCCTTTAACTGAATGCACAGTTTACAGGAATAGTCACATAGGCCTTAGTCTGGCTTAGTGAAACAATAGAGCAAAGGGAGCAATCAGATATGCATTTGACTTACGTGAGCAGAGAAATGACTCTCTGCTTGGTCTACAATGTCCTTGGTCAACAAGGATTTTCTGTGCGGTCAAATTTTGAAGGAGATATGTAGCTTGTAAACACCTTAACAGCTATCATTTTAGGGAAAGAATGGAAGGTGGGTTTGCCCCAAACAGTTTTCAGCTTGGCTTTTCCCTTTGGCTTAGTGATATGAGGGTCCCAAAGATTTATTTTCCTTTCAGGAAAATGGAAATTTTGGGAGAAATGAGTTCTTGTAGAGAGAAACAAAGCCATAGTGTTAGCTAAACTGAGGCAGAAGTTGCCATGTGAAATACAGCCTATTACATGTATTGGATTGCTTAAATTCTAGGGTGGTAAACATGTTGCCGTGTGAAATTCTCAGGAACCATATGCTGAAGGGCACTGATAAAGTGAATTAAATATGGCCTGAGGAGGACTCCGTACTTCTATGTTTGAGTCCTTGTGGACAAACTGTAACCTACCTGAATAGGTGGACGAGATTGAAAACCTAACTCAGGAGTATGTACCTGAGCACCTCACCAACAGCTGAGCGTTGGCCAATTTCAGCAGCCATACCTCAACCACTCATACACTCTTGAGTGTGCAAACTGTGTTTAAATAAGACAAACATCAGCCTGTAACCAATCCAGCTGTTTCTGTACCTCACTTCTGATTTCTGTACATCATTTAAAAAAATGTATAAATCTTCTTCAACCACATGGCTGCACTGAATTCTCTTTCAATCCGCTGTGATTCCGGGGGCTGCCCAATTCATGAATCATCCATTGCTCAATTAAACTCCTTTAAATTTAATTTGGTTTGAGTTTTTTTTTATCAGCATTCTTATCCAATTGAATTCCTTTGTTCTAGAATGGGTGCAGTCAGAAAAATCTTATTTTCCCAAAGTGTCTGTCTGAGAGAGGAGAGCCCATACTTCTGAAATGCATTCAGACCCACCTCCCTCATCTTCACTACAGAACTAAGGAATCACCCTGCAGGGGCCAGCCACTGAACCCATTATTCCAGATGCACTGGTGGAGCCCCAGAGGAAATGGGATAAAAACCGAGGTTCTCACCAAAGTTCCATTGAAATGCACCTCCTCTCTGTCGTGGAATCAAATCCTTAATCTGCAGGGCATGGCAGCAGATCTAGAAGGTGATGGTAACAGTGGAGAATATTGGAGCTGTGGGAGGGAACAACTGGGAAAAACAGGAGAAAATATACATATTTAACTCTGTGGACTTCAATCTATTTACATGTTAATTAGGTGGAATATTTCATAGCTAAAGACCTGATCTAGAATGAGAAATAGTAGAGAGATGACACATGGAGAATGCAAGAGTGGGAAGCTGAAGTTCAAGTTCTGATATTTGTTTACTGATACTTGTCTCCTGGCATGTCCAGAACTTTATGAGTACAGAACTCCTCTAATAGAGAAACAAACTCTCACAGGACATGGTCCTCAAAACGATCTCACCTTCAAATGGCACATTAACAATCTCAAACTTTTTTGGTTTTACCCTTTGCAAGTTGAACTCCTGGTATGGTGTGTCTGTCAATATTTGCACACATTTAATTGATATAAATATATTTCTTCTACAT